>NC_000002.12:98398708-98701739 GCF_000001405.40 Homo sapiens | reverse complement strand
TAGACCTAGCCTCTGCCAAATTGGTCAGCAGCCTTTCTTGCTGATATGTTAAAGTTTGCCGATTTAGACCTTGCACTTGGCATGGTATTATTTTATTTTATGTTCAGCTTAGTTGGCTAGCATCCATTTCCTGAAACAGACTCCTAATCTAATTTTTCCAGGTTGGAAAGCTTCTTAAGCAGTACATGTGCTGTGCTCAGAGGTTGTCTGGAATCTGTTTGAGGTATTCTTAACTCTGAAAGGATATTATTCATGGCCGACATATGAGAGGGGACTACACTGAGAACATTGGGTTATTACAGAACATTAACTGATTTTTTTGTGCTGCTTCAGAAACATTACTAATCAGGTTTTGGGGATGTGAGTAATTGTCCAGTTCTAGACCCATTGTGCAATGGATACAGTGGATAAAGTTGCACTGGACTCTGAAACCAGTAGTGGACAAGAATAGCATAAAAAAGAGACTAATAGATCAGCCTTACCTAATAGGATGAAATCTTAAATAAAATACCAATGAACTAAATCTTTAGAGCAGTGTTAAACATTTTTGGTATATTTTCTTTCATTTTTTCTGGATTAGTGGTTCTGAGCATGTGATCCAAGGACCTGTGGGGATCTCTAGACCCTTTCAGGAGGTTCATGAAGTGAAGACCATTTTTATAATAGCCTTTTCCACTCTCATAAGAAATAGCAGAAGCAGATGAGAACTCAGCTGTATTCTATTCAGCTGAATTAAAGAGATGTGAGCAAATGTCACTCTTTTCACTAATTTTTTTAAGAAAACAATTATTTTTAATAAAATGCATTATTTATGCTAACATGTAATAGATTGTTTTTTTTTTTTTTTTGAGACAGAGTCTTACTCTTGTTCCCCAGACTGGAGTGTAGTGGCGCGATCTCGGCTCACTGCAACCTCCGCCTCCCGGGTTCAAGCGATTCTCCTGCCTCAGCCTCCTGAGTAGCTGGGATTACAGGTGCCCGCCACCACGGCTGGCTAATTTTTGTACTTTTAGTAGAGATGGGGTTTTGCCATGTTAGCCAGGCTGGTCTCAAACTGCTGACCTCAGGTAATCCACCTCCCTTGGCCTTCCAAAGTGCTGGGATTACACGCATGAGCCACCGCGCCCAGCCAACATGTAATAGACTTTTAAATGAATTTTAAATACATCTTTAAAAAGTTAATTGGTTTTGATTTGCAATATGGTAAATGTTGATTGATATAATTCACATAAACAAAAGGTCTTTGGGGTTGTCTAATTTTGAAGACAGTGTAAAGGGGTTCTGAGACCTACCTTATAGATAGATAGATAGACAGATAATGCAATATATACTAATATAATATAGAGTATATACTAATATGATATCATATATAGTAAATACTCATATGGTATTTATAGTATATATGAATATATTATATATAGTATATATTATATATATAGTCAACTAAAGGAAAAAATCAAGCTTTTAAAGAATTAAAGTTAATTTTACTCAGAAGTCTTGCTAAGGACTATAGCCCGAGGCTGGCAGCCTGGGAGTGGTCCTTTGGAGAGGTCTTGTGAGATGGCCCCTGCACAGTGTTCCAGCCACTGCTTATATGCAGGTAGTGCAGGACCATTCCAGGTAAAATCATATCGCACTTGCTCAGAAAGTTCCATAAAAGCGGAATCATGAGGTTTGGGTATGAGAGGATATCTGGTTATAGCTTGCAGAAGCATACTCACTAACCCCGTCAGATGTTATCTCACGTGCAGAAAAAGGCAAGGACGGGTCACGTATCCTATAAGAAACATCGTGACTCAGGCAAGAGATGTGGTGGGCCATGTGCTCTACCCTATTTTGTCTTCAAAACATTCTTCCAGGGAGCATTTTGTCACATACTCGGGGTTCAAGCGGAAATGGCAAACATGGCTTCCTATGTTTGCTAATTTGTCTCACAGTACTACATATGTGTCTCCCTCAAAAAATGGGATTGGCCTCATACTGTGCATATTGTATAATGTACATTTTTTGCTTAATATCACAAATGTTTCCCATACCATGAATTGTAGTGGGTCCATAATATTCCATTTTACAATTACCATAATTAGCTTAATCTTATAAGTAATGGTATAACAAATTTTATGCATATTATTGATCAATTTTTAAATACATTTTTTTAGTTTAAGAGGATTTGCCTCTTGTTACTTATTGCTTGGCATTCTGTAAGGCAATGGCATTTAGGGGGAAAAAAAAAAGACTAAAATATGATTCCTGCTGTGCAGAAAAGAGTTAACATGGCAAATCTGAGACTGCTAATTATCAGAAAGCCTGGCTTGAAAGGCTGGTCCTCGGCTGGCCTCTGGGAACTTGGCTGATAAACCCTGATAATAACCTTTCCCTATATGAGAAGAGTGGCTCAGTGTGCCTAAACTATTTGTACAAGTTGTGTGGTTATGCTGAACACCTGGTTTCCTTATTGGAGTCTGAAATTTTGGTATGTACTAGGCAGCGGGTGCCTATGTGACCAGCCCGCAGTAATAGCCTTTGACATTGAGTCTCCAATGAGCTTTCGTGGTAGACAACACAACACATTGCACGTGTTGTCAGCACTCGCTACTGTGGGAAGGAAGTGTGTCCTGAGTCACTGCATACCTGGTTTCTTCCAAACTTCTCTCCGTGTGTCTTTTCCCTGTGCTGCAACTCAATGGTGAGTCCTGTGAGTCCTTCAAGTGAATCACTGAACCTGGGGATAGTCTTAGGAACTCCTGACAAACCTGCTGTTAAGGAACTCATAGCTGAGGAGGGAAAAAGAGATAAGTATGTAATTATAGTACAGTTTGTGTTGATATAAAATAGTGTAGTTAACAAGATAAAAAGGAGCTAAAGAGAGGATAGAGGTCAGAGAAAACTTCACAGGAAGACAATGAAAGAGTATTTTGAAGGATGCATGGAATTTTTTCCAGTAAAGAAAGAGAAGGTGGATCTGGTAGGCAGACAGCATGAACGTAGAGCAATGAAACTCATAGTAAGTGGGCTTGGAGCACTCCAAGCAGCTTGGTAATACTGAAGCAAGAAAGATCCTGGGCAACGTGAGGAGATCATGTTGGAGAGTTAAGTAGGTAGTCATTGAAGGGTTTCCATTTAGAAATGTAAGGTACAGAGGATAATGAAGGGGAAAATGAAAAGGCATGGGTAACAGTTTCGTGTTCCTGGTCAGGAGATGAATAAAAGGAGCGTTGATACTGGGATCTGTGTAAAGAAGAGAGGATTAATGAGCATTAATGTAAGCAAATGTGAGGAGATTTCAGAGCATATTTATTTATTTTTAATTAATTTTATTTTTTGAGACGGAGTCTTGCTCTGTTGCCCAGGCTGCAGTGCAGTGATGCAATCTCAGCTCACTGCAACCTCTGCCACCTGGGTTCAAGTGATTTTTTTCTGCCTCAGCCTCCCAAGTAGCTGGGATTACAGGTGCACATCACCACACCTGGCTAATTTCTGTATTTTTAGTAGAGACGGGTTTTCACCGTGTTGGCCAGGCTGGTCTTGAAACTCTTGGCCTCAAATGATCTGCCTCTCTTAGCCTCCCAAAGTGCTGGAATTTTTTTATAGGCATGAGCCACCACACCCAGCCAGCTTATCACTACTTCTGGTTCTTCTGCACTTGAATCATCAAATGCAAATATCAGTTTTTGAAAACTGACAGCTAACAATTTTGAAAAGAGAATGGCCATCTTTTCAGTTGTAAAACATTTTATTAGGTTTATAAACAGCAATTAGAATGATCAAGTCAATGAAAAATTTTTTAACATTCGCTCTCTTTCTAATCACTTTTGTGTGTACATCAACCTTTAGCATTTGTCTTCTTATGAACCCATCCAGTTAATCTTGTTGTATGAATACACAGTAGACAAAAGAGTACTGTTACACATCCTCTTAGTAAGGCAGTGTTCTGGGCTCCTCTGACAAACGTTGTGGTGAAGTCCTTTCAGTTGAATGACCCACTGGATGAACATGCCCTATTTTCTTTTTGCCCTTAATAATAATTATTTGTTCGTTGGTTCTTTTCTGCTTTGCTTTTTCAAAAACCTATTTAAAAATAATTGTAGAACTAAAGGAAGCTGCAAAGACAGAGAGATACAGTGCAAACTTCACCCATCTTTCCCTGACAGTTACTTCTTGGGATAACTTATGTGTATATAATGTACAATATCAAAATCAGGAAATTGACATTGGTATTATGAGTGTGGATAGTTCTGTGTCCTTTTATCATGTCTAGATTCTTGTAACCACCACTATAGAACAATTCTATCACCACAAAGATCTCCCCTGTGGTGTCGATAGTCACACCAACCCCTGCATCCCCCATCATCCCTAACCCCTGGGAACCTAGTCTATTATCCTTCACTATAACTTTGTCATTTTGGAAATGTTATTATAAATGGAGTCATACAGTGTGTGAGAGATTGGAATTTTTTATTCTGCGTGACGCCCATGAGGCCTATCCAAGTTGCTGGGTGTTTGAGTAGTTTGCTTTGTTACCTTGCTGAGGAGGATTCCATGGCATGGGTGCCAACCTTTTATATGGCATTTAATGGGATCATCTTCTAAAATCTAGTCTCTCTTTTAATTGGTGTATTTAGACTATTTATATTACTTTTAGTTTTAAAATGTCCACTTTATTCCATGTAACACTTCACCAGAGATCATTTACATCTGAGGAAGAGATGGCCCATGAAATTGATCTATAGTAAAATACTCTAAGAAATGCAGTCCAATTCTGTACATTTCCAGGCACCCCTAAAAAAGTGGATCACAATGCAGAAATATAGGCATTGTTACTACAATTTACATAAGATAAAAGGGAGATATCAATAAACCTTAGAAAGTAATAAATTCACCCGTTTCTTAATGTATGGGTATGCAGTTGTTACAAAGCCATAGTAAATGGTTTATAAAATGAGATTTTATTTTGTGTTCCTCTGCTGTTTCATAGGGGATAGCATTTTTACAAGGCTCTTTTGGGACTACAGCCAGTGATTAGCAGCACATAACAGTGGTCCACCCCTAAAGAACAATCACTAGACAGGCTGGATACCCTCTGTCACATGTGCACAAATCTGCATGGAAAAGGACTAAACTTTTAGACTTGGACTTGGGTACTTATTTCCCCTTTCTAGTGTATTAAGAGATGACATGCGCTTTAATTTGCCAAAAGCAATGCTTGTATTCTGGCAGCAACATGCTACTTCTATTACATAGTAAAGTGAATACCAGAACTGCAAAGGCAGGAGGTGTAAGTGAATTTGTATTGGGAAGAGACGTCAACTTAGACAGCAGCAAATGAAGAGTGAATAGGAAAACTGCCTGTTGCCACAGACGTACATGACCTCTACAATATGTGATATAAGAGGCATTTCAAATTTATGGCCTCCAGCCCAGAGATGGCAAGTGCTTTTCCATTCAGTCTAATACTTCTGCGTTCCTACTAAAAAGGAATATATTAAGAGCATAGAAAAGTTCCTTACTGAAAGGAAATCTCAAAGAGCAAGGGAGGGAATGTAGAAATTAGGAAGTTGGCTGGGTGTGGTGGCTCCTGTCTGTAATTCCAGCACTTTGGTAGGCTGAGTTGTGCAGATCACCTGAGGTCAGGAGTTCGAGACCAGCTTGGGCAACAAAGTGAGACCCCCATCTCTACAAAAAATAGAAAAATTAGGCAGGCATGGTGGTGCATGCCTGTAATCCCAGCTACTTGGGAGGCTGAGGTGGGAGGAGAATCTCTTGAGCCTGGGAGGCGGAGGTTGCAGTGAGCTGAGATTGTGCCACTGGACTCCAGCCTGGGCAACAGAGCCAGATCCTGTCTCAAAAAAAAAAAAAAAAAAGAAGTTCTGTGGAACACTCTTTAAATTGTAATTAACTACATTTTCATATATTTACAGTAATACAAAACACAGTCACTTGCAGACCTGGTTAAGATTAAATACCAGATACAAATATGTCCTCTACATAAGTTTTTTCAAGTTACTTTTGTTTATATGGAATGAAACTGTTAATACTTTTCTACAGCAGTAACTGCACACCAGGAAGGCCAAGACAAACACAAATCAGGGAATCAGGTTTTCTCAAAGCTGCAGTGTGGAAATACTATAAACAGTTGGTTCCATACACATAAATAGGTTTCTTTGCTACAGGAAATCCAAGTGGAATAAGGAATGGACATGGTAAAAAGGTTTCTTGAAGGGAAGAAGGATAACACCCTGCATGCATTTAGTGTTCAGCCCCTTCTGCTGCATTGCGTTCTTTTCCTGCACTGTGTGATGTCCACAGTGTTATTAGGTTGTCTCTCAGCAACTGCATGATGAGGGGGCTGTCTGAGTCTTCAGTGTATCAGGTTCTGCAGTGGCTTCATCAAAGGCTGTTTTAGGGCTGGGTGCGGTGGCTCAGGCCTGTAATCCCAGCACTTTGGGAGGCAAAGGCGGGTGGATCACTTGAGGCCAGGATTTAGAGACCAGGCAGGCCAGCATGGTGAAACCTCGTCTCTACTAAAAATACAAAAAATTAGCCTGGCATGATGGTGAGCACATGTAGTCCAGCTACGCGGGAGGCTGAGGCACAAGAATCACTTGAACCCAGGAGGCGGAGGTTGCAGTGAGCTGAGATTGCACTACAGCACTCCAGCCTAGGAGACAGAGCAAGACTCTGTCTCAAAAAAAAAAAAAAAAAAAAAAGCCATTTTAGCCAGTGGGCAGGTGAGCTCAGGGTTGTTAAGGATCTCACAGTAAAATATAGAAAAGTTAAGAGCCAGCCCCAGGCAGATCGGAAGGGGGGGGTTGCATCTCTCTCTTGCTTATCAAATTGTCAAATGTGTCTTGGTAAGCTCCTGGGAATTATCTACCATCTGTGTTTTTTGTTTGTTTGTTTTGTTTTGTTTTTATTTTGAGATGGAGTCTCGCTCTGTCACCCAGGCTGGAGTACAGTGGTGCTATCTCAGCTCACTCAACCTCCGCCTTCTGGGTTCAAGTGATTCTCCTACCTTAGCCTCCTGAGTAGCTGGGATTACAGGTATGCACCACCACACCCAGCTAATTTTTGTATTTTTGGTAGATGTGGGGTTTTGCCATGTTGGCCAGGCTGGCCTCGAACTCCTGACCTCAGGTGATTCACCCACCTCGGCCTCCCAAAGTGCTAGGATTATAGGCATGAGCCACTGTACCTGACCTACCTTCTGTTTTTGATCATTACCACATGCAACTTCAGCAAGATACTGGAAGTAATCCCCCTTTACTTTCAGATAGAAGACGGTTCTCTCTGGATTAGTTGCATTGGCTATTGAATATAATACTTATCCCAAAATTCCAAGACCATGGTGTATCCAAAAATTCCAAGACCATGGGACAGGTGGATCTCAGCTCAGACTCCACTTTCTCCCTATGGTACTTAATCAGTAGCAGCTTCATGTCGGAGGTGTCAGTTTCCTGCTCAGTGCCCAAAATGTCCTTCCAGGTGGACCTGTAGTCCCTGACCCCATACTTGTAGGCCACTGAGAGCAGATTGCGCTCCTTGCTGGACAGCTGGGTGCCCCACTTGGTCATGGCCTTCGTGTAGGTGGCCATGTTGTCACAGTGCTTAGCCTGCTGGGCCAGCTCTGCCTTCACCATGGTGGGTGGGTGGCTGGGGCTGGGGCTGGGGCCAGGCTGGAGCTGGGGCTAGGGTGGAGGATGAATCGAGAGAACAAGAGCTCTAGACCATTTACATTTAATGTGATTATTGTTACGTTAGGCTTAATCAAGTCTACCATTTTATTTTTCTTTGTAGTTTGTTCCTTCAGTGTTTTAATTTTTTTTCCTGACTTCTTGTGTGTTCCTGAAACAGTTTTCAAAATTCCATTTTGATGCATCTGTAGTGTTTTTGAGTGTATTCCTTTGTATAGATATTTGAGTGGTTGCTCTAGGTATTTCAGTGTACATATATAACTTACCGTGGTCTACAGGGGTTGACGTTTTATCAGTTTGAGTGAAGTATGAAACTATTTCCTTTAAAGTCCTTTGCCCTCCCCAGTTGATCTTTTTTTTTTTTTTTTTGAGAGAAGCTCTCACTCTGTCACAGCTCACTACAGCCTTAACCTCTAAGGCTCAAGCAATTTTCCCACCTGAGCCCCCGCAAGTATGTGGGACCACAGATGCGTGCAACCACACCCAGCTAATTCTTTAATTTGTCTATAGAAATGGGGTCTCGCTTTGTTGCCTAGCCTGTTTATAATTGTTTTAAATATTTCTTTTACATTGAGAACCACATCAGACAATGTTACCTTTTTGCCTCAACCATCAAACATAATTTAGAAAACTCGAGAAAAGGAATGTCTCCTTGCATTTTTTTCTCTTTTTCAGTTTTTCCCTTTTGATGTTGCAAGATTCCTTCCTTTATCATTTCCTTTCTTTTTTAAGAACTTCCTTTAGCCATTCTTTTCAGATAGGTTTGCTGATGGCAAATTCCATCAGTTTTCTTTTTTATAAGAATATCTTGATTTTCCCTTTATTCCTTACAGATAGTTTTGCCAGAGATGGTATTTGAGATTGACAGTTCTTTTTCTTTTCTTTTAGTGCTTAAAAAATGTGCCATTTCCTTCTGATCTCCATGGTTTCTGATGAGAAATTTGCTGTAATTCAAAATCTTTTCCCCAGTAGGTCATGTGTGTTTTCCCTCTGGTTGATTTCAAGATTTCTTCTTTGTCTCTAGTTTTCTAACGTTCAATTGTGGTGTTTCTTTTCATGGGTTTCTTCAGGTTTATCCTGTTTGGGTTTTGCTCAGCTTCTTGAATCTTTATGTAGGTTTATGTGTTTTACCAAATTTGGGAAATTCTAGCTATTATTTCTCCAAGTACAGTCATGTGTCACTAAATGATGGGGATGTGTTCTGAGAAATGCATCGTTAGGTGGTTTTGTTGTGTGAACATCATAGGGTATACTTACACAAACCTAGATGGTACAGCCCACTACACACCTACGTACTGCTCCTAGGCTACAAACCTATATAGCATGTTACTGTACTGAATTCCATAGGCAATTATAACACAATGGTAAGTATTTGTGTATCTAAATATATTTAAACATAGAAAAGATAAAGTAAAAATACCGTATAAAAGGCGAAACAGTATACCTGTAGAGAGCACTTACCATGAATGGAGCTTGCAGGAGTAGAAGTTGCTCTGGATGAGTCAGTGAGTGAGTGGGGAGTGAATGTGAAGGTCTAAGACATTACTGTACACCACTGTAGACTGCCATAGCCTTCACAAATACTGAACTAAGGATATACTCAGTTTATAAAAATATTATTCTTTCTTCAAAAATAAATTAACCTGGCTAGGGGTAGTGGCTCACATATGGAATCCTAGCACTTTGGGAGGCTGAGGCGGGAGGATCACTTGAGCCCAGGAGTTCAAGACCAGCCTGGGCAATATAGTGAGACCCTGTCTCTACAAAAAAAGAAAAAAACCACAAAAATTAGCTGAGTGTAGTGGCATGTACCTGTACTTCAGCTACTCTGGAGGCTGAGGTGAGATGATCACTTGAGCCAAGAAGGTTGAGGCTGTGGTGAGCCTTGATCAGGCCACTGCACTCTAGCCTGGGTGACAAAACGAGACCCTGTCTCAAAAAATGTTAATAATTAATCTTAGCTTATTGTAACTTTTTAACTTAAAAAAATTTCAACTGACTCCTTTGTAATAACACTAAGTTTAAAACACAAACACATTGTATAACCACATAAAATATTTTGTTTTTTATATTCATATTCTATAAGCTTTTTCTATTTAAAATTTATTATTTTTTTACTTTTTAAACATTGTTGTTAAAAAGGAAGAGACATACACATTAGCCTAGGCCTGCAGAGGGTCAGGATCATCAGTTTCCTAGTCTTCCACCTCCGCATCTTGTCCCACTGGAAGGCCTTCAGGGGCGGTAACACACATGAAGCTGTCATCTCCCATGAGAACAGTGCCTCCTTCTAGGATACCTTCTGAAGGACCTGAGGCTGTTTTCCAGGTAACTTTTTTTCCTATGAGCAGAAGGAGTATACTCTAAAAGAACAATAAAAAGCATAGTATAGTAAATACATAAACCAGTAACAGTTGATTGTCATTATCAAGTGTGTACTGTACATAATTGTATGTGCTAGACTGTTACATGACTGGCAGTGCAGTAGGTTTATTTACACCAACATCACCACATCCATGTGAGTCATGCATTGTGTTATGCTGTTACAATGGCTACAGTGTCACTAGGCGATAGGAATTTTTCAGCTCTATTATAATCTTTTTTTTTTTTGAGACAGAGCTTGCTCTGATGCCCAGGCTGGAGTGCAGTGGTGTGAGCATGGCTCACTTTACCATCAGCCTCCTAGGCTCCAGTGATCCTCCCGCCTCAGCTCCCTAGTAGCTGGGACTACGTTACCCAGCTAATTTTTGTATTTTTTGTAGAGATGGGGTTTCACTGATTTGCTCAGGCTGGTCTTGAACTTCTGGCCTCAAGCGATCCTCTTGCCTCAACCTTCCAAAGTGCTGGGATTACAGGTGTGAGCCACTGCGCCCAGCCTCCATTATAATCTTACAAGACCCCTGGACATATATGGGGCAGGACTGTACTTTTCCCACCCCACCCTCTTTCTCTATGTTGCTTCTCTATGTTCTTCTGTGTTGCTGATGATAGCCCTCTTTCTGTATGTTCTGTGTTGCTGATGATAGCAGTGTTAGATCTCAGATCTTTTGTTACAGTTCCAAACGTCCCTGAGGCTCTGTTAATTTTTTCCTTAGTCTATATTCTCTCTTTTGACTAGATTGGGCAATTGCTGTTGTCTTTCTTGAGGATCACTGATTCTCTCCATCTGCTCTTGAGCTCACCCATTAAGTTTTTTTTGTTTCAATTATTATATTTCATATTCTGAAACTTCCATTTGTTTATTTATATTTTCTATTTCTTTGCTTAGGGTTTCAGTTTTAAAAATTTGTTTAATGTACCCATTGAAGCATTTTTATGATGGCTGCTTTAAAATCCTTACAAGGTAATTTCAACATCTGCGTCATCTTGGTGTTGGCATCTGTTCATAGTTTGTTCTCACTGATGTTGAGATTTTCCTGGTTCTCAATATTATGAGTGATTTTCAGTTGTGTCCAAGGCATTTTGGGTGTTTATTATAAGACTCTGGCTTTTATTTACATTGTCTGTCATAGCTGGCCTTTTCTGACATCATTTTGGGAGGGTACGGGCTGTGCCACCTCATTATGCTGGTGGGAATGGGATGAAAGTCCAAAGCATCCATCAGTACCCAGCAGGGAGGGATTCCTCCTTCCAGCTGTGCAGGGTTGGGAGGTCAGTTTCCCGTAAGTCCTGTGCTGATGCCACACTTGCTAAGAGGGGAGAAGGGACCCTGCTACTGCTTCTCCTGTGGCCTCCACTCACACCTCACCAGGAGGCTCATTACTGGTGGAGGGTGGTGAAAGTCCCAGCTCCCTCACTCAGTCTTTCCTGACCCCATCCACATATTATGGGTGTCAGGGGGCCTAGTAACAGTTGGGCAAGGGTGGAAGTCTAGGCTCCCTGCCTGGCCATTGCTGATAGAGTGGGGATGGGACCATGTGTTTTCATGGTATATGGCTGGAGTAGAGTGGTGATTGTCTGACGTTTTCTGTCCTGCTGGGTTGCCCTTTACTGAGTCCTTTGCATAGGGTTAGCAGGCTTTTCTTGGTCCTTTTTTTTTTGTGCTCCTGTTGGTATTTTCAGGTTGCCGACTTTTCTAGTTCCCATTCTAGGATATATGAGGCAGAAAGAAAATTCAGAGAACTCACTACTGTGTTGTTTCTTGGGTCCCAGTGACTCTACCCTTTCTGCCTTCTGCTTTCCACCTTTCAAAGTCTTCTTATTTTTTATTTTTTGTGGTGGTTGTTGAGACAGGGTCTCACTGTGTTGCCCAGGCTGGAGTGCACTGGCACAAACTCAGTTCACTGCAACCTCTGCCTCCTATGCTCAAGCCATCCTCCCACCTCAGCCTCCCGAGTAGCTGGGACTACAGGCGTCTGCCACCACGCCTGGCTAATTTTTGTATTTTTTGTAGAGACAGGGTTTCCCCATGGTGCCGAGGCTAGTCTTGAACTTCTGAGCTCAAGTGATCCACCCGCTTCAGCCTCCAAAGTGTTGGGATTATGGATGTGAGCCATGGTGCCCAGCCTTCTTATTTATAATATCTGGGTTTATAATTGTGTTTAGCAGGATGCATAGAGAGAAGTGTGTCTATTCCATCTTGGTCTGGAACTGGAAGTCTCATCTGAATTAGAGAAAGTTCTTCAAGGATATTGTCATCTGAAGACTCATAGTCTGAGATTTTGCTTTTATGATCAATTTCACCACCATTATTAGAGTCTATAGTGATACTACCTGCTTTCTACATTCATTTTCTGATTTGTCCTACAGTTGTCAGATGTCTTTGCTGTAACTTTTCTTCTTTTTGCCATTTTGGGTACAAAAAGGAAAAATCCTGAATTCCCAGTTGTTTTCAGCAAAGGTTACAGAAGACTACAAAGTAGTGTTTTTGAACTTCTTTTATGCTATCCTGAAAGATGATGCCAGTAGTCTTAGAAACACAATAAGAAAACTAAAAGATGATATAATAGTGGTGATTTATGTCACTATGTACCATCCTCCAGGTGGTTCTATCATTCTTCCATTTTATTTAGTTTTTTTTAGCATGATTAGGAATGATTGATGAATAATTATAAAATTGTAAAGTAATTCTTAGGACAATAAAATAGCAAAAAGTTTTAAGATATAGAAAAAATAGGCTCACTGAGATCCTATATCTGTATTATTTATCTATTTATGCATAATAAATTACCACAAGTTTAGTGGTTTAAAATGATACATTTATTATCTCTTATTTTCTGTGGGCTAGGAAACTGGGCATGGCTTAACTGAGCCCTCTACCTGGGCTCTCAAAAGGATACACTGAGGTGTCAGCTGGACTACACTATCATCTTGAGACCTGACTCGTAAAGAATACACTCCCAAGCTTATCCAGACTGTTGGCGGAAGTCATTTCCTTGTGGCTGTAGGACTGAGAGCCCAGGCTTGTTGTTGGCTGTTTTCTGGGATGCAGCTCTAAGCTCTTTGTCACATGGGCTTTTCGGTTTAGTTGTTTACTTCTTCAAAGTCAGCTAGGAAGTCTATAGACACCATATATTATACTATACACTATAGATGTTATATGAGATGGAGTCCTGTGTAATATAACATAATCCTGGAAATGACGCCTATCACCTTTGCCATATTCTGTTCATTAGAAGCAAGTCATTGTGTCTGCCTGCACTCAAGGGGCAGAGGTTGTGGAAGTCTGTGAATACCAGAAGGACGAGGGTCACTGGGGTCACTGCAGAGTCCGCTTGTGACAGTGTCTTAGATTTATAAAACAGTCTGAGGGACTCATATGGTAATTGCTAGACAGAATGAGTTATATTCTTTTTTTTTGTTTTAAAAAAAGCCCAGATGTTCCCTTTATCCTTTGGGAGGTTTCTAAGAAAGACTAAAAGCCATGAAGTATCAGTCCTTAAAAATAGAAGATTTCAAAAAAGAAACGATAGCTAAATTTGGGTGCGGCGGACCTTGGTGACATACTGAGGGTTAAGGAGGAGTCAGATGGGATGGGAAGATAAAATCTTGATAACCTATATCCTCACCTGTCTCATCATCAGTGGACTATTGGAAGAGTCAGACAAGGGTGGAGGAGGCTGTAGCTCACATTCTCACTGCTGCCTCACCTGTAGTGAGGCAGGTTCATTTGTTTTTTTCCTTTTTCAGTCTGAGGCATCTTCTGGTTCACTAGGCCCCTTTCATAAGACCACAGGGTGAGTCTGTCAAGTTCCCACAGTTAAAGTGGGAGTGCCGCAGCCTGGAAGCACTAGCCGGTGTTGGAAATGGTGTCAGCTGTGATTTTGGTCTGGGCCTGCAGGGCAAGTGAGTGGACTGTTTAAACCATTCACATGGAGAAATAAAGTCCTCAGTAATTTGAAACAAAGAAAAAGGAGACAGGGCTATTGTGGGGTGGGTGGGGGGAGCATGAATAACATGAAAAGAAAGAGGTGAGAGCAGTAGTTTGATTGAAAATAAGTCCAGAAAAGAAACACAGAAGAATTTGAAAAGGACTTTGCAGAAGAATATTAGGAGGGGGAAGGTGGAAATGAATGAGCAAAAGGAAAGTGAGAAGAGGGAAGAAGGAGAAAGCATGAAATAGGTCATACAAGGAATATCCAGATCTAGCTAGGGACATGCAGTAAGAGGACACGCTTGTTAGTAGAGCTACTCCATAGTGTGTGACTGGTTAATTATCAGTACCCTGCTTTTTAGTTAAAGATAGTTCTAATGAAGAACTATCTACATAGTACACTTAGCTATATGTTTGTAACAGTTACAACTATCTACATAGTTCTACATTAGATAACTATGTAGTTATCTTTGTAGTTCTAATGTAGAACTACATTAGAATTCTAATGCTGTGTCTTGAGGATTCTTCATAGGAAAATACAGCGCATTATAGCTTTCAGAATACAAAATGTTCTTAATTTTCCTTTTAGAATGAAATACACCTTTATGAAGAAGTGTCTCCCAGTAACTTTAAAGTACTTAAGGAAAATAGTTTATAACCACCTGATAATTTTTACTCCAAGCTCCTTGTGGTTGTTGAATTTTAAAAAGTCAGGTTGAATACAATCATTGTTAATATTTTTAGAAGTGAAGAGCTGTTATAAACATATAGCTAAGTGTACTCTAATGAATGTTATCATGAGTTATGAATTTTTATAGTTCCTCATTTTATTATTATAAGGGAATTTGGGACTTCACGATGAACTTACTGAAAAGAGATTGCCCTTTCCCAAGGGAAGTCAAGGAAAATTATTACGTCTATTTAGATTTGGGAGGCCGAGGCGGGCAGATCACTTGAGGTCAGGAGTTCAGGACCAGCCTGGGCAACATGGTGAAATCCCATCTCTACTGAAATACAAAAACTTGGCCGAGTGTGGCAGTGTGCACCTGTAATCCCAGCTCTTTGGGAGGCTGAGGCAGGAGAATTGCTTAAACCCAGGAGGCGGAGATTGCAGTGGGCTGAGATCATGCCACTGCACTCCAGCCTGGGTGGCAGAGCGAGACTCTGTCTCCAGAAAAAAAAAAACACCAAAAAACCAAAAAAAAACCTGTGTTATAGGTACATGCAGCATCGTTTGTTTGTCTTAAGGTGTTATGTTTATTAGGTCAGGGGATAGATTTTAACTTATTAAACCTCTACCTGGAAGTTTGTTTTGAATGACACTGTTAATGATTATATTAGCCGACAGCTTAGAGAAATAGTGGTTGCGTTCCAGAAAATATTTCAACCATAGCCGATTTGGTATTCACTAGTCACTGTTTTGTAAGTATACTGAAAACATAAGGGAGTAAATGAATTATTTTCATTATTTTAATTTAAATAAAGTGTATGATCCTGTATATCTATGAGCCCCATTTTCCCTTTTGAATTTAGAAGGGTGCAGCTATTTTCAGAATCCATGCGTATGTGTTGGATCCTGACTGGAGTACTCCAAAACCAGAATAATCTTGATAATGCCATGTAAGAGACCTTTGAAACTGGTGTTCACTGGATACTTGGAAAACCCTCTCTGTCCCAAGTTAATCTTCAGGATTACGGCCCTAAACATTTTAATGAGCGCCCCCTGTCCCTGGAACCCTTAACCTGTGGGCCAGAGGAAGGGAGAGGAGAAGGAACTGGTAGACTAGAACTACATAAACTTCTAGGTTGCTCGAGTCTAGAACTACCCCGAGGACAATGCTGGCTACCTCTGGGCTTCTCCGCTCATGGACCTGGGACTGGCACATCAGCATCACCTGGGAGCTTGTTAGAAATTCTTGGGCCCCACCTCAGACCATGGAATCAGGATCCCTGGAAGTGAAGTCCAGAATTCTGTGTTTTAATGAGCCCTTTTAGGTGGTTCTTATGCATGATAAATTCAGGAAACAATGAGATACTTGGTCTCGTTTGTAAGTTTTAGCTATCCATTCTAATTAGAATTGTCTGTTCAAGTTCTGTTCTTTCAGCCTGTTTCATTTGGACTGCTGTTCACTGTGTCTTTTGGCTTTTTATGGCATTAGTTCTCCTAAACCACCCTCTGAATCCAGTTCTTTTATTTTTTTTTCTTTATGCTTAAGAGGTTTATAAGTGGGAAATTTTCTGCAATTTCATCTAGGCCATCTTCTTTCTAATTTAAAATGGTTGTGTAAGAGTGATGCATGTGAAATCTTTAAAAAGTGAAATAAAACATTTTTCAAAGGCAGTGGCTTCCTGAGAAGTAAAGCTTATTAAATTTTGGAATCTTACTAAAAACCTTCCTCATTCATATTTAAAAAAAATTTATCTGTGGAAAGAATTGTATCCGTTCAATGTGGTACTGAGGTTGAACCAGATGACTACTTTTTTTTTTTTTTTTTTTAAGAGACAGGGTCTTGCTCTATCACCCAGGCTGCAGTTCAGTGGCACATTTGCCACTCACTGCAGCCTCAAACCCTGGGCTCAAGGGATCCTCCCACTTCAGCCTCCTGAGTAGCTGGGGCTACAGGCATGCAGTACCACACTGGCTAATTTTTGAAAATTTGTTGTAGAGACAAGGTCTCCCTATTTTGCCCAGGCTGGTCTCAAACTATTAGGTTCAAGCAATCCTCCTGCCCTGGCCTCCCAGAGCACTGGGATTTCAGGTGTGAGCCACCATGCCCGGCCCAGAGGACTTATCAACATTTTTTTCAGTGCCAGAATTTTATTATCTAATAAATATTAAAATGTTTTAAATTAAGAAATAAAGAGTGGGTTTAACTTTTGGTAGTTTTTGTTTCAATACAAAAAGCCAGTTTTTAACACTAGCTCTGAATTTAGTAGTATCTTGTACATCTTGCTGATAAGAAGTTACTATTGTTTAAAAAATAAAGTTCTCTGGTCTGTTTTTATTCACCACACATTAGATGTGACTTATTGGTGCTTTTTGTTTGTGTTAATCATTCATTTATACTGTTGAACAATTTCATATGAAATTACCATTTTTGCCAAAAAGGATCAAATATCAGCAATTTTATACGGTTTAGCCTTGTAAGTCTTTGAAAGCCCAGAGTTACCCTTTTCACTGGAAACTGACCTAAATATTTGAGTTGAAGAATCAAAGTGGTTTCTCTGGAAATTTTGTTTTAGAATCTTAGGTTCACAAAACACAATTTGTACAAAACATAATTTGTACTTTCATTGTCTAGGCTGAACATATAATTTTCTACAATTAAAAAAGTTAGATTTTGTCTACAGTAAAAACAAAACAATAAACAAAACTGGGCACTTCCCAGTAAGATGGTAGTATGAAAGTTCCTTCAGTTTCCCACCATGACCCCTCATACAAACCGATTGAAATGATTCTAAGAAAAGCAAAAATAAGAATTTTTCTACTAATGTTGACAATAGGGAATTATCAAACATATTAATTTGGAGGAATTTTTTCATCTGTTATGTTAAAGTGAACTGAATGCTGGAAGCAGATAAACAATTCTCTTCCTTAAGAAAGCTGTATAGTATTACGGGAAATATAAATGGAGAAAAGTCTAGGGAAAATTCTAGAAAGTTCTAGAAAGCTGAGTTGGCTTTCCAGATGGAATATGAAGTTGCCCTGTTGTTGTGGAGAACTCTTTTAATGTGGCAGAATGGAGTTAGAAACAAAGGACGGATGTGAGAGAGATCGAAAATGGCCCCTCTGGAGCCTTTTCATAGCTGTGGGTCTTGGACTAAGAACAGCAATAGCATCCGGGCTAGAAACTAAATACCTGTGACATTATCCAATAGTCCATGGGCCCCCAGGGACTTTTTCTAAGCTAACTTTCCAAAAGCATGGACAGTTCCCCTCAAAGCAGGGAAGCATTTTAGAATTAGGGGTGCGGCATTTCTCTACTGGGACTGCTTATTCTTCCTACTTGCTGAAGCTGGCCTCTGGGAGGGTGATTTGAAAACATAACAAGAAAATGCATGTGGAGATGGAGACTGCCCTCAGACTCCTATCCCTTTCTACCACTCAGGAGCTGATGAAAGACTGAGCCTATATCTGCCATTCAATCTCCTGCTTACTTTAAAGCATCATTGTATTAAAAAAAAAAATGATGAAATGAAGAGTTGCAAGGATAGTACAAATAAGTTCTCTACACATTTCACCTATTGTGAACATTTTGCCTCTATCATCTTCCTTTCTACAGATATTTGTTTCTTTTCAGAACCATTTCAGAGTAAATTGCAGAAATCGTGCCTCTTTACCCCTAAATAATTTTATGTTTATTTCCTAAGAACCAGGACATTCTCTTACATTACCACAGTTCGAGTGTCAAATTCAGGAAATTTAACATTGGCACAATCATACCCATTCTGTAGTCTGTGTTCTGTTATTTTTCCAGTAATGTTCTTGACAGCATTTATTTCTTCTGGTCCAGGATCCAGTCCAGGACAGCGCTTTGCATTTAGTTTCTCTTACTCCTGGTCGTTTCCTCAGCCTTTGTCTTTGATGACCTTGACACGTCTTAAAGTGGAAGCCATTTATTTTTTTTATTTTTTTTGTTTTTTTTTTTAGACGGAGTCTCGCTCTGGCTCCTAGGCTGGAGTGCAGTGGCGCGATCTCGGCTCACTGCAACCTCCGCCTCCTGGGTTCACGCCATTCTCCTGCCTCAGCTTCCCGCATAGCTGGGACTACAGGCGCCCGCCACCACGCCCGGCTAAATTTTTGTATTTTTTTAGTAGAGACGGGGGTTTCACCGTGTTAGCCAGGATGGTCTCGATCTCCTGACCTTGTGATCCACCCGCCTCAGCTCCCAAACTGCTGGGATTACAGGCGTGAGCCATCACGCCCGGCCGCCATTTGTTTTATACATAATCCCCCAATTTGGATGTGTCCGATGTTTCCTTGAGATTAGAATCAGGTTATGCATTTTGGGCAGGAATCCCACATGAGGGGTGTCCTCTGGGGTTCACTTCACGAGGCACGTGATCTCTGTCCCATTATTGCCAACTTTAACTTTGATCACTTGATGAAGGTGGTGTCAGCTAGGTTTTATCGTTTCCCTCTTTGTAAAGTAACGAGTACTTTGTGGGGAGGTATTTTGAGATGATATAAATACCTGTTTCTTATTAGACTTTCACCTGTTAGTTTTAGCATGCATTTTTGATGCTTGCCTGAGTCAGTTATTGCTATGATGGTTGCAAAGTGGTGGTTTTTTTTTTTTTTTTTTTTTTTTTGAGATGGAATTCCACTCTTGTTGCCCAGGCTGGAGTGCAATGGCGCCATCTTGGCTCACTGCAGCCTCTGCCTCCCGGGTTCAAGCGATTCTCCTGCCTCAGCCTCCCAAGTTGCTGGGATTACAGGCATGCGCCACTATGTCCAGCTAATTTTGTATTTTTAGTAGAGACGGGATTTCTCCTTGTTGGTCAGGCTGGTCTTGAATTCCCGACCTCAGGTGATCTGCCCACCTCGGCCTCCCAAAGTGCTGGGATTACAGGCGTGAGCCACCGCACCTGGCCCAAATGGCAGTTTTTCTAATGTTCATTATTTCTTCTACATTTAGTAATTGGCCTTCTTCTGTAAGAAACACTTTCCCCTCATTTGTTCATTTTTTATTTATTTATTGTTGATACGGACTCATGGATTTGTATTTTATTCAATGGGTTATAATCCATTACCATCGATATTTATTTTGGTTCTTAAATTGTTCCCCATTTGGCTAGTGGGGGCCTCTCCACTGCCTTTCTGTGCCCTTTGGAGAAGTCCTGTCATTTTTTTCTTTTGGTAATACTTTCTTGCTGGCAGAAGAATATTCTAGGTTTATCTTAAAGTTATTTCTCTAAAGAGTTCTTAAAAAAACTCTTTTTTTACTAGAGTTGGGGTCTCGCCATGTTGCCCAGGGTGGTCTCAAACTCGGCTCCAGTGATCCTCTCGCCATGGCTTCCCAAAGTGCTGGGATTATAAGGGTGAGCTATCACGCCCGGCCTCCAAAGAGTTCTATTTTATTTTAGTGGCAAATGGTGTTGAGAAACCAGTATCTAGGCACTGCTTAAGTCTGAAGGGTAGGATTCTAATGTTGTTCACATAAAGAGGGAAGAACTCAAAAGATCTGTTTTGGACACATGCTGTGTTTGGACACTGTGTTTATGCTGATCTGCCCTTGTCCACACTCTCTGGACTGAAACCATATAACACATGGTTTCATATATATAACATATATGGTTCTGAAACCATATAACGTATTCTGATCTCAGAGCAAGTTCCCCCATATTATCTTCTAGATTTTTCTTGGCCCTTTAAAAACATTAATTCTTCTAGATAAATATTAGAATTATACATCAAGTTCAAAAAATTTGTTACTTTGAAAGATACTGAATTGGGCCAGGTGCGGTGGCTCACGTCTGTAATCCCAGCACTTTGGGAGGCTGAGGCGGGCGGATCACAAGGTCAGGAGATAGAGACCATCCTGGCTAACACGGTGAAACACCATCTCTACTAAAAATAGAAAAATTAGCCGGGCATGGTGGCGGGCGCCTGTAGTCCCAGCTACTCGGGAGGCTGAGGCAGGAGAATGGTGTGAACCCGGGAGGCGGAGCTTGCAGTGAGCTGAGATCGCGCCACTGCACTCCAGCCTGGGTGACAGAGCGAGACTCCGTCTCAAAAAAAGAACAACAACAACAACAAAAAAGGATACTGAATTGAATTTCTTTTGCTTAGGGTAGAATTAATCTTTTTGTAAGACTGAGTCTTCTTATTTAGGAATAAGAGATAATTTTATTGATTCTATTATAGACTTCAGTAAAAAGCTTGTACTTTTCTTCACATAAAACTTATGTGTCTCTTCTTATAATTGTTTAATAGAATTGTTTATAGTTTTGTGTTTAGGAATAGTATCTCTTTCACATTTCTTATATTGTGAATTTACACATGCAGAAAATGCTTAAACCATGAGTGACACCCAGATCGAGAAATAGAACCTAGCCGGCACCCTGGAGCTGCCGGTATGCCCTTTCCCTATCACAGCCTTCTCTGTCCTACCTCTTCTCCTTTCCTTCTGAGCAAATTAACGCAAATACGGTGACATACATGCTTTTGTTATTCCATGTAGTGAAGCATGGCAGTTAAGACAGAGAGATATTTTTTTCTGCTATGGAATCTTAAGAGGTGTTTACTGTAAGGATCTTTATGTAAGGGACAAGGAACAGAATAATTGAGTGTTATTAAGACTGCAGATTCATTTTTCATAAGTCTGTTTTTACTGCTTCTATCCATGATTAAAACAGAAATTATAATGTTAAATTAAAAACAGACTTTCTGGCTGGGCGCAGTGGCTCATGCCTGTAATTCCAGTACTTTCAGATGCTGAGGCAGGTGGATCACCTGAGGTCAGGAGTTCGAGACCAGCCTGACCAACATGGTGAAACCCCATCTCTACTGAAAATACGAAAAGTATCTGGGTGTGGTGGCGCGCGCCTGTAATCCCAGCTACTTGGGAGGCTGAGGTGGGAGAATTGTCTGAATCCAGGGGGCGGAGGTTGCAGCAGTGAGCCGAGATCGCGCCACTGTACTCAAGCCTGGGCGACAGAGTGAGACTCTGTCTCAGAAAAAAAAAAAAAAAAGCCTTTCTAAGGTTTGTTTAGGTGTCAAAATAGTAGCTTTAGCTTGCTATAGAAGTTGGAAGCACGCTTGCGGTTTATCTTAATTTAATGAGGTTGTGGACATTGTGCATAACATTCCCGCAGCCTCCACTACTATTCAGTACCTCCAGGCAAGTAAATGAATGGCTTCTTCCACCATCTCTCAGGTGTTGCTGTCCAGTTCTGTGCTTGAGCCTCTTCTACTGTACACTTTGTGCTGATTCATTTCTACTCATTGTTTCAATGCCTACGTTTATCCTCATCAAAGCCCACTTTTATTTCCTAGACCAGGTTTTTTTGACGCGTGATTCTCTCAAATTATTCAAATGAATGACTTTTAACAAGGGTCATTGTACATCTAGCTCAGTGGATTTTTATTCTACTGTTTTTTGAGACAAGGTTTCACTCTGTCGCCCAGGCTGGGGTGCAGTTGTGTGATCATAGCTCACTGTAGCCTCCAATACTTGGGCTCTAGCAATCCTCCTACCTCAGCCTCTTGAGTAGCTGAGACTACAGGCATACACCACCATGCCTAGCTAATTTTTTATTGTTTTATAGAGATGGGGTCTTACTGTGTTGCCTAGGCTGGTCTCTTTTTTTTTTTTTTTTTTTTTTTTGAGACGGAGTCTTGCTCTGTCGCCCAGGCTGGAGTGCAGTGGCGCGATCTCAGCTCACTGCAAGCTCCGCCTCCTGGGTTCATGCCATTCTCCTGCCTCAGCCTCCCGAGTAGCTGGGACTACAGGCGCCCACCACCGCTCCTGGCTAATTTTTTGTATTTTTAGTAGAGACAGGGTTTCACCGTGTTAGCCAGGATGGTCTCGATCTCCTGACCTCGTGATCCGCCCACCTCGGCCTCCCAAAGTGCTGGGATTACAGGCGTGAGCCACCGCACCCGGCCATCTAGGCTGGTCTTGAACTCCTGGGCTCAAGCCATCCTCCACCTTGGCCTCCTAGAGTGCTGGGATTACACGTGTGAGCCACCACGCCTGGCCACTCACTGGGTTTTTAGGGATCAGGGCTTTGACCAAAGTCTAGCCTAGGGAAATCTTTGAGGACTAGGAAGTTCAGAGGAAAAGTTTGGTCTATGGAAATTAATGATTATGCTATAAAATATGTTATATTCATTATATTATTATATAAATTACCATCAGTTTTTGCCTCATCTCTCTATCTGGTTGATGTGAATATGGTCTTTATAGTTGTTTGTACCCTTTGACAGATGCTGTTTAGTATGATGCTTTAAAGTGTTTATTCTAAAACCTTTTATCATTTTATCCATCTTTAATTATATGAAGTGCTGGAGACTGCTCACATTTTTACCAATAATAAGAGCATAATAATAATAGGCATTAACAGCATTCTTACAAATAATAAGAGCATATAAACTTTGTTATATAACAAGTCAGAACCCTTTTTTTTTCAGTTCTGTATCAATGAATATTTTCTTCTGAAAAACTCAACTTTAAACTTTGTAATTTTACAGTTCCATTGAGATTATATTGTTTATTTGTTTTAAGACATATACTATAACTGTTTTGGTTTTGCTTCTAGAAAAACTGATTGCTTATCAACGAGAATTCCTTGCTTTGAAAGAACGTCTTCGAATAGCTGAACACAGAATCTCACAGCGCTCTTCTGAATTAAATACGATTGTGCAACAGTTCAAGCGTGTAGGAGCAGAAACAAATGGAAGTAAGGATGCGTTGAATAAGTTTTCAGGTACAAACAGTATTTTTTATATTATAAAAAGATTTTATATATATATATATATATTTTTTTTTTTTTTTTTCTTTGAGACAGAGTCTCACTCTGTAGCCCAGGCTGGAATGCAGTGGCGCAATCTTGGCTCACTGCCAGCTCCACCTCCAGGGTTCACACCATTCTTCTGCCTCAGCCTCCTGAATAGCTGGGACTACAGGCGCCCGCCACCACACCTGGCTAATTTTTTTGTATTATTAGTAGAGACGGGGTTTCACGATGTTAGCCAGGATGGTCTTGATCTCCTGACCTCGTGATCCACCCCCTCAGCCTCCCAAAGTGCTGAGATTACAGGCGTGAGCCACTGCACCCGGCTGAAAAAGATTAGATTTGCAAAGGGGCATGTGGAATTTTTTTTTGAAAGTCATGTAGAATAGTTTATAAGCCAGCCCTTTCAGAGAGAAAAACCACCACACAAAACTTTCTTTTCTAGTAAATTACAAAAAAAAAAAAAAAAAAAAAATTTATTACCTGCTAAATCTGATTTTAAGAGAGTCATATTAAGTTAAATTGGCTGGGTGTGTTGGCTCACACCTATAATCCCAGCACTTTGGGAGGCCGAGACGGGCAGATCATTTGTGGTCAGGAGTTCAAGACCAGGCTGGCCAACATGGTGAAACCTCATCCCTACTAAAAATACAAAAATTAGCCGGGCATGTTGGTGTGCGCCTGTAGTGCCAGCTACTTAGGAGGCTGAAGCAGGAGAATCGCTTGAACTCTTGAGGCGGAGGTTGTAGTGAGCTGTGATCCTGCCACTGCATTCCAGTTCTGCACTCCAGAGAGAGACTCCATCTCAAAAACAAAAAAAGTTAAATTGCAGTGGAATAAATTTCATTGGCACTGGTGAAGAATGTGCATCTTTTGAAAATGAGATTAAATTATTCAAAATGAGATTAAAATTTAATTTTTCGTGTATATGTGTTTCTGTGATGACTTATGTGTGGACTTCAGATGGACTCTGGAGAAATCTTTGAGCTATTTGAAGCAATTCGTGCTCTTAAACCTTATTTATAATACAGAACATACATAGTTTCCTAGTGGATACTTTAGGAGTATCTGGCCTGTTTCTTCTCTGAGAAATCCTGGTCAGAGTAAGATGAGGGCAAGTGATCTCTCTTTCTGTGCTCTTCTTTATCTGATAATTAAATTGACATATGTATCTAATTGATTGCCTCTAAATTTGCATAATTTTTCTAGATTAGCATACTTTTTCATTTAGCTTCACCTGTTTTAAAAACACATGAATTCCTCTCATCTCCAGATCCACTGCCTCACCTTATTTATAAAGTTGCGTGCTCCTTCTCCTCCTGCTGATAAACTTTGCATTATGTCACCCTGATGTTGAAACTCATGGACTAGTGTAGATAAAAAATAAATCACCGATAAACCTGATGCCAAGTGATTTCTACTAACATTTTTTGTTTCCTTCTAGTATTTTTTCCGTGAATGTTTTTCTTCAAAATTGTTATTGTGTATGATGGCCTGATTTTCACTCTTGAAATTATACTATGAGCATTTTAAAACTTTGTCATTAATCTTCAAAATATTATTTTTAGTGGCTGTGAATGTGCCAGCTATATATACCACAATATATTAAACATTTTTTTCTACAGTTATTCAAATGGGTTTTTCTGGGTTGTTTTTCCCCCCTAGTTTATAACTCTGATGAACATATTTGTATATAAAGCAATCATATTTCTGGTAACCTTTAAGTTATTTTCATTAGATTATGATCTTCTTAGAAATAGGATCTGTGTTTTGATGACTTCATTTTTGAACAAATGATACATTTGCTGGAATAAAATAGATAATCACTAAATATTTGTTGAATGCATAGAAGCTAAATTCTTAAAAGGGAAATTACTGAGTAATAGGACAGAAATGTTTTAAGGTTTTTGCTGCTGTTTTGAATAGTTGGAACATTTATCTTGTTATCACCAATATTTAATATATTTAATCTGCTAATTTCATAGGTAGAAATTGATATAATTTGTAATTGTTTCTTTACGCATGAGATTAAACTTTAATTTTACATATGACAGTCATTTGCATTTCTTTCGTGAATTTTTGGTTCTTCTCATATTTTTAATGAAGTTGAGGTAACAAATTCCTACTGCTAGCTTGCTTTTTTCTAAGGTTAAATTCAAATTTAATGAAATTTTAAAACAATATTATTTCTACTACCAAGTTTTTATTTCATATCATTAAATGATTCATTGGTTCCTCTAATAAAAACAGAAACATCCTATGTATAAAATGGAGTGAGAAAAAAAATGAAACTATTTGAAAGTTGTGATCTGTACTGGATATTCTCAACTTGTGCTGTTTATATTATTTTACTTGAAGTTTTCAGAAAAAAAATTCCTTCCATGTGAAATTTTGATAACATGTAATGCATAAAGAAAGTGAATGGTTGAGCATGATAGCTCATGCCTGTAATCCCAGCACTTTGGAAGGCCAAGACAGGAGGATTGCTTGAGCCAGGAGTTTGAGACCAGCCTGGGCAACATAGTGAGACTCCCGTCTGTACAAAAAAAATTTTTTTTTTAAATTAGCTGATGTGGTAGCATGTGCCTGCAGTCCCAGGTACTCAGGAGGCTGAGGTGGGGAGGATCTCTTGAGCCTGGGAGGTCAAGGCGACAGTGAACCGTGATTGTGCCAGTGGACACCAGCCTGGGCTACAGAGCAAGACCCTGTCACAAAAAAAAAAAAAGAAAATGGAAGTGATTGATGGTTAATGTACTTATTATTTATTACATTTTCATAAGCCAACAGTATATTTAGAGTCTGTTTGGCAAACTTGAGTTCTAATACATTATAGAGGTGAGCCCTTAGCATCCCACCTTCTTACGGTCCTCTAGCTGGCCATTTTGGTTTCCTTCAGCCAGTTTTATCAACATCATGACCTGTGAGACTTTGGCTTTGAAAGTGTCCTTTTCATCTTAAATGGAGATCTCATTCACCAGAGTGTGAAACTAGGAAAGAAAATTCTTTAGTTCTAGTTCTTATTAATTTTTACTGCTGGTTTTATAAAATCAGCAACTTCTGTAAGGTAATTCTTGTATATTAATTATACTTCTGTGTTTCAGATAATACCCTAAAGCTGTTAAAGGAGTTAACAAGCAAAAAATCTCTTCAAGTGCCAAGTATTTATTATCATTTGCCTCATTTATTGAAAAATGAAGGAAGTCTTCAACCTGCTGTACAGATTGGCAACGGAAGAACAGGAGGTATGTTTATTTTGTTTCTTACTGCAGTTGTACTACTGCTGTTAAATGTGTTTTGGACTATTATGTTGACCATCAGAAGTCTGGGAGGTCAAAAAATGAAAGTTCTTTCTTTATCTGTGCACATCAGATCATTCTAAACTCCATGTTGAAAGGAATTGGACATTTTCCTTCATAGACCAAAGTAATACAGCTGAAAGGGATCATGTGAAATCTAGTTCAGGCCCCATCCCAGGCAGACAAATGTTGACACCTTTGTCATTTTTCTGTTTAAGAAACTTGGGAAGTACAGAGATGACTTGCCTTGTATCTTATTTCAAAATTAACAGCTCTTTTGGTCATGTCATAAAGGTTTTTCTTATGTCTGCCCCACTTTTCCTACAGAGGTGTAAGTAGATAGTAACTTTTATGTAACTTTTTATGGAGTAGTAGAAATACTTTGATTTGCTTCTTTTTTCCTAATTTATTCAAAAGATAATATATAGCTTATTTTTCTCTTCTTGTCAGAGGCAACAGAACTTCTTCAGTTTTCCTTATAGAAACTATTTACCACTCTTTTTGTTTGTTTGTTTGAAGCAACGTAAGGACAGATTTATTGAAACCAAAGTACACTCCACAGAGTGGAAGTGGGCTTGAGCAAGCAGCCCAAGAGCCGTTTACCACTCATACATTTGATTCCGCTGTTTTGACTTTGTTAATCTTTTCTTTGTAGATTTTAAAATGCAGAGGGCAGAATATTATTTTGTTCTTCTGTAAGTTTTTAACAAGTGATGAAATGATAACTTCATAGATATCAAGATTCATTTTTGGGTTAGTGTTTTTGAAAAGCTGGGTCTACTTTTGATTCAATGGGATTCTTAAGTATTTTGCTGTCTTATTTGGGGGATCACATCTTCTCATTGATCTATAAATGTAAGCTTTTACATTCATCTTGTCTTAGTTCTGCTGTCTTTCTATTTCATTAATCAGTTGAAATAATATACTACCTTCCTTCTTAAGGAGGTGGAAACTCTTAAAATAGCATGTTGAGACAAACTCCATCTTTCCTTTCTCTAATGATTCAAAAAATATTTATTGAAGCCAGGCATTCTGCAGGTGCCAGGTATACAGAGACTAACAAGGTGTGTGTGGTACTTTGTTTTTTGTTTTTTTTAGAATGTTGATTGTTAATTATTTTTGAAGCTGATATCATCTCTCCCTTTAATAGTCACTTTTTGGGTAAGATGTCTTAAGTAGTTGTGGGTTTGTTTGTTTACACTATTTCTTCATTCATAAGAGTATCAAATGAAAAGAAATTAGAAGTGTTTTTAAAGTCATTTAAAATGTCCAAGGTCTCTAATAGGTTTTTATTTTGTAAATGTGACATTCTCTTTCTTTTGAAGCTATGTATTCCATCCCATTTGTTTACATGACTTTATCCATTATAAATATAATAAAATCTTGGTCAACCAGCTTTCCAATAGTTAACATTCTTATAAAGCTGCTACTATTTTTGAAAGGTAGAAAAAACAGCTTGGTAGAAAAAATAACCCATATTTACGTTAAACATTTTCCTCCCTAAATCATTAGGAAAAGCTCTTAATATTTTTAGTTACAGGACCTTTTGGATATTCTAGGAAAGCTGTCAATCTCTACTTTGGAAAATGCCCATAGAAAATATAATTTTATTTGTAATTTCTGGGGTTTTATGGAACCCCAGAACTTATCTAGGGCTTCATATTCAGAACTTCTGTTTCTTAGATAAAGAAAAACAGCTTCTTGCTAAAAATTCTGTTTTCCAGTGGTCAGGCTGATTAATTAGGGAACAGCACTTAGAATAGCTAAGCCATTGTAAGGCTGAAGAGGAAGGACAGTGCTGCCGGTGGCTGCTGACCCCAGGGGAGCGGCTGGGATTCTCAATGCCCAGAACAGAAAACTGTCGGCGCACCACCCAGCACCACATCTGTATCCTTCCACCACATTCTCCAAGGCAGGCTGCGGCAAACAAACCCAGCGACTACAAGCAGGTGCAAGGGCGACTTCAGCAACAAGGGGTTGCTGAATAATTTAGGAAAATTAGTACCACGAATGACTTAATACTAAAGAAAATTGAGTTTGCAGAACAAACTGAATATGATTTAAAAATAAAGCATCAACATATTTTTAGAAATGAGGGAGGAGAACTTGCCCATAACACAATAACTGACCATTATCAAAGGATCCGTTAGAAATTTTTGTGCTTATGATTTCAATGATTATATTTAAAAATCCTACATCGAGGGACTGATATGGAATTTTAGCTAGACATAGCTAAAGATCAAATTAGTGATCAGAAAGACCGAGCTGTGTATTTCTTCCAGAATGCAGCATAAACGCATAAAGAATGGAAGTAGACAAAAGTTTTAATGTTCATCTGGTAGTCATTTCAGAAGGAGTGAACAAAGAGAGTGAAAAGAGGGAATTACCAGCTTATAGAAGTAAATTTCTTTGAGTTGAAGAAACCTTCAGGTTTTCAGGTTAAAGGGCCCATTCAGGGTAGAGCAAGAGGGCTGAGCAAAGACTCTCATTGGGTTATCTACCAAAACGGCACAACTGCTTCGTAGAGGATAACAGATAATTCTTGAAGTATTTGCTGCAATGAAAGTCCATGAGCAATTGCTATGGGCCAGGCACCTTGCCAGATACTTTGGTACACAAAATTAGATGTGGTTCCGAGTCTTGTGGAGCTTCAGCCCAGTAAAGAAAACACGTATTAGTCACATAGTCAATTATACAAACAACTGTATAATTATAACTTTAATTACCGATGTAAAGGATGCTTTGAGAATGTGTAAGAGGGACTTTTGGCCTAATTAGGGAGTTTAAGGAACTCTGAGAAATTACGTTTGGCCTGAGGCTGGTAGAATCTATCATTTACTGGTGAAGATGGGTGTGTTGGTGTTCTATTGCTGTTGTAACAAATTGCCACAAACTCACTGTGTTTAAACCACAACACAGATTTCTCATCTTACAGTTTGGGAAGGCAGAAGTCCTAACACCAGGTTGTCAAGAGGGGTGTGTTCCTTCTGGAATCTCTAGGGGAGGATCCTTTTTTTTTTTTTTTTTTTTTTTTTTTGCCTTTTCCACATTACTTTGTGGCCTCTTCCTTCATCGTCAAAGTACAGTATCTTCAAATCTCTCTGACCATGACCCTCTTGATTCTGTTGTTCCATCTCTTTCTTTCACTCTGACCCTCCCTCCTTCCTTTCATAAAGACGCTTGTGATTATATTGGGCCCACTAGCTAATCCAGAATAATCACCCCATCTCAAGAACTTTAATCACATCTGCAAAGTCCCTTTTGCCATGTAAGGTAACATATTCAGAGGCTCCAGGAATTACGGCATGGACATCTTTGGGCGACTATTATTCTCTCCATCACAATGGGGAAAAAAAGAATATTCCAGAAGACGGAAAGAGCACCACAAAAGTCCTGTGGTGGAAGGGAGTGTGGAATGTTCTAGAAAATGAAAGAAGGTCACTGTAGTTTACGTGTAGAGTGAGGAAGTGTGTGGAACAAGATGAGGCTAGAGATGTAAGTTGAGGCCAGACCATGTAGGGCCTCCTAGACCATTTATGGGATTTTGGTTTCTATCCTAAGAGCGGTAGGAAGCCATTGAAGGGTTTTCAACAGGACTTATTAAGAATGACTTGATAAGATTTAAATTTTACAGAGATCACATTTGCTGCAATGGGAAGAATGGTTGAGGATGTGGGAAGAGGAATAGATAATGAAAAACCAGATAGGCCGTTTCAGTGATCCACTGGAGAGAGGGTCAACTTGGAACTTGGACGAGGTAGCAGTGGTAGTTGTAGAGATGGGAAGAAGAAGATGGACCTAGAGTTGTTTGGAACATATGAGAATGTATCAGGGAGGACATAGTCATGTTCTGGATTTGTGGACTGAGGTAGAGGAGTGGTCAGGAATGAACCCAGGGTTTCTGGATTGAGTGACTGGATGCATGGTGGGCCATTCAGTGAGATAGGGGACAATAGACACTGTTTTGCATCATTGGTTTGCAAGAGAGGTTTATAGATTAAATTTGAATATGATAATTTGGAGGTGATTTTGAGATATCACAGTGGAGATGTTGGAGTAGGCAGTTGGATATTTAGATCTGGGACTCAAAGGAGAGATCTGAGTTAGATTTAATTTTATGAGTCATTGTTTGAGAATAAGTGGTTGAAGACGCAGAAATGGATGAGATCTCCTAGGGCCTAGGACTGAGACTTGAAGGTTTTCCAGCAGTTAATTTCCAGGGAAAGAGGAAGATGAACACAAGGAAGACAGAGACAGAGAAAGGGCAACTAGGCAGTGGAAGAAAAAAAACTGTCATGAGATATAAGGAAAGCAATGAGGAATAAATGACTAAAGTGAAACCATAAGGAAACATGATAGGCTAAAAATATTTGGCTAGCAATGAACATTTTTAAAGGGACATAATTTAGTTATAACTAAAGGTAGATTGAGTTACTGAAGATTGAGAATGCCAAGATTTTTCCTAATTCTTTTTTTACTTTAAAGGAAATACGAACTAGAATTTGAAAACTTCCCGGGAAAGTGGAAGAAAATGAAATAATCACAATTGATAGCTCTGTCAAATTATAAATACCATGAGGTAGGGGCCTTACCTATCTCATGACTGTATTTCAGACTGTCTAGTACATAATAGAGGTACTACATATGCACAATTACTGCTTGAATTGGAAATACAAGGTGGCTAATCAGTGGAACTCTTGCACTCAGAATTAAAACAAAATTAGTGATCCCAGTACCTAGCCCAACCCGTTGGCTCTGTTTCTGTTTGGTTTCCTTGGTCCATCTTACTCCTGCCTAAAAGGATGATATGACCATATTCTTCACTTTGCTGACATATTTCTTCTTAACTCTAACTCAGTAGAATACTTACATTTTCTGGATTGTAAATGGTAGAAGAACATTGTATCAGATAGGACAGGCTGGGTTATGTTGTGGTAACTAACAACTCCAGAGTCTCAGTGATTGAGATAACAAATGTTTATTTATTTTTTTGCTCATAGTACGTGTCCACCAAGGTTGACCAGTCATGCAGGGATCCAGGCTGACAGAGCAGTTGCCATCTTGAATGTTTCTGGCTGCTCTGCCAAAGAGAACAATCTCAAGGATTTCACACTGTAGTTATCAGTGCTCAGCCCACAGATTACACATGCTGATGACTCATGGGCTATTAATAATTATATCCCCTTTGCCCCACAGTCCCCAACCATAAGGGGACTAAGAAGGGCAGCCCCCACCATGGGCTCAGAAGGCCAAGGAAACTACCCTTTTTTGGTGGTAATTTTGCAAATTACCATAAGCATGGTCACTCTTAATTTTGTAGGTTTGGCTGAAATTACAAGTTTCATGTTTAGTGCTTTTGAAGTCTTTGAATACCCTGGTTTAAGCTAAATAATTTAAATTTTAACTCTAAAATAGTATAATTAGGGATAAAATGGTTTATTCTCTAAACATGCTGTATTAGTCCATTTTCATGCTGCTAATAAAGACATACTGAGACTGGGCAATTTACAAAAGAAAGAGATTTAATTGGACTTAACAGTTCCACGTGGCTGGGGCGGCCTCACAATCATGGCGGAAGGCAAGGAGGAGCAAGTCACATCTTACGTGGATGGCAGCAGGCAAAGAGAGAGCAAGCTTGTGCAAGGGAACTCCTCCTTTTAAAACCATCAGATCTCGTGAGGCTTATTCACTGTCAGGAGAACAGCACAGCAAAGACTTGCCCCCATGATTCAATTACCTCCCACCGGGTCCCTCCCACAACATGTAGGAATTCAAGATGAGATGTGGGTGGGGACACAGCCAAACCATATCATTCCGCCCCTGGCCCCTCCCAAATCTCATGTCCTCACATTTCAAAACCAATCATACCTTCCCAACAGTCCCCTGAAGTCTTAACTCTTTTCAGCATTAACTCAAAAGTCCACAGTCCAACGTCTCATCTGAGATGAGGCAAGTCCCTTCCACCTATGAGCCTGTAAAATCAAAAGCAAGCTGGTTACTTCCTAGGTACAATGGGGGTACGGGCATTGGGTAAATACAGCCATTCCAAATGGAAGAAATTGGCCAAAACAAAGGGGCTACAGGCCCCATGCAAGTCCAGAATCCAGCAGGGCAGTGAAATCTCAAAGTTCCAAAATGATTTCTTTTGACTCCATGTCTCACGTCCAGGTCACACTGATGCAAGAGGTGGGTTCCCATGGTCTTGGGCAGCTCTGCCCCTGTGGCTCTGCGGGGTACAGCCTCCCTCCCAGCTGCTTTCATGGGCTGGTGTTGAGTGTCTGCGGCTTTTCCAGGCATGTGGTAAAAGCCATGAGTGGATCTATCATTCTGGGGTCTGGAGGACGGTGGTCCTCTTCTCGCAGCTCCACTAGGTGGTGCCCCAATAGGGACTCTGCTGGGGGGGCTCTGACCCCACATGTCCCTTCCGCACTGCGCTAGCAGAGGTTCTCCATAAGAGCACCGCCCCTGCAGCAAACTTCTAACTGAGCATCCAGGCATATCCATTCATCCTCTGAAATCTAGGTGGAGGTTCCCCATTATTGACTTCTGTGCACCTGCAGGCTCAACACCACATGGAAGCTGCCAAGGCTTGGGGCTTGCACCCTCTGAAGCCATGGCCTGAGCTGTACCTTGGCTCCTTTTAGTCAAGGCTGGAGTGGCTGGGACACAGGTCACCAAGTCCCTAGACTGCACACAGCAGAGGGACCCTGGGCCCAGCCCAGGAAACCATTTTTCCCTCCTAAATCTCTGGGCCTGTGATGGGAGGGGTTGCCACAAAGGTCTCTGACATGCCCTGGAGACATTTTCCCCATTGAGCTTAACCATTCAGTTCCTCATTACTTATGCAAATTTCTGCAGCTGGCTTGAATTTCACCTCAGAAAATGGGATTTTCTTTTTTATCACATTGTCAGGCTGCAAATTTTCCAAACTTTCATGCTCTTTCCGTCTTAAAACTGAATGCTGGCCGGGCGCTGTGGCTCACGCCTGTGATCCCAGCACTTTGGGAGGCCGAGGCGGGTGGATCACAAGGTCAGGAGTTCGAGACCAGCCTGACCAACATGGTGAAACCCTGTCTCTACTAAAAATACAAAACTTATCTGGCCATGGTGGTGGGCACCTGTAATCCCAGCTACTCGGGAGGCTGAGGCAGGAGAATCATTTGAACCTGGGAGGTGGAGGTTCCAGTGAGCCGAAATCATGCCATTGCACTCCAGCCTGGGCCACAAGATCGAAACTCTGTCTCAAAACAACAACAACAACAACAACAACAACAACAACAACAAAAACTGAATGCCTTTAACAGCACCCAAGTCACCTCTTGAATGCTTTGCTGCTTAGAAATTTCTTCTGCCAGATACCATAAATCATCTCTCTCAAGTTCAAAGTTCCACAAATCTCTAGGGCAGGGGCAAAATGCTGCCAGTCTCTTTGCTAAAACACAACAAGAATCACCTTTACTCCAGTGCCTAACAAGTTCCTCATCTCCATCTGAGACCACCTTAGCCTAGATTTCATTGTCCATATCATTATCAGCATTTTGGTCAAAGCCATTCAACAAGTCTCTAGGGAACTCCAAAGTTTCCTATATTTTCCTGCCTTCTGAGCCCTCCAAACTGTTCCAGCCTCTGCCTGTTAACCCAGTTCCAAATTCACTTCCACGTTTTCAGGTATCTTTTCGGCAGTGCCCCACTCTCCTGGTACCAATTTACTGTATTAGTCTATTTTCATGCTGCTGATAAAGACATACCTGAGACTGGGCAATTTACAAAAGAAAGAGGTTTAATTGGACTTACAGTTCCATGTGGCTAGGGAGGCCTCACAATCATGGCAGAAGGCAAGGAGGAGCAAGTCACATCTTATGTGGATGGCAGCAGGCAGAGAGCAAGCTTGTGCAGGGGAACTCCTCTTTTTAAAACCATCAGATCTTGTAAGACTTATTCACTATCACGAGAACAGCACAGGAAAGATTTGCCCCCATGATTCAATTACCTCCCACTGGGTCCCTCCCACCACACGTAGGAATTCAAGATGAGATTTGGGTGGGGACACAGCCAAACCATATCACGTGCCATCTAAACTTTAGCAAAGCAAAACGGAAACCAAAAACCCTCGAGAGTATGGTAGGGATAGAGAATTTGCATTGTGACTTTATGCCATTCTTGTTTGCACACTGTGGATCACCATGGGCTTTGCTTTCATCATAGTGAAGTCTTTGTACTCCATGAGTTAGCATTTTCTAGGAATGCTCCTCATCCTAGTTGTTACGCTGGTAATTTTTTTTTTTTTTGAGACAGGGTCTTGCTCTGTCGCCCAGGCTGGAGTACAGTGGTGTGATCACAGCTCACTGCAGCCTCTACCTCCCAGGCTCAAGTGATCCTCCCACCCCAGCCTCCCAAGTAGCTAGGACTACAGGCATGCGCCACCATGCCCAGCTAAGTGTTTTATTTTTTGTAGATACCAGGTCTTGCCAAGTTGCTCAGGCTGGTCTCGAACTCCTGGGCTCAAGCGATCCTTCCGCCTCAGCCTCCTGAAGTGCTGGGATTAAAGGCATCAGCCACCACACCCGGCCTTAAATTCTGAGGTAGATTATTCTATGGAATTTTGCTTCCATTGTAACTCATCCTGTCTTTTGGGATCTCAGAGTAACATGGTCAGAAGAGAAATCTGGATTGGAGGCCCTCTCCTCAAGTGTGTTGTTCTGAGTGAAAGTTGCCCCCGTCCAGTTACTCAAGTCACCCTTGATTCCTCCCCTTCTCTTGTCTGCCAGCTGAAGCCCTATTTGCAAGGGTCTCCATCATCCACTCATCTCCACCTCTTCAAACACCCTACAGCCTCATTCAAACCACCATCTTTTCCTTCAGTTAGTACATTAACTTCCTAACCACTCTTCCAAAGTGCTTTTACTTTTTGTGAAATTTGGTAATCTCTTAAAATTACAAATTGGATAATGTCATTCCCCTGCTTACAACCTTACAATGGCTTTCTCTTGCACTCAGCATTAAAACAAACTTTGTTATATGCAATGTGACCCCTGACTGATTTTCTCAATCTGGGCTTATTCTGCTTTCGATCCAACCTGCTCTTGGTATTTCTTGACTATGTCAAAATCATTCTGGCTTCAGGGCCTTGTTGCTTCCTCTTCTGCAGTATTCTTCATCAGCTCTTTCTCATGGTTACCAGCTCAGCTGATATCAGAGAGGCCTTCCGTGACCACACGACTTACAGGGGTACCCCCTCCCCATTCATCACTCTGACAGTACCAACCTATACATAGCAGCCTGTAAGATACATATATTTTAAATCTTTTTCCCCTTTCTAGAATGTGCGTTCCATGAGGGCAGGGACCTTACCTATGTTATTTACCATTGTATGCTTAACACCTAGAATAGTGCCTTGCAGTAAATATGTGCAAAACAAATAGAGCAAATATCTTTTTTTGGGGGGACGGAGTCTCATAGAGCAAATATCTTTTTGAGTGCTTGAGAACTCTTCTTGCCTAAAATGGAAGAGAGGGTTGTGTCACGAGACCTTGGGGCAGTCCCTTAAACCTTTCGCATCTTAGTATTCTTACCTCAAGAATCATGGTGGTAGATCCATGGTCTTTACGCTCCCTTCTGGCATTAGAATTCTTTTTTTTTTTTTTTTTGAGATGAGATGGAGTCTTGCTGTGTTGCCCAGGCTGGTGTGCAGTGGCGCGATCTTGACTCACTGCAACCTCCGCCTCCTGGATTTAAGCAATTCTCCTGCCTCAGCCTCCTGAGTAGCTGGGACTACAGGCGCCCGCTACCACACCCAGCTAATTTTTTGTATTTTTAGTAGAGACAGGGTTTCACCGTGTTAGCCAGGATGGTCTCGATCTCCTGACCTCGTGATCCACCCGCCTCGGCCTCCCAAAGTGCTGGGATTACAGGCATGAGCCACCACACCCAGCCCCTGGCATTAGAATTCTGTGAATTATAAGTATTTTTTAGTATCTCCAAAAAATTGTTGCATGATTAAGACTAAGTTGTTTTTACCATATTTAAAATACTTCTGTATTGATACATAGCGTACTAAGACTTTAAGGCATAATTTTTAAAAATTTACTTTGAAATACCTCTATAATGCAGTATAAGTGTTCCTAAAAATCACTGTGGTATGAAAATGGTGCAAAAAAATGAGAGCAAGGGGGTTAGGATCACAACACTCAAACACTTTGTCAGTTACACTATAAAAAAGGATAAGAACCTAATTATAATAGTGGCACAGTTTTTCGCAAGTTAAATGATTAAGAAACACATAAATGTGGCATTCCATCTTGAAAAAGCCCTGAGATTTGCTTGTTGAAGTGGGTTGCTGAAGGATTGCAGCTTGTAAGTTATTGTGAAGGGCTGTGAGGTAGGTTATTTGCAATCTGATGGAAGGTTGCAACACCCAGTGTGGATGGGTGTGGTTGATAGTTGTGGTGAACTGAGACAGCTGGTAGGTATTTTGAGGTGCGTGCATTTTGTATGCAGTATTTCTACATGGTTCGGTTTAATTTTCTGAACTCAATTCAGCTGGGTACAATTTTCTGTTGTTCACCTGGTGTTTGTCTCAGAGGACAAATTGCACGTAAGCTAATGTGAAATTCATGTGTTATGCCCCAGTTTTTCCCTAATATGTTAATCATGTAGAAACAAATTTGCATTGAAAACAAGCATTATAGGAACATTGACTGTAATTTTAGTCTTTAAAAATGTTGCACAAATAGTACACAAAGTTTTCTCTTTTTTTTTTTTTTTTTTTTTTTTTTTTTTTGAGATGGAATCTTGCTTTGTCACCCAGGCTGGAGTGCAGGGGCACAATCTCAGCTCACTGCAACCTCTGCCTCCCAGGCGATTCTTGTGCCTCCACCTCCCAAGTAGCTGGGATTATAGGTGTGCGCCACCATGCCCAGATAATTTTTGTATTTTTAGTAGAGACCGGGTTTCGCCATGTTGGCCAGGCTGGTCTGAAACTCCTGAGCTCAAGCAGTGTACCACCTGTACCTCCCAAAGTGCTGGGATTACAGGCGTGAACCACTGTGCCTGGTCACAAAGTTTTCATATGCCCTTACCCAGTGTCCCTACATGACCATAGTATAGCGATCAAAAACCAGGAAGTTAACGTTGATGCTACACTGTTCACTAACCTTAGCTCTTACTCCGATTTTGTCATGTGTTTCATTGTTGCTGTTTTTCTCTTTCAGGATCCAAATCAAGATCCCATATTTCACTTAATTGTCGTGGTTCCTTAGTCTTTTCCAATCGGGGACCATTCATTACTCTGTCTTTCATGACCTTGACACTTTAAAGAGTACTGTTATTTTGTGGAGCATTGCCCCAGTTTGGATTTTTCTGATGTTTCTTTACGGTTAAGTTGAGGTTATGCATTGTTGGCAAGAACAACCACAGAACTGATGTTGTGCTCTTCTCGGCATGTCACATGCTTGAAGTCGAGAGATAAGACATTAGTTTTTAAGATATGTTTAGTGTTTTTAAGTTTTAGTTGTAAAATACAGTTTGCTGTTTATACTTCGCAGCCATTCATTTTTTAGTGTGAAGTTTAATGTCTTTCATTTTTATCAGTTCTTTTTTTCTTATGGTTAAGCCATGTGAAAATGAATTACAGTATTACAGGTATGCCCTTGTATTCTTTATTTTTCTTCCTGAAACTTAATATATTTTGATCCATCAGTTATTCCTATCAATTTGAGAGGGTATAATACTTTTGAAATAGAAGTGTTTTTCTGTATTGTCCTTGTACAGTTTTTTAATATAATTACTATTTTTTTTTCCAGTTTCAATAGTCATGGGCATTCCCACAGTGAAGAGAGAAGTTAAATCTTACCTCATAGAAACTCTTCATTCCCTTATTGATAACCTGTATCCTGAAGAGAAGTTGGACTGTGTTATAGTAGTCTTCATAGGAGAGGTAATTATTTAATTGTTGTTATGTTTTTACCAAATATAGCCTATAAGAGTTGAAACTCTAATTGAATATTTGAATATGCTTTTAAAAACGCTTTTTAAAAAATGTGATGAGTAAAGCTTAGGTAATATATTCTATCTGGTAGTTTAATGTAAATTGAACTCACTTCTGTCCTGCAATTACAAACCAGGAATAGTAATATTTGTTGTCAATAGGATGTTACACCCGTAGATCTTTAAGAACGTGTGCCTATTTCTAGCTCTAAGACTTAAATTTGGAGATTTGCACTGATGATCTTTGGGAGTCCTGAAACCTGAAAAAGGTTTAGGCTCAGCTGGGGTTTTATCATTCTTTTATTCTCTCCATCCCTTCTCTGTACTCCTAAGAAATCATGTGAATGAGAAATACCACACTTCTTGTATTTTAGTCTCCTCAAAAGATTTAGAGAAAGAATAAATCTTGAGCAAGTTCTTTTTAAATCATGAGGAATAAGACCCTAGAGTAAATATTTTCTTAATTATTGTATAGAATTTCAGAATGGGAAAGGATTTAGGACATGGTCTAGTTCTGGCCCACTAATTCCTAACTTTTTAGAGTTCCCCATGTCTTTTTAAATGAAAATGGTCTTGATGATTTCCTTATTAGAGAAGTAAACAAATGCATACTGTTCAAAACAATTACATAAATATATAATGAAAAATTACCTGTTACTCCTCTACATAAATATAACTATTTCAAATTATATGTTAAGACTTTTTGTTCTGAAATAATTTTAGATTTACAGAAAGTTGCAGAAATTATAGAGGGTATCTCCTTCACTCAGCTTGCTCTGATGTTAACAACATATGTAGCCATATTATAGTTATCAAAACCAGGAAATTAACACTGATATAATACTCAACCAAACTACAGACTTTATTTGAGTTTCCTGTTTTTCCGCCTGGGTTCGCCTTTCTGTTCCAGCATGCACTATGGAACACCACATTGCAGTTAGCGGTTCTCATGCCTTAGCTTCCTCCTGTCCATGTTTGTGTCTTTCATGAACTTGGACATTTTTGATGGGCACTGGTCAGTTATTTTGTAAAATGTCTCAGTTTGGATTTATCTGATATTTTCTCATGATTATATTTTGACTATGCATTTTTGGCAAGAATAATATGACTTGCCTTTTTAAAAAGGATCCTGCTGTCTGCTTTGGTAAGGGCAAAAGAAAGGAGACTACTTAGAAAGCTGTTGCCATAATCGAGGTGAGGCTTGGACTGGGAGACTGTTCATGGAGGTGATCAGAGATGGGTAAATTATGAACATGTTTTTAACTAAATGGGTTCTAATAAAAAATGAGAACCATTGCTATAGCATCAACATGCTATTAAGGACAAAGCTCCAATTAATGAACTTAAAATAGCCCTTTTAATGTTTTCTGTTTAGTTTTGTACATTTGAATAGAAATATGTATCAAATTTAGGCTTAAATGTCAAGTCTTCAGAGAGATTTTCTCTGAATGTAATGTTTAAGTAGGCCATCTCTGTTTTTCCTCTATTATTGCATTCTATTTTTATAACACAATATTCAGTTATATATACACATACATATGTGTACATATTTTTGTTTGTTTGCTTATGAACTGCTTCTCTCACCAGTTTTAAGTTCTACAAACAGAGATCTTCTTTATTTACCAACCTATACTCAGAGCTTGATAATATGGATACAGTGGATCCATGTATGTATCCAGTATGGATACAGTGTATATATCCATCCGTTTCTTTTCTCCACATTCTTCCTAATACTTGTTATCTTTTGTCTTTTTGACAGTTAGCCATCCTGACAGATGTGATGATATCTGATTGTGGTTTTAATTTGCATTTCCCTAATGATTAGCAGTGTTGAGGATTTTTCGTATATCTGTTGGCCATTTGTATGTCATCTTTTGGGAAATGTCTGTTCAGGTCCTTTGCCTATTTTTTCAGTGTTTTTTCTTACTCTTGAGCTGTTTGAGTTCCTTATATATTTTGGATATTAACTGTTTATCAGATGTGCAGCATGCAGATATTTTCTCCTAACCCATAGGTTGTCAGGCATGCTGTTAATTATTTCCTTTGCCATGTAGAAGAGTTTTAGTTAGATGTGATCCTATTTGTCTATTTTTGTTCTTGTTGCCTGAGCTTTTGGGGTCATATCCAAAAAACCATTGCCCAGGCCAATGTCGTGTAGTTTTTCCCTTATGTTTTCTTCTGGTAGTTTTAGAGTCTTCTTTTGTTTTCAATCCATTTTGAGTTTATTTGTATATTTCACGTGAGTTGAAGTTCCACTTTCATTCATCTGTATGTGGATATCCAGTTTTCTCAGCACCATTTACTAAAGAAACTTTTTTCATTGAGTGTTCTTGGCACCTTTGCTGAAAATCAATTGACCATACATACATGAGTTCATTTCTAGGCTCTATATTCTGTTCCATTGGCCAGTGTGTCTGTTTTTTAAAAATCAATACCATACTGTTTACATTATTATAGCTTCATAGTATAGTTTGAAATAATAAAGTGTGTTGCCTCCAGCTTTATTGTTTTTCCTCATGATTACCTTGGCTATTTGTTGTGTGTGTGTGTGTGTGTGTGTGTGTGTGTGTGTGTGTGCGCGTGCGTGTGTGTGTGTGTGTGTGGTTATATATGAATTTTAGGATTTTTTTCCCATTTCTGAGAAAAATGTCATTAAATTTTTTGATAGGGATTACATTGAATCTGTAGATCACTTTGGGTAATATGGACATTTAAATGATATTAATTCTTCCAATCCATGAGCAAAGATATCTATTTATTTGTGTGTTCTTCAAATTATTTCATCAACATTTTATAATTTTTGGTGTCTAGTTCTTTCACTTCCTTGGTTAAATTTTTTCCTAAGTATTTTTTTGGTAGCTATTTTAAATGGGATTGTTCTCTTGATTTCTTTTTCAGATAGTTCATTGTTAGTATGTAGAAATGCTACCGATGTTTGTATATTGTTTTCCAGAAAGCCTGTTATAAAAACTTTTTATAATTTGATGGTTTTGCAATTTCCAGGATTAAGCTATACCTTTTTTGTTTGTTTTTCTCAAGTATTAAGTGCTTTGACAGTCTTTATAACATAGATTATATTTTATATATCATTGAGTCTTTTAACAATTGAGCATTTTTATAAGTTATCGCTGTATTTAAAATTGATAGGTAGGTGTATTAGTCCATTTTTATGCTGCTGATAAAGACATACCCAAGACTGGGTAATTTATAAAGAAAAATGGACTCACAGTTCCACATGGCTGGAAAGGCCTCACAATCATGGCAGAAGGCGAAAGGCATGTCTTACATGGCAACAGACAAGAGAGAAAATGAGAATCAAGTGAAAGGGGGAAACCCCTTATAAAACCATGAGATCTTATAAGCCTTATTCACTATCACAAGAACAGTATGGGGGAAACTGCCCCCATGATTCAGTTATCTCCACAGGGTCCCTCCCAGAACACATGGGAATTATGGGAGCTACAATTCGAGATGAGACTTGGGTGGGGACACGCCAAACCATATCAATAGGGCTCTGGCTGGCTCAAAAATGTGGCTATGGCCCTGTAACCCAGCCTGCCATGTCCCTGGCCTGGTTGTCCCTTGGGCTTCCTGGGGTCCTTGAAGGGGCAAGGATCTGGAGTTAGGAGGAGGATGATGTCTGGACACACACACCGGAGAAATAATGCTCATAATTATTTACATTTGCCCATCACCTGTGCTCCACCCTGTTTGTCAGTCCTTACAGCTAGCCTAGAAAGTGGTTTCACTTTGACCCAATTTCACGGTCTTTGACATAGCATCAGAGACAGACTCCGTTTACCTCTTAGAGGAGAAAAGCTAATGATGTTTATCTCTGTTAGACCCCTGGGAGCCAGAGCCCTGGAACAAGCCAATTCTTACTGTTGAACGTCACCTCTTCCAGGCATCCTCTTCTGATGCTTCTACCCTCCATGCTGGGTTAGATCTGAACTTGGTTGAAAATGTCTGTTTAAAACATGCCTGCCATGCTTAGACTTGTTCACTGCAGTGCAGCCTGGCCTAGAGTAGGCATTCAGTAAATGTTTGTGAAATGTGAATATGTGATTCATTAAATCAATAAAGAAAATAAAGAAAAATTAATAAGAAGTATTAGAATTTTGACTTGTTCATAATTTAAAAATATGCAGATCTGATAAATGTTTATTTCTAACTGATTGAAGTGCTCTTGATTCAGTTCTCAGTGTCAGTGTAATATTAATATGGTGTAATAATAGCAGTTTTTTATTACATAGTTTTATCATTTAATCTCATAATCTGTAAGGTATTTCCTTTTTTTCATAGAATAGGTTGAAACTCAGAGAAATGACTTTAGAGTATGCAGTTCAGTAGCTACAGAGGCAAACCTTGAACCTAGGTTTTATGATTCCAAGTAGAAAAATCTTTCTTCATATCGTGCAGCATCTGTCACTAATGCTATTCACAATAGTTTGGATGTTTTGATAGAAGTAGTTTTTGTGTTCAGTTTTCCTAGTGAATGCAACACAGACAATTAAAATAATAAAAACTTCAATATCTGCTTATTAGCAAGTGCTCAGTGACATTCAGTAGTACAATAGAACAATACAGAAATGCAAATTTAATAAATTGTCTAAAAATTTAATGTATGGTTTTAATGAATGTTTTTATCATTCATTTAATTTCGAGTTCAGTATTAACAGTTAAATAAAAATATAAAAACTTGAATATAGATACATTTTTTTTCTTTCCCAGACAGATATTGATTATGTACATGGTGTTGTAGCCAACCTGGAGAAAGAGTAAGTTCTTCTTAATTATAAACATACAAATATTTTGGTTACTATTATCTCTTGGGTTTCTTGCTAAAAGAAAATGCCTTCCTTGATAGTTCATTTCTCTGTGGAGTTCATTGTTTATTAGATCACCTCTGATTGGTATTTGATATTGTCCCAAAGTAGGTGCATATATATCTAGTTATGTGATGGGATAAATTGGTTTATTTCATTATAGAAAAGACTTGAATGTCCTATGTATGTAACACTATTAAATAACAGTCTTTAATCTTGAAGACAGTGAATACAGAGAGAGTCATATGAGATTAAATCTTTCACACTGTATTTACCAGGCAAAATCTTCCTGCTCTCAGGGTAGATATTTAACGTAGTAATTTCAGACCTCAATTTTAAGCTATGTCTTAATCTGTTGTATTCTGCAAAGATTGAGTAGCAGTTTACTATGAGCGAGGCACATGGTAGGTAACAGAGGGAAAGCTTAGTAAGTTTCAGATATTATTTTTTATAATATTGCCTTAATAGTTTCAATAGCGTAATAAAATTAGTCTTGCTATGAATTTCTTCATTAAATTGTATCTGTTTTTTGTCCCTAAAAGATATACCTTCTACTTAAAAAGAAAAGACAAAAAAGAAGCAACAATTATTTGCTAACCCTACATTTAAAATAATGTGGCTCCTTGTCTATCAAAATGTTAAAATTGAATATTTAAAAACATTATAGTTCAGGATTAAATTGTTATTTGTTTGGTTTTCCTGAAGTGCTGAGTTTCTTGGAAGTCCTTATAGAAACAAAATTTGGCATAGACTTCTTAAGGAACAGGGCAGTAATGATTGGTCCCCTTTCCCACTGACCTCAGGGGCAAGTCTGTGGGCTTATGCAAGGATTCTGGTGATTTACATCTTCCTTAGTGTGTAGAAAACCAAGCTCAGACAAAAAGTACAGTTAAACATTAAGAACATTTGTGCAAAGGCAGGCAGTTGCACTAGCATTTTGTGGAGATTTGCAAAAATGAATCAAGGGAGAATGCAAATGCAAAAGAAATTGCAATTCAGTCAGTACAGACTAATTAAAAACTTTAGAAAGGGTTCTTAACCTCAGCCCAATGGACATTTTGGGCCAGATAATTTTTTGTTGTGGGGGCTGCCGTATGCATTGTAGAATGTGGGGCAGGATCCCTAATGTCTACCCACTAGGCGTCAGTAGTACTGATCACAGTTGTGGCAACCAGAACGTCTTCAGACATTGCTAAATGTCTTCCAGAGGGACAGAATCACCCCCAGTTGAGAAACACTGGTTGAGAATGACATGTGGTCTATAACCCACAAGCAAAGCTTCTTGAAGATGTAAGAGCTTTGGTTTTTGCAAAATATACGTATTTAAAGACACATACATACTTATTTGTTTTTCTTCAATTTTCTATTTTCTGTGAGACCTTGATTTTTTTTTTTTAATTCAGATACATTTTAGGAACGTTAATGCCTGCAGTTGGCTTAGGATTTCTATGCTACTTTAATAAGAGCAGTATTTTATAGTTTTTAAAGCATTACTTTAAAAAAAAACTTTTGCTATTGGAAAAAACTGTATTTTCTGTAAATGAAATCAGTGATGAGCTGCTCCTTTTAACACCTTGCGGCCATAACATTATACGTTGCTACAAATGATTACTGATGTGTTTTATGTTAAACACAGTGTATTGAGCTTTAAGATAAATAAAATCCCACAGAACTTAAGTAACTCAGCTAACTTTCTCATAATAGATTTTCTAAAGAAATCAGTTCTGGCTTGGTGGAAGTCATATCACCCCCTGAAAGCTATTATCCTGACTTGACAAACCTAAAGGAGACATTTGGAGACTCCAAAGAAAGAGTAAGGTGAGCATGTGCCGTTTAAAATCCTCCACACTTGTGAGTGTAAATATTTAATACATGTAGTTTTTATTTATCGAAGCTGAAAACATTTTAGAGTTGAATTTGGTAAAATATTCTAGGTAAGTCTCATTAAGTCCAGGACCGCTTGGAAATAATGTAGAGTTTTCTTAGAATATGTAAAAACTTAATATTAGCTTTTATTTTACTGTGTTTTCTTAAACTAGCTTTTAGATCCACTTCTCTTATGTGTTTCTGTAGGCTACCAGGAATTCACTGACAGGGTTTAATACTGTAAATTTAAATATGAATTTTTTAAAGCATTCAGTACCTATTTGTGAACTTTGATCTGCGTGCAAACAGTCCTAGGCACCAGAATAGGGACCCTAAAATTGTAATTTTTGAAGCACTCATTTGATGAAACATTAAGATATTACTGAAAAAAGGGTCTGTGGTCAAGGAAGTTTGGAAAAATATGTATTAAGAATTTTTTTCCCAATAAATGTCTTTACCGTTGGATATTTTTGTGCCTCTTATGAATTAATATGTTTCTAGAAGGGGAACATGTATACATACTTACTTGATATTAGACTCATTTTTTTCCTCAGGACAGCTTGAGAATTAGTGTTCTTGGGAATACATTTTGATAAAGTCTTCATTAGAGGAAAGTGAATTTTCTTTGACTCTTCGTCCTAAGTGAGTGTGTGTGTATGTGTGTGTGTGTACACATATACATAGATGACATGTTATGTAGACATTTGACATTTATACATTTAATCTTATTTTACTAAATTTGAGTCTGATTCCTAACTTACTTTTTGAAAATGTTTATTTCAGATGGAGAACAAAGCAAAACCTAGATTACTGTTTTCTAATGATGTATGCTCAAGAAAAGGGCATATATTACATTCAGGTAAGTGTAGTTTTTCCTTTGTTTTTCATGCTTGTAAAGAAAAAGTGTTATCAAGGGTATGTTTTCATTAAAACAGGAAGTTTTGAAAGTGCAAACCCTCTGAGATCTGACAAATCATAACTATCTCAGAGCAGAGGGGTCTCCATGGTAACTGAGCATGTGGGCTCTGATGTTTCTCCACTGAGTAGGGAAGCCAGCCCTCCACTTAGCGGGGGACCTGCAACTCACTTATCTTTTTCCTCTTTTTCTCCCATTCCCCCATCTTCTCTTCCCTCTTCCCTCTCTCCACTGTCAAGAAGAACTAAGATGTCATTATTTGGCAGATTTTAAAGAGGAATTTTCTTACAATTTTTCTTTAGTGGTCTTACAATGAACTAATTTTTTTTTGTAGGCCACAATACTGTTACCACTATTTTGAAGATAATAAAATTGACATTTAATTCTAACAGTCCAATTATTTTTAGCAGCACAACAGTCCAATTTTTACCAAGAACACAATATGTCATGGGATTACAGACACGAGCTGCTGCACCTGACATGTAGCATGTTTTAAAATTAGGAAGTATGAGGCCTCCAACTGTGTTCCCTTTTTTTTAAGACTATTTTGGCTGTTTAGGGTCACTTCAGACTCCATGTAAATTTGAGGAGGATTTTTTTCTATTTCTGTAAAAAATGCCTTGGGAATTTTGGTAGGGATTGTATTGAATCTGTAGATCGCTTTAGGTAGTGTGGACATTTTAATATTATTAAGTCTTCCAATACATGAGCACAAGATGTCTTTCCATTTATTTGTATCTTCTTTGATTTCTTTTAGAAATGTTTTGTAGAAAAATTTTCCACCTCCCCAGTTAGGTTTATTCCTAAGTATTTTATCTTTTTTGATACTACAGTAAATGGCATTGTTTTCTTGATTTTTTTTTTGGATTGGTCATTGTTAGTATACAAAAATACAACTATTTTTGTGTGTTGATTTTGTATCCTGAAACTTTGCTGAAATCATTTATTGCTTGTAGTTTTTGGTGGATTCTTTAGGTTTTTCTACATATAAGATTATTTCATCTGCAAATAATGATAATTTTACTTCTTCTTTTCCGGTTTGGGTACCTTTTACTTTTTTTACTTGTTTAATTGCTCTAGTTAGGATTTCCAGCACTATGTTGACTAGTAGTGGTGAAAGTGGGACTCCTTGCCCTGCTTCTAATCTTAGAGGGAAAGCTTTCATTTGTTTGCTGCCAAGTGTGATATTACCGATGGGCTTTTCATATATTACCTTTATTTTGTTGAATAAGTTTTTTTCTATTTCTAGTTCGTCACATTTTTTTTAATCAAGAAAGTGTCTTGAATGTTGTCAAATGCTTTTCCATACCAATTGAGATGATCATGTGTTTTTTTCCTCCATTTTGTTAATGTAGTATATGTTACACTGATTGATTTTTGTGTGTTGAACGATCCCTGTATTGCAGGTATAAATCCCACTTGGTTATGGTGTATATAATTCTTTTAATGTGCATTTTAATTCCATTTGCTAGTGTTCTGTTGAGGATTTTTGCATCAGGGATATTGGTCTGTAGTTTTCTTGTGTCTTTGTCTGGCTTTGGTGTCAGAGAAATGCAGGCCTCCTAGAATGTGTTTGAAAAGTGTTCCCTCTGTTTCAGTTCTTTGGAAGATAGCTGTTTGAGGAAGATTGATGTTAATTCTTTAAGTGTTCAGCAGAATTTTCCAGTGAAGTTCTCTGGTCCTGGGTTTTTCTTTGCTGAGAGGTTTTTGATTACTGCTTTAATCCCCTTAGTTATTATAAGTGTGTTCAAAGTTTTTATTTCTCCATGATTCACCCATGGAAAATTGTTTTTAGAGGTTTATCCATTTCTTGTAGATTATCCAATTTGTTGGCACATAATTGTTCCTAGTAGTCTCTTGTAATTCTTCTATTTCTGTGATATCAGTTGTTATGTTCCCTCTTTCATTTCTACTTTTAGTTATTTGAATCTTCTTTTTTTCTTAGCTAATCTAGCTAAGGGTTTATTAATTTTATTGATCTTTTCAAAAACCAACTCTAGGTTTCTTTGGGTTTTTTTCTGCTTTTTTTTTTCTATTTATTTATTTTTTTCTATTTATTTATCTGATCTAATCTTTATTTTTTTTTCTCCCTTCTGCTAATTTTGGGTTTAGTTTGTTTCTTTTTTTCAATTTCCTTGAGGTTGAAGTTAGGTTGCTGATTTTGAGATCTTTCTTCTTTTTTTTAATGTAAATGTTTACTGGTATAAACTTCCCTCTTTGTATGGCTTTTGCTATATATCATACATTTTGGTATATTTTTTTTTTTGTTTTCGTTTGTTTCTGGATTTTTTTCTAAATCCCTTGTGATTTCTTCTTTGACCCATTGGTTGTTTAGGGGCGAGTTGTTTAATTTCCACACATTTGTGTATTTTCTGGGTTTACTTTTCTGCTATTGACTTCTAGTTTCATTTTGTTGTAGTCAGAGAAGATACATTGCATAGTTTTAGTCTTCTTAAATTTGTTGGTGGGCGGCACTGGCTCACACCTGTAATCCCAACACTTTGGGAGGCTGAGGTGGGCAGGTCACTTGAGTTCAGGAGTTCAAGAGTTCAAGACCAGTCTGGGCAACATGACGAAATCCTGTCTCTAATAAAAATACAAAAAATTCACTGGGCATGGTGGTGCATACCAGTAGTCCCACCTACTCGGGAGTCTGAGGTGGGAGTATCAGTTGAGCCCAGGAGATTGAGGCTACAGTGAGCCTTGTGCTCTCCAGCCTGGGTGACAGAGTGAAAACCTGTCTTAAAAAAAATTGTTGGCTGGGCACGGTGGCCCACGCCTGTAATCCCAGCACTTTGGGAGGCTGAGGTGGGCAGATCACAAGGTCAGGAGATCGAGACCATCCTGGCTAACACGGTGAAACTCCGTCTCTACTAAAAATACAAAAAATTAGCCGGGCGTGGTGGCGGGCGCCTAGTAGTCCCAGCTACTAGGGAGGCTGAGGCAGGAGAATGGCGTGAACCCGGGAGGTGGAGCTTGCAGTGAGCCGAGATAGCGCCACTGCACTCCAGCCTGGGCGACACAGTGAGACTCTGTCTCAAAAAAAAAAAAAAAAAAAAATTGTTGAGATATTATGGGGCCTAACATGTGGTCTGTCTTGGAGAATGTTCCATATGCTCTTGAGAAGAATGTGTATTCTGCTGTTGTTGGGATCAGTGTTCTTTATGTCTGTCGGGTCCGTTTGATTATAGTGTTGTTTAAGTCCGATGTTTCCTTATTGATCTTCTGTCTGATCTATCCATAACTGAAGTAGAATATTGAAACCCCCTAGTATTATTGTGGTGGTGTTTGTTTCTTCTTTCAATTCTGTCAGTGTTGACTTCATATATCTGAGACCTCTATTATTAGGTGCATCTTTATTTAGAATTGTTATGTCTTTTCAGAGATTTGACTGACCCTTTTATTATTGTACAATGTCCTTCTTTGTCTCTTGTGACAGTTTTTGTCTTAAAGTCTTATTTTGTCTAAGTATGGCCATCCTTGTTTTCTTTCAGTTCTGGATTTCATGAATTATCTTTTTTCATTCTTTCACTTTTAACCTATGTGTGTCTTTTGATGTAAAGTAAGTTTCTTGTAGATAGTATATTAATAGATCTCATTAAAAATTTCCATTTGGCCTAACTGTGTCTTTTAATTGGGATGTTTGACCCATTTACATTTTTAGTGATTACTAATACAGAAAGACTTACTATTGCCATTTACTTTATTTTTTTGTATGTCTTGGAACTTTTTGTCTATCTTTTCCTCTCTTGCTGCTTTCTTTTGTGTTTCGTTGATTTTTTAAAATAGTGACGTATTTTGATTCCCTTTCTATTTCCTTTTGTGTATATTCAATAGATACTCATTTTGTAGTTACCATTGCAATTACATATCTTAAAGTTATAACAGTCTATTTATTACTTCAATGACAAATAAAATCTCTACTCTTTTACATCTCTGTCTCCCCTGCACTCTATTTTACCAATGACACCAGTGACCGCTTTTTATATTGCATATACATTAACTCAGATTTATAATTATTGTTTGTGCTTTTAGTCTTTAAGAAGTGATTTTAATGTGATCAAAAGATTTGAAAGGGGTACCAGATTTTAAAGTGATTCATGCACCTGCATTACCTTACTACGTCTATATTTATCTGTATATTTACCTTTACCAGGGAGTTTTATATTTTTATATGGTGCTTTATTACTGCTTATTGACCTTTCACTTCAACTTGAAAATGTTCCTTCAGCAGTAGGGCAGGTCTAGTGGTGATGAACTCACTCAGCTTTTGTTTATCTGGGAAAGTCTTAATTTCTTTCTTTCTTTCTTTCTTTTTTTTTTGAGATGGAGTCTTGCTCTGTTCCCCAGGCTGGAGTGCAGTGGCACAATCCCAGCTCACTGCAACCTCCACCTTGCTGCGCCCAGCCTGAACATTCTTTTTTTCTTTTCCTTTTTTTTGAGATGGAGTCTTGCTCTGTCGCCCAGGCTGAAGTGCAGTGGCGCGATCTCGGCTCACTGTAAGCTCCACCTTCCGGGTTCACGCCATTCTGCCTCAGCTTCCCGAGTAGCTAGGGTTACAGGTGCCCACCACCACACCCAGCTAATTTTTGTATTTTTAGTAGAGATGGGGTTTCACCGCGTTGTTCAGGCTGGTCGCGAACTCCTGACCTCAGGTGATCCACCTGCCTCGGTCTCCCAAAGTGCTGGGATTACAGGTGTGAGCCACCGCGCCTGGCCTTCTTTACTTTTGAATTACAATTTTGTCAGATATAATATTCTTGGCTGGCCAGTTTTTGTTTAGTATGTTTTAGCACTTTGAACATATCATTCCACCCTCTTCTAGCCTATAATAAAGTTTCTTCTGGGAAATCTGCTGATAATCTAATAGACGTTATCTTGTATTTGTTGGGTCACTTTCCTCTTATGGCTTTCAGGATTCTTTGTGACTTTTGACAACTTCATTATGATTCTTCTTGGTGTAGATCAATTTATTGTAGTTGGGGTTCTTTGAACTTTTTGAATTTGTATGTCCATTTCTATCCTCATATTTGGGAAGTTCAAATAGGCTCTCTTCTCCTTGTAGAACTCTCATAATGTGTATGTTGTTTCACTTTGTGCTGTCCATAGGTCCCTTAGGGTATCGCTATTTTTCTGTTATTCTTTTTTCTTTTTGCTCCTGTGCCTCAGTAATTTCAAAAGTCCTATCTTTAAGTTCACTGATTCTTCTGCCTGCTCAGGTCTGCTGTTTAGTCCTTCTAGTGAAATTTTCAATTCAGGTTTTGTATTCTTCAGTTTTAGAATTTCTGTTTGGCTCTTTATAGTTTCTATCTCTATTGATATTCTCATTTTGTTCATGCATCATATTCCAAATTTCATTTAGTTGTCTGTCTCTGCTCTCTTTTAATTTACTGAGCAATCTTATGACAGTTATTTTGAATTACTGGGCAGTTCATATGTCTTCATTTCTTTGGGGTTGGTTTCTGGAGTTTTAACTTGTTCCTTTGGATATACCATATTTTTGTTTATTTGTATATCTTGTTTTTTGTTGTTGGGATCTTGGCATTTGAAAAATCAGCCACCTCTCCCAGTCTTTGCAGTTTGGTTTTGTAGTGGAAGGATTTTCTTCAGTCAGCCTAGTTAAAGACTCTGGAGCCCTTTGAGCCTTTTCTGGGGCCATGTCCTCTCTGCTTGTGGGTGTAATCTCCTAATTGAAGTTGACTGGTTTCTAGTCAGGAGCTCTGCAGCACTGTGGCCTTGTTGGTATTGTAGTAAGCTGCAGTACTGGAGCTCCACCTAGTTTCTGTCTCTGGTACTGCAGCCTCTGGTGCCAACTGATGGCCTTTGTTCTTAGCTCCCAACCTGGTGCCCTGTTCCTGACACTATGATTTAGATGAGACAGAAATCATTCCCTCTGGCTGCACTCGAAAAAGTCAAAAACACTGGGTATACACCAACTTCTTTCTCTCCTTAGGGAGAAGTCGGGAATTGAGTGTTTCCTCACTGTGGTCTGTGCCCAAGAGAGGGCCTCTGGCTGTGGAATGCTCAGATTTTAAATCTGTGTCTCGTGTGGGGAATGTGTCTTGTGTGTCTGGGTTTCCTGTTTCTGTCTCGCTGATGTCACTCTCACACAGCCCTCTTTTACAGTAGAGGATCATGCTGTATGTACTGTCTGATAACCTTTTTTGCTGTCACTTAACATACTGTTGATAGGTACCTTGCTATGCCAGTAAATACAGATTGGTGTGATTTTTAATCCCTTCTTGAAGTCCTGTTATTCAGATATCATAATCAACCTTCTTGTTGGTCATTTAGATTGTTTCTAATTGTTCAGTTCTTTCGAAGTCAAATTCAATGAACATTCTTTTGTTTTTCAGAGACAGAGTCTGACTGTCACACAGGCTGGAGCGCAGTGGCACAGTCATAGCTCATGGCAGCCTCAAACACCTGGGCTCAAGTGATCCTCCTGTTTTAGCCTCCCAGGAAGCTGGGACTAAGGCATGCACCACCATACTGGGTTAATTTTTGTATTTCTTTTTGGTAGAGATGGGAGTATTGCTAAGTTGCCCAGGCTGGTCTTGAACTCCCGGCCTCAAATGATCCTGCTGCCTCTGCCTTTCAAAGAGCAGGTGTTACAGGTTTGAGCCACTGGTCCACTGGTGTCAGTGAGCTTTTTTTTTTTTTTTGGAGACAGGGTCTTCCTCTCTTGCCAAGGCTGGAGTGCAGTGGTGCAAACACAGTTCACAGCTCGCTGCATCCTTGACCTGGGTCATATGATCCTCCCACCTCAGCCTCCTGTGCGGCTGGGGCCACAGACATGCACCACCATGCCTGGCTAATTTTTTTTTTTTTTACTTTTTGTAAAAACAGGGTCTCACTTTGTTGCCCAGGCTGTTTTTGTTTGTTTGTTCGAGACATAGTCTCCCTCTAGCCCAGGCTGGACTGCAATGGTGTGATCTCAGCTCACTGCACCCTCTGCCTCCCGGGTTCAAGTGATTCTCCTGCCTCAGCCTCCCAAGTAGGTGGGATTACAGGCACTTGGCACCAGGCCTGGCTAATTTTTTGTATTTTTAGTGGAGACAGGGTTTCACCATGTTGGCCAGGCTGGTTTCAAACTCCTGACCTCAAGTGATCCACCTGTCTCAGCCTCACAAAGTGCTGGGATTACAGGTGTGAGCCACCACACCCAGCCTGAACATTCTTAAAATAATCACATTTGCCCAAAAATTATGCCTCAGGAAAGAGGGAGTTGCTTTATATTCAAGTCTTCACATACGCTTATTATGTGGAATTCTCTCAGTGAGTTCATTGTCATCTACAGAGTATTAGTGGGAAAAACATATTAGCCTAAAAAGTTCTCAGTTAATGGTAGTTTTAAATGTTCATACAGGTTAGATTTTACCTGTGACATTTTGTTGAAGACTAAGATGAGAGGTGATGTGGCAAAGGAATTTATTCCAGACGTCATAATTATCCCCTTGGGATATGACTCCAGGTTTGCATGGTTTGGGAATGTATCACATCCATGACTCTTAAAGAATGCTTTCCAAAAGGCAGTAGAGTCAGGGGTTACTTTGTGATTGTCATAGACATACCCCTCAGGGGAAAGGGAGATGCTGTGGCTTGGAATGGAGTTTCCACTGACAGCATCATACGGTTTCATAAAGTGCTTTATTGCAAAAAACTCTGAGTTGAACACGGTGCCTTCTGGAAAACTGATAGATGATGCAGGCACTTCACAGGTGGTGCTTGAGTAAGTCTTACGGTAGCGCATAAGAAAGCGCGTTATGGGCCGGGCGCAGTGGCTCACGCCTGTAATCCCAACACTTTGAGAGGCCGAGGCGGGTGGATCACCTGAGGTCAAGGGTTCGAGACCAGCCTGGCCAACATGGTGAAACCTCATCTCTACTAAAAATACAAAAAAAATTAGCTAGGCGTGGTGGCGTGTGCCTGTAGTCTCAGCTACTTGGGGAGGCTGAGGCAGGAGAATCACTTGAACCCAAGAGGCAGAGGTTACAGTGAGCCGAGATTGTACCACTGCACTCCAGTGTGGGCGACAGAGGGAAACTCCATCTCAAAAATAAAAAATAAAAATAAAAAAAGAGCACATTACATCAGGCAGTCCCACCTCCAGCGAGGCTGAGAGTAATCAGTGGGTTCCATATGCCTGCCTCATTGCTGCATTATAAATTTAGCTCTCCAGCAGCTGTTCCACTTAAGGTTTCAGCATCCATTGATTATTTTTCCCTAGATCACTTATTTCATTAGCGGTTTCCAAGTGGTGCTTTCCTAATTCTGTAATTGCTAATGCTCTTAGCTTAGTTCTAAATGCTATGTTGAGTTCTTCTATAAAGAATTTTTCTTCCTTTATTAGATTACCTTGAAAAACAGTTCTTAAAGAAAGGCTGGAGTAAATGCTTGATTTCATGCTCTTACTAATTTTTAAAGTTGGTGCCTTAGCAATCTACAGTTGTGGCTGTTTTTAAAGTATCATTATGTTACCTATTGGGTACTATGTTCACCATTTGGATGGTGGGCTCAATAGAAGCCCAAACCCCAGCATTATGCAATCTATCCATGTAACAGACCTGCACATGCATCCCCTTAAAAACAATGTATCGTTATGAAGTGATGGATATTTAAAATACATTTGATTTGCCACAGTCCATTGCAATCATTATTCTTATTGATGCTTTCATTGGTACATCATAATCCAGTGGGAACCCCTTCAAATTGGCTTTTGTATCCTTTCTATATAAGTCCAGCAATCTTTTTGGGGGCTCAAGTGATCCTCCTGCCTTAGCCTTCCAAGTAGCTAGTATTACAGGTACCCACCCCCATGCCTGGCTAATTTTTTAATTTTTTGTAGAGATGAGGTCTTGCTCTGTTGCCTAGGCTCATCTTGAACTCCTGGGCAACTCAAGCCATCTACCTGCTTGGGCCCCCCGAAGTGCTGGGATTACAGGCGTGAGCCACTGTGCCTGGCCTCAGTAATTGTGATTGTTTCTTTGATGATTGGCACATCTTGCGCATTTCCTATCCCAGATCTGGAATCGATCATTGAGGAGTGCTATTCCTCTTCAGGGTGTGTGGTATATAGAAGCACAATCTGGGCGCTTAAAGGTGCTCATTGCTATTGTCTTGTTTTTGCTTCTAGGACTTTCAGCAAGAAAAAGTGTATTTTATTTTACAGAGGAAAAAAAAATCACACGTTTGTATTGATAGTTCCAATTCAAACTGGATTAAGATGTAAGATTTTAGGGTTATAATAAAATTATAGGACTTTTACTTAGCTTTTCAAATTTTTACGTGTATTTATTTTCTTTTATATTGAAAGCCTTGGTTTTCAATAATATCCTAATAATATAATTTTTTATTCTGTAATATACGTAAAATAGCTTCACAATATCAATACCATTATCACTACTAACAGTAAGACTACTAAATTCAGTTTAAACTTTCTTTGTGCTTTCTACCCCATAGAATGTATCCTGATATCCTCCTTCTCTTTTTCCCCCTCCCTCCCCATAACTTCTGCTGTGATAAGACCTTTATCTTGTGCTCTCTCTGCCCCATCCACTCACATGTCAGCATCATTCCAGCTGTCTTACTTGGAAAGGATGTCCTCATTTTCCTCATTGTTATTTCCCATAGAAAGGAGTGGCTTAGTTGACTTACGATGTATTTCTTCCATTTTGTTTTCTTCACTTTCTTTTAATAATATCTAGCTTTATATTTTTATTGTTTTTACCATTGTCTTCTTCATTTTCATGATAAAGGTATGCTTGTATTTTTCCATAATAATATCCTTCTCTCAATACCTTTCTTTTTTTGATGTATTAATATGATTGTTCAATTTTCTCTAGCTTGAAGATGATATTATTGTCAAACAAAATTATTTTAATACCATAAAAAATTTTGCACTTCAACTTTCTTCTGAGGAATGGATGATTCTAGAGTTTTCCCAGCTGGGCTTCATTGGTAAGAAAAGTGTCACACTTACCTACTTTTCATAAATAACTGTGACTCTCAGAATCTAAAACCAAGTAGCTACTTGTCCTAAAGATGTCTTTTTTTCCTATGGAAATGGGTTGTTTTAGAGAAAACTTAAGTTAGGTAAACCTCTTTGTATGACATGATGAAAGTCAACCCAGAATAGAATTTGGAGACTTCTAAGATTATTGTATTTACTGTAGCGTTCTTCACAATGCCAACCGTGGTGCTGGTGAGCATGTTTGATTTTTTCTTCTCTGGCATTTCCAGCTCCTTTGTTAACATAAGATTGCAGTTCTTTTAAAAACAATACCACAAAGAGTTTTCTCATATAAATTCCTAGTATTTTCATGCAATGCATGAAGTCCTAATTCAGTGATTAATTTTTATTCGTTTTTCTCTTAACTAGTTGGGGCACTCATTTCTAAATGGTTTTTGGCTGATGTTTCAAAATTAGCCAGCTTAAGAATATGTTTAAAGTTAGCCAGGCGCAGTGGCTCACGCCTGTAATCCCAGCACTTTGGGAGGCCGAGGCGGGTGGATCACCTGAGCTCAGAAGTTCAAGACCAGTCTGGCCAACATGGTGAAACCCTGTCTCTACTAAAAATACAAAAATTAGCCTGGCATGGTGGCAGACGCCTGTAATCCTAGCTCCCCGGGAGGCTGAGGCAAGATAATTGCTTGAACGGGGGAGGTGGAGGTTGTAGTGAGCTGAGATCGCGCCCCTGCATTCCAGCCTTGGGGACGAGAGTGAGACTCAATCTAAAAAAAAAAAAAGAGTATGTTTAAAGTTGAAGAATTGAAGGAAATTTACAGGGTTCAAATAATATTGAGAGGTTAACATTTCATCTCCTATGGTACTTTTTAACACTTTAAGCATTTAGAGGCTGGACCTTTGACAATCTTGATCATTTAACTCAAAACTTAAAAGTCAAAAACCATCTTTACTTGCAAATGCTTTAGTGAAAACAAAATTAGGAGTCCTTATTTTTTGCATTTATTGATTCAGATAAAATTTTTTACCTAAACCTCTCAATGTTAAATGGGAAGAATCTTAGTAAGACACGAAGGGAAAATCTCTGACTTGCTTTTTGAATGCTTTGGGCCAGTAGGTATACGATAGATTATTATAGTAACATCGGGAATTTACTATATCTGTTTACACCCAGGTGACAGCTCAAGAGAAAGTTTAGCCGAAGCAACTTTGTTTAATTTTGATAATACAAGTGGGGAAATTGTTTATGATGATTTATAGTTGAAAGCGCAAGCCTCAGTGTATGTCGTGGGCAAGATTTCATGAATGTAAGCCATTTTGGTGCTTGGTTTCTTCATTGCAGCTATTGACTGGGAATATCTTTTCAGGTAAAATGTTTCAAGCGCCGGATCTTACTCTGATTGTAGAATTCATATTCATGTTTTACAAGGAGAAACCCATTGATTGGCTCCTGGACCATATTCTCTGGGTGAAAGTCTGCAACCCTGAAAAAGATGCAGTAAGTTAATTCCTCACCAGAGTGGAGGGAGTTTCACTTCTGTATTTCGTGAAAGTGACTTTTAGAGATTTTGCAAATAAATAGTTAAATAGGTAGGTGATATAAAACTTCTTTCCTGAGCTGATAAAAAGTTTCTATATTAGAAGAACTTTTAGATAGCAGTGGAAGATCCTGTAAAGCAGGAAGCTGTTACAAGATGACGTACATTCTTTAAATTGCTGATAAATGTTTCTAGTGTTTGTAAGCCCTGGTGGTTTACTAACATTGGATGTAGATGTTGGTCATATCTGTTCTTGGCATGGGATACCATTTCAGTTTGTTTTCTTCATATTTCCTGTTCACTCTCTTTTTCCTTGTATACTGGGGACGATATTAGACCCTAACACATCTGTAAATGAGGAATAAAATAGAAGTAATATTTTATACCAAAACAATGAGACGTTAAAGTACCTTTCAGCGTGTTACAAAAAGCCAGTGTTCATAATAATATGATTACCTTTGGGATAATAGTTGCAGTCAAGTAAGTGAATAATAATTTTTGCTTTGATCATTCAGATAGCATGTTATTACCATAGAGATCTTATTGTTAAGAGTAATTAGGCCAGGTACAGTGGTTCACGCCTGTAATCCCAGCACCTTGGGAGCCCAAGACTGGAGGATCACTTGAGCCCAGAAGTTCAGGACAAGCCTGGGCAACATATCAAGACCCATCTCTACAAAAAAACAATGATTTTTTTTTAAAAAGAGTAATTAGGTATGTTTTCCTTGTCCAATTTGAATTGTGTCTCTGAAAAAAAACTATAGCTTTTAATTTATTTGATGTAAGCATAAACAATATGTAAAAGTACAAATTCTTTAAAATGTCCATTTTGATGTGTAATGATAAGTATTACTGTAAGAACATGTCATTATAGAGTTGACTTACCATTCATTGTAACAAATAAGCATTAGTTTGACTTCATGACCTTCTACTCCCTAGAATAGTTGGATCCTCATACCTGCTAGGTTTTAGGATACTACCTTCTGGTGTCTGTAGGCTATCATTGCATTCTGTTTAAAAAAAACCACAAAAATTTTAAAAAACCCCAACACATTCTTAGTTAGAGGAAATCATGGAATCTAGCAATGGCAGAGTATCTGTTTTCCGACAATTAGTTGAACATATAAATTGTTTTAAACAAATCATTTTTTAGAGATCTCAGTCCTTATGCACATTTTCACTGTGACTTATAGAAATTTTTATTGTAGGACACAGAAAAAGTTAACGTCATCTTTAACCTCCTACAATACACTTGCATTCCATTCGTCCTGTGCAATTTTATTTAATATGTGGTTAGGTTCTAAAATGAGCCTGTGAGGTGAAAACATCTATAGTAGAAATTAAAACCACAAAAACCCTCTAAATCCTCCATAAATTTGGGTACATGAACTTTTGGACGATTTCATCCATTCCTTCACTCTTCTGTAGTCCATGTTTTTGTGTGGCCTCTAATTCTTCAGTTGCTTCCCCTAGAATCTCGAGGGTGCTGTCGCCACATCCTTGACAGTGGCCTGGGAAACCCTTCGAATCATTTATACATTGTCCCAAAGGGTTATCAGCGTGCTTGGGCCCTTCGGCCAGAGTCCTTCCATTGCCACTGGAGTGACAGGCTGAGTTCCAGACACTGCCTCGGTGGTTTTGCTCTCTCCTCAACCTTGCGCTCCCCAGTCTTCTCTCTCTCTTGCCCTTTGCCCTTCCCTTTGACTCTTCCTCCCTTTCTTTCTCCTTCCACTTGAGTATTTGTGCAAAGAAAATACACTATTTCACCTTTATTGTAGTGTCAGTAATAATGCCAGTGAAGTGAAACCTCTTGAGAAGTAGGCATTTTAGCACCCAGTATATTATTAGAAGTCTTCTACAGTGTAAATTTCTTTTTTTTTTTTTTTTGAGACAGAGTTTTGCTCTTGTCACCCAGACTGGAGTGCAATGGCGCAGTCTCAGCCCACTGTAGCCTCTGCCCCCCAGGTTCAAGCGATTCTCCTGCCTCTCAGCCTCCTGAGTAGCTGGGACTACAGGCACGGGCCACCACGCCTGGCAAATTTTTATATTTTTAGTAGAGACCAGGTTTCACCGTGTTGGCCAGAATGGTCTCAATCTCGTGACCTCATGATCCCCCAACCTCAGCCTCCCAAAGTGCTAGGATTACAGACGTGAGCCACCAAGCCGGCTGCTAATTTTTGTATTTTTTTTTCTTTTTTTTCTTTTGTGAGACGGAGTCTCGCTCCGTGGCCTAGGCTGGAGTGCAGTGGCGCGATCTCGGCTCACTGCAAGCTCCGCCTCCCGTGTTCACGCCATTCTCCTGCCTCAGCCTCCTGCATAGCTGGGACTACAGGCAGGCGCCCGCCACCACGCCCGGCTAATTTTTTTTTTTTTTTTTTTTTTTGTATTTTTAGTAGAGATGGGGTTTCACCGTGTTAGCCAGGATGGTCTCGATTTCCTGACCTCGTGATCCGCCCACCTCGGCCTCCCAAAGTGCTGGGATTACAGGCGTGAGCCACTGCGCCTGGCCAATTTTTGTATTTTTAGTAGAGACAGGGTTTCACCACGTTGGCCAGGCTGGTCTGAAACTCCTGACCTCAGGTGATCCATCTACCTTGGCCTCCCAAAGTGCTGGTATTGCAGGCGTGAGCCACCGTGCCCAGTCAAGTGTAAATTTCTTACAAAGATGTGTTTTTTGATTTTTTTTGGCCCCAAACTTTTGTAAGTTATTGAAAATGAAAAGTCTAAATAAATATTTGTCAAGGTGGCCCTCGGTGTTGCACAGCCTTCACACGCCAGGCCCATGCATGAGGACAGGTTGAGATGGAACGTCTGGACCGTGGGGCACTACGAGTTGAAACATAGGTGTCCCTTCCTGTGTTGACAGAGATTGTCTGTGGAATTTTTAATATCATTTACTTGCTTCTAGGCAAATGATTGCCTCACATTTTCAAGTTGCTTTCATGCAACAAAATGCGCCATTTATAATTTGCAAATTCATTATATTATTAAATAAAAAATATTTTGTATATTTGAACTAACCCCCTAGTCTATAGTTTATTCATTTTAATATTAAAAGTCAAATCTTTGTTGACATGTGTTGAAGGATGGTTGAAATTAAATCCTTCACTCTTCCCTTAACTATGCTTATTTTAAATTTCTGGATCATGACTATTTATCAAGGAAGTAGCAAATCTATTAGTGCCTCAAAGACTAGAAAAAAATATGATTTGTAATTATGACTTGAAGTTGTTTTCTTTTCAATTTTGTTGTTGTTGTTTTGTTTGTTTGTTTGTTTTTGTGACAGAGTTTTACTCTGTCACCCAGGCTGGAGTGCAGTGGTGCGATCTCGGCTCACTGCAACCTCTGCCTCCTGGGTTCAAGCGATTCTCCTGCTTCAGCCTTCCGAGTAGCTGGGATTATAGGCTTGCACACCTGGCTGATTTTTGTGTTTTTAGTAGAGATGGGGTTTCACCATGTTGGCCAGACTGGTCTCAAACTCCTGACCTCAGGTGATCCACCTGCCTTGGCCTTTCAACATGCTGGGATTATAGGCATGACCCACCGCGCCCAGCCCTTCTTTTCAATATTTTAATAAAGGACTTCTCATTTTCCAGGTGAGGGCAAGATTTCACTTTATGATGCAACACTAACGTGATTTTTTTTAATATTTAGAAACATTGTGATAGACAGAAAGCAAATCTGCGAATTCGCTTCAGACCTTCCCTTTTCCAACATGTTGGTCTGCACTCATCACTATCAGGAAAAATCCAAAAACTCACGGTTGGTGACTTAATTTTATTTTCTCATGAACATACAACTTGTTATTTAAGTTATAATTATTGTTTTTCTTCTTAAATAAGCTGTGTATTATTTAATAGCATATATGTCTTTGCTCCCAGGATAAAGATTATATGAAACCATTACTTCTTAAAATCCATGTAAACCCACCTGCGGAGGTATCTACTTCCTTGAAGGTCTACCAAGGGCATACGCTGGAGAAAACTTACATGGGAGAGGATTTCTTCTGGGCTATCACACCGATAGCTGGAGACTACATCTTGTTTAAATTTGATAAACCAGTCAATGTAGAAAGGTTGGTGATTATTGAAATGTATGTGATCTTACAATTTGGATCTCTTATTCGTAATGTGATTTATAATAGATTTTTGTGTGTGTGCCTGACAGATGTGGGGACACAGTGGGGCCCAAAATGTTGGGCTTTAAATTACATGTAAAACAACTCCATAATAAAACGAGTATGTTGTTTTCAGATGTAATGTCAACATTTAACACGTTTGGTGAACTTCATTGGTATTTCTGGACTTAGTATATCTAGTATAATTTTTTAATACTTTTTTGCGGAACTCTCGAAAATCTCAAATTAGTGTTTATGTCTTTATCCTGGTATGTCCCTTGAAAATTGATCTGGAGCTAGTTGATTAGCCCAGCAATTTGGTTGAAATGATAAATTTGACAGAGTATGACTATTCTTAGTCAATAGTTTTACAAATGCTAGGTTATTTTCGGTACACCAGGGAGAAATTTACAGCCATTTTATGTTTTTGAGCATTTATGTTCATTTTACAAAATTTAGGACTTTCTTCCTTTTTTTTTTTTGAGACAGTCTCGCTCTGTCGCCCAGACTGGAGTGCAATGGTGCAATGTAGCTCATTGCAACCTCCACCTCCTTGGTTCAAAAGATTCTCCTGCCTCAGCCTCCGAAGTAGCTGGGATTACAGGTACCTGACACCACACCTGGCTAATTTTTTTGTATTTTTAGTAGAGACAGGGTTTCACCATGTTGGCCAGGCTGGTCTCAAACTCCTGACCTCAGGTGATCCACCCATGTCTGCCTCCCAAAGTACTGGGATTATAGGCGTGAGCCATTGTGCCTGGCCTGTTTTTAATTTAATAGTCGTGATTCCTTCAGTCCTTCTTCAGGTTTGGGTGTGTTCCCCAGATTGGCAGTGGCATACTTAAAGGAACATAGTTCCCCACTCTGTGGTGTTTCCTTTTATGTGTCCCAATGGGAGGGCCAATTTGATTTTTAGAATCCACCAGAAATCATTTTCAGTAATTCTATTTGAGGTGGTCAGAAACAATTTAGAGCTGTGATACAATGTTACTAATTTTCTTTTGTTACTCTAAACTGATTCCAAAGAGGAATTCAAGTTTTAAAAGTGTTTTAAGCATTGGGAATACCACTGGAAGAACATACAGAAATAGTTTTGAATAATATTTTGCACTTGCATGAGCATTTATTTGTTTTGCTGTTAAAGTTCATTTTTATACTATTAGTAATACTCTGCACTTTGAGATATTGTTTACCACTCAGAGAGCCAGCATAGAATTAGAAACAGCATAGATGTCCATTAGTATGTGTTTGGTTAAATAAAATGATATTGCCACGCAGTGGAATGCTGTAAGCAGTCATCAAAAATATTGACGTAGATTAGTATGTATTGACATGAAAACTTTCTTAGATATATACTAAGTGGGGTGAAAAGCAAATTTTATAACTTTATAGAATATCCTTATAGATCATTTTATAGATTATGGCATTATATGTGTATAGGATTCTAGAATATATAGCATTCTATATAGAGAGTATAGAATTATAGATTATAGAAGGATTTTTTGAAAAATAAAAACAATGTTTTACATATATTATGTACATAGAACAAATCTGCAAAAAATCTATTAAACTGTTAATAGAGGTGAGATAACAGGGACAGTTTCACTTGACTTGATACATTTATTTTGTGTGCTTTTTCCCTCAACAATCAATTTCTTTTTCTTAGTCTTTGACTTTTGAGAAAGTATAGATTCACACGCAGCTGTAGGAAGTAAAACTGAGACATCCTGTGTACCCATCACCCCACTTGCCCAAGGGGAGCATCTTGCAGACTGTGGTTTTGACACAGTATATCAAGATAAGGACCGTTTCTATCACCCCAAGAATTCCCACGTAACCTTTTACAGCCATATCTACTGGCCCACCGCTGTAACTGTATCGTAACCATACTGTGACTGGCTGAGCATTTTGAATGTGCGGGGGACTTTTTGTCAGTTCTCCTGAACTGATTGGAGCAGTCCTCTGAGGTAGATGGGACTGTCTGCATTATAGAAGAAACTCAGGCTCAGAAAGCTGAGGAAACTCGTGAAAGGTGACAATTCTAGTAACTGAGAGACCCAGGATTTGGACCCAGGTCTTTCTGACTCCTAAGCCTAAACTTTTAACCATGCAACTGAACTAGAGTTAGGTTTAGATTCAGACATACTTTGCATGTCTGACCTAGTTTCCTCCCTTCCCCACACCCTGAGAACGCATACGCATACTTACTAGTTTGTTTTCAGAGTATCAAAAACAGAGTATTATACTCACACCCAGAAAGTATTTTAGATCTGTCACCATATATCGATAATTAGTCATTCTTCAAATGCTTTTTTAATATTGATATTCAGATATTTTAAGAGGTTAATTTACTTTTAGTCTACTAATATTAAAGTTATTTGTATTGGATAGAACTAGTCTTTGTTTCTTTTATTATTATTATTTATTACTATTATTATTATTATTATTTAGAGATGAGTTCTTGCTGTGTTACCCAGGCTGGAGTGCAGTGGCACAGTCACGGCTCACTGTAGATGAGACCTTCCAGGCTAAACTCAAGCAATCCTCTCACCTTAGCTTCCTGAGTAGCTGGGACTACAGGTACATACCACCATGCCTGGCTAATTTTTTAATTTTTTTGTAGCGACGAGGTCTCACTGTGTTGCCCAGGCTGGTCTTGAACCCCTGACCTCAAGTGATCCTCCTACCTCGGCCTCCCAAAGTGCTGGGAGTACAGGTGTGAGCCACCACGCCCAGCCTAGAACTGGTCTTTGGACATGCCATGACTACTGGTTGTCCTAGTGAAGTTTTTTTCTGATATAAGATACAGCAGTATTATATAGGTGTTATAATTTTCTGGGAAGAGGGTTAAATATTTAAAGCATTATAGACAGTGACATAAAACTCATCCTTTTTGAAAATATCTAGGTACATTATTATGTTAAGCAGCAAACATAATTGTTTCTGACAGAAGGAATGAACTTATCACCTAGGAGTCATGCTCTTAAGTTTCTAAGTTCCCTACAACCATTCAGAACACATACTGTGCAGTTATTAGAAGCTCTAGCGTTGTCAACTTTGCTTGCTTAGAGTCTTGTGTAGAAAAGCTGACTCTGAGGTAAGGTCATTTTCTTGAATCTTTGTAAAATCTAGCCCGACTTGTGTTTTTATTTTGATGTTTGTATTTTCAGTTATTTGTTCCATAGCGGCAACCAAGAACATCCTGGAGATATTCTGCTAAACACAACTGTGGAAGTTTTGCCTTTTAAGGTATGACTGCTATTTCCTCTTACCTTTCCCTAACAACTAATACTAGTAGACTTAGCTTGAAGCTTTTCTTGTTTTTAAGGGGAAAGAAAATTCTCATGATTTGCAGGACTCAATGGTGAATAATATTAATTTTTTTTGAAATATGAAGCACTTTTATATTTGACGAGTGCATTTGACCCATTCATAGAAAGAGCCTTCATTTTGTTTTATCTTGGAAAGTAACAGGCCACACCCGGTGGCTCACGTCTGTAATCCCAGCACTTTGGGAGGCTGAGATGGGTGGATCATTTGAGGTCAGGAGTTCAAAACCAGTCTGGCCAACATGACAAAACCCCATCTCTACTAAAAATACAAAAATTAGCCAGGAATCGTGGCATGCGCCTGTAATCCCAGCTACTCGGGAGGCTGAGGCACGAGAATCACTTGAACCTGGGAGGTGGAGGTTGCAAATAATATGAACGTTTCTACTAGAAAAAGAAATGAATCGTATTTTATTTTATTTTATTTTATTTTATTTTATTTTATTTTTTTGAGACAGAGTCTCGCTCTGTCACTGGCTGGAGTGCAGTGGTGCGATCTTGGCTCACTGCAACCTCTGCCTCCCAGGTTCAAGTGATTCTCCTGCCTCAGCCTCCCGAGTAGCTGGGAGTATAGGTGCGTGGCACTATGCCCAGCTAATTTTTGTATTTTAGTAGAGACTGGGTTTCAGCACTGGCCAGGATGGTCTTGATCTCCTGACCTCGTGATCCACCCGCCTCGGCCTCCCAAAGTGCTGAGATTACAGGCATGAGCCACTGTGCCTGGCCTGAATCATTGTTTTCTTTAGTGTTTACTTGCTGTTTGTATTTTGAGTCCAAATTCTATGTGTTTTTAATGCCTGTTAATTAATACACAATTTAATTTATTGGTCTCTAAGGAATCCTTAGATTTCTTTCAAGTTAACTACACAGTTCTTCTATAGTTTTAATAGAAAATACTGTTCTGTTTAATTGATTTAATGTTTCATTTCCAACCACCAATATATTATATACAGATTCAAACGATGGCTTAAGAAAACATCTTTTATTATTAATCTAATAAGTTTTTTAAAGTTCAAGACTGAGATGATATTTCTCTTTTTAGGGATAGCTGTGTTACAAATGCCACTTCATCTATATTAAGATATATTAATAACTTAGGTTAAATAGAAAGAATTATTTTTGAAATTAATGCTTTTGTTTTATTTTAGAGTGAAGGTTTGGAAATAAGCAAAGAAACCAAAGACAAACGATTAGAAGATGGCTATTTCAGAATAGGTAATATCTACTTTAGTAAAATGGCCTTTATTTTTCTGGACTTACTCCTAAAGTACTTTTCAGTTCTTTTCAGATGTTAAGCAACTTGAGGATTACAATTACCAGTGTCCTCCAGGTTTTATGTGTGCTGTGTTGTAGTACTTGCTTTTATTATTTGACCCAAGTAGGATTTCATATCACAGATTGGGCTGTCTTTCTCGCTCCTTCCGTGCTGTGTGTCATGCTCTTGTTGATGCTCCCTGATAGAGAGTCTGCCTGCACTGCCTCCTACTGGATGGGTTTAGCTCCTCTCCAGCCTCAGCTCACATTGACAGGCCAGAATCTGTGCTTCGGGCCCCTTCCCTCCTCCCCAGCGTCACATCTGTGTTGAGATGTCCACTGACATAGCCTTATACCTGGCAGCCACATAGCCGTCTACCACAAGCGTCTGTAACACACACATTTCTTTATTGATCGCCAGTTTTTGCTGTCCCTATCCATCTAGTTGCCTAAGCCTAACCTGGGAGGCACCCTGAAGACTGCCCTCTTCTTGCTGTCCATTAGCACAAATCTGTCGGTTTTTCATCTGAAAGTCTTGAGTCACCCTGTCTGTGAGGGGCAGGCTGCTCTGTGCCTCCAATTCAGAGCCAGGGGAGGGACTGCATCTCGCTGTGGCTTTCCTGTGGCTTTCTAGAGCCACTGCAGTTACTTTTCTGAAATGTAACTAGAACCCTGAGGCCTTTTTGTTATCTGATCCCTTAGCTCCCACCCACCTTCACATCTGTGACTTTCTCTCATTCTTTCTCTCCAGCCCTGAGACTGTTGTTCCTCTGATGAAGGCCCCACACTCTCCGGGCAGCCACATCTCTAGCCATTTTCTCTGCCTGAAATGATTGGTCAATTATTTTTCCTTCTAATAAATGCTTTTGCACCCTTAATCTGCCCATTTAATGGCCTCGCTTCCCTGCTCTTCAGATCCCCCCGTATGTGCCTTTGCTGTGTGGTTGTGTTGTTCCATAGCTCCGTTCTGTGTGCTCCCCTGGAGAGGGAGGGGCCGTGTCTCTCCTGTATGTCCTGTAGTTAACACAGGGCCTGTCACTTGGTAGACACTGACTCAATAACTAACTGTACATTTTCTTTTGTTTAAAACAAATGAATGCTTCTCTTAGTATTAGACAAGAGCAAATATTGGTAAATTGATATTGTAGGTCTATAGGATAAATACATTTTTAAGCCCTTTCTAGAACAGTTTTACCTTTGGTAAGTATCATTCAGCCATTGCTAAGAGGCTTGCACAATAACCCTGGCTACTTTCTTTATAGTTTTGGTGGATGAATGATTTTTATATTTGGGCTGTATCTTAGCCCATCTCTAGAAATATACACAAAATCAGCTGAGTATCTGAGACATTTATTACCCCATTACCTGTCACTTATTAAATTTCTGAAAATGGTATGTTCTAGATTATGAAAGTAGCATAGGAAATAGAGACATCTATATTAAATATCTCTATAGTAATTGAAGAAAATGACCATCTAAAATATCAACTCATATGTTCTTAGAATGAGAAGTGAACTTCTGCATCATCAGCCTAGGACCTTGTGTAATCAAACAGAACAGAACTAAAGAGCAACTGATCTTTTTTCAACTGAATGTAGAACATTCTGCTTCCTTAAGAAGTCTTCTTTAATGGAATTGTGTATGAGGAGCTTCCTTGACCCTCTCGTTAGCAAAACAATTATAACTGGTGAAAATTATTTTTAAAAAACTATTTTAAATCTGTGAAGATTGTCCTAAGGGCTAGCAGCAAATGGAGCAACATTTATTCATGAGAATCTCCCAGATCTCGGGGAGGGAGCCAGGACCAGCCTTATCACTCACAGTACCCCCAGCTCGGGGAGACAGAAGCTCTGCCCTGTGCAGGTACAGCCAGGAACACTGGACTCTCCTGCCAGCTTCTAGTCTAGGGCTGTGGCATCTGCCCAGGAGGGTCAGGCTGCCAGCATCTGTCCTTACCCCCAACTCTGTTGCAGAAGCTCTGTTCCAGACAAGAGCAGCTGATGAATCTGGGCAGAACTCTGCCCTAGGCACAGCAGGGTGAGAATACTTGGCCCTGATCACCGATGTCCTAGCTCACTGCCCCAGTCCAGTCAGTAGCAGAAGCCAGCCAAGAAAACCAAGGCTTGGCTGGGCGCAGTGGCTCATGCCTGTAATCTCAGCACTTTGGGAGGCCAAGGTAGGCAGATCACCAGCTCAAGAGTTCAAGACTAGCCTGGCCAACATGGTGAAACCCTATCTCTAGTAAAAATACAAAAATTAGCCAGGTGTGGTGGTGCATGCCTGTAGTTCCAGCTACTTAGTAGGCTGAGGCTGGAGAATTGCTTGAACCCAACGCAGGAGGTGGAGGTTGCAGTGAGCCAAGATTGCACCATTGCATTCCAGCCTGGGCCACTCTGTCTCAAACAAAACAAAACAAGACAAAAACCAAGGGCTACTGCCATGACCAGTGCTCTGATCCTAAAGCAAGGTGTCACTCCAAGAGAAGGGGCTGCTGTCCTTGCCAAGGACCCAGAGCAGTGGTGCAGAGATTGTGCCCAATGGAGAGGCAGGCCAGAAGAACAGAGAGCTCTGTAGTTCTCCCTAAAGAGGAGATGACTTACTTGAACCAGAATGTGGGGAAGTTCAGCCTAAGGGTGCTGTGGAATACAATGGAAATTTTAGTGTTAAGCAATTAGAGATGTTAGCTACAGACAAGCAAATTTGGATCCCAGTGGAAAGTTTAACAGGGAGAACTAGGGAAAGAGATGCTAGTAAGAGCCCTCTTGGCGTGCAAACAAGCTGCTGTTGAGACGGGAAAAGTTCCCTTACCCACCTTTCAGGGCGTGTGATGGGGGTGTGGCTTGCTTCTTTGGTGCCCTACTGCTCAAACCCCTAGGGGAGCATGCAGAAGGGCAGGCTGTGGGGCTCTGACCCCATGGCAGTGTCTAGGGGTGAATGTTTACAGCTCCTGAGGTCCCAGTGGGCGCGTGTTACAGGGTGCTCTTTTAGTTTAGCTGTCCATAGGTGGCTTGTGTTTGTTAGCTCAATTAGACCCCCTGCCTTTTTATTTATTTATTTATTTATTTATTTATTGGAGACAGAGTCTCGCTTTGCCGCCCAGGCTGAAGTGCAGTAGTGCAATCCCGGCTCACTGCAAGCGCCGCCTCCCGGGTTCAAGTGATTCTCCTGCCTCAGCCTCCCGAGTACCTGGGATTACAGGCGCCCACCACCAGGCCTGGCTCATTTTTCTATTTTTGGTAGAGGCGGGGTTTCGCCATGTTGGCCAGGCTGGTGTTGACCTCGTGATCCACTGGCCTCGGCCTCCCAAAGTGCTGGGATTACAGGCGTGACCCACCGCACCAGCCATTAGACCCCCTGCCTTATCACAAGGACAGAAGCTTTCTGTATCCCGGGGTCTCTTGCCTTGGTGTACCGGATGAATTGGATCACACGTGGGCTTGGAGAATGAGTGCCAGGTTTTATTGAGTGGAAGTAGCTCTCAGCACATGGGGGAGCCAGAAGGGAGATGGTTTTCCCCTGGAGTCGGGCTGCCTAGGCTCTCCTCCGACTGCCCTGGCCAAATTCTGCGTCATTCCGCCCATCGATGGCCTGCCAGCATCCGCGGGTGTGCTCTTCCGCCCGCCCGTGTGCTTCCTTCCCCTCCACGTCCAGCCACTTGTGTGCCTGCCTGCTAGGGTCTCAGGGCTTTTATAGGCACAGTATGGGGACGTGGCAGGCCAGGGTGGTCTTGGGAAATGCAACATTTGGGTGGGAAGACGGAAATGCCTGTCCTCACCTAGGTCGGTGGGCACAGGCCCGAGGTTGGAGCTCTAGCCAGGGCTCATGACCTTCTCTACCCAGCACTTCCCTGCTCCCCTTGCATGTCGCCAAGACTGGCCCTGGAGAGGGGCCTGAATTTAAATGGGATCAGACTGGGTAGCAACTTACGCGTGAAGGCATTGGCAAGAACAGTAGACCATCAGCTGGCCATCAGTGGAGACCCGAGGGTTGATGGCGTGGGGGTTAGAAGAGTAGAGCGTGATAGCTAAGAATGGTCTTGTGGAAGAAATACTAGTTCTATTTCAGTGGGTTAAAGCTGCGAGACGGCAGAAGAACCTTCTGCAGAGACCCAGTGGGAGAAGGAAAGGGCCACTGGTCAGGCATGGCGGGCGGAGGGGAGCCACGGCTGTAGCCCTTGGCCGTCCCTGTCAATGCCAGGAGTGTGGGGTTCCAGTCACTCTGGTAATTTCCTTCACTTTTTCTCTTCTTTCCTGTCTTAATACTTACCTTCCAGACCATTGGGTTAAGGACAAAGGTTAAGTTTGTAGTTTGAAAAGTCATTACACACACACAGTACCAAATACAAATTTAAAAGGGTAGTCTTAAGTCTTCTTCCCTTTTCTTCTCCTACCCACTGCTTCTGAGAGGCAGTTCCCGTAATGATTTGTGTCCCTTCGGGAGTATTGTATGCATAAATAACAATATCTGGGTATGTTCTCTAAGAACAACACATCGTCACACACAAATGATACGCCCTATAATCCAGTTTTACATCTCTTTTTTTCATGGAACAAAATGCCTATGTACGTATGGAACATGAACATTTAAAAATATTTTAATAATAATAATATGCTGAGTACCTGTATCCACCCTCCAGCTTAAGATGTGCCAATTCAGCTGTCCGTCCCTAATAGCTTCTCTTCTCTTCCCCTTCTCCCCAAAGCTATACCCTAATAGCTTCTCTTCTCCTTCAACACCTGAATTTTATGGTTACCATTTCCATTTTTACTATGTATGGAATATATTCCTAAGCAATGCACAGTGGGATTTTGCCTGTTTTCACGTTTGATATAAATATCTTTCTGTGGTCTACAGTTTGGTTTCTTCCCCCTCACAATTGTGAGATTCATCCACGTGAGTGTGTGTGTTTACGACTCATTCTTTTTCACTCCTCTATGGATGGATTCTGTGGACAGCACGATCTGTTCTCTGGTCATAAAGTTTGTGTACATGTTTTTGCTGTAATAAACATGGCTGCTTTGAACACTTGTGCACATGTATGAGAGTTTCTCTACAATATAGACTTAGGAAGAGAAGCAAATCTTCAACTGCATTATCTTCAACTTTTTCTTCATTATTTGATTGATTTATTTATTTATAGATGGAGTCTTGCTCTGTCGCCCAGGGTAGAGTGCAGTGGCACAATCTTGACTCACTGCATCCTCCGCCTCCTGGGTTCAAGCATTTCTCTCTGCCTCAGCCTCCCAATTAGCTGGGATTACAGGCGCAGGCCACCATGCCTGGCTTAATTTTTGTATTTTTAGTAGAGACGGGGTTTCACCATGTTGGCTAGGCTGGTCTCGAACTCCTGACCTCAGGTGATCTGCCTGCCTCAGCCTCCCAAAGTGCCAGAATTACAGGTGTGAGCGACTGTGGCTGGCTTATTCTTTTTTATTTTTTCTTCGACTGAAGAAATTGGCTGCCTAAAATTCCCTTGTATCAGCATATTGTAATTTATTTGGCCAGGCTCCTAGTGATGGATACTTAGGTTGTTTGCAATCTTTTGCGGTAGTGTATGTACTGTTCTTATACATGGGAGAGGATAAATTGCTGGGCAAGAGTGTTTTGATGAACTACTTATCATTTGGTAATTATTTTTCTAATGAAATGAGCTCATCAGGTGACAGTATTCAATGTCACATTGGTTAAAATGTTCCAAGTTTTGCAATATTTTTAAGATCTGAATCCCATGCCTAATTCAATATTCAATAATAATTTTTGGTAGCACCTACCTGCTACCCAAGTCCAGCACCAAGTATGGACAAACTTCTATGAAATAAGTTTATTAATAATTTTTGAATAAAAGCATTACTTTGGAGGCTCATAGGTTCAACATTTACAATATAAATTAGTACAAGCCTGCTCTGCTGTGGTTTTCAATCTGAATGTACCTTATTTTATTATTAATCTATTAACTATGCTGTGAGACTGGACAATGGATTGCATAATGTAACAGCATGTGGTCAGCAAACTACGGTCCATGGGGCACATCTGGCCCTCCACCTGTTTTTGAATAGTCTGTGATCTAAGAACATTTTTTAAAAAGTCATCTTTTTCTTTTTTTGTTTTTAAATGGCTAAAAAAGTAAAAAGAATACATTGTGCTATGTGAAAATTATATAAAATTCAGATTTCTGTGTCCATAAATAAAGTTTTTTTGGAAGACAGCCATGCTCATTTTCTAATGTAGTGTGTGCGTGTGTGCTTCTCTCCAACAGCAAAGATGAGTGAGTAGGTGCAGGAGAGATCGAGGTCATGCTCTCCCGGCTTTGCACTGCTGCTTAGAGTACTGCAGATCACAATGATGCATTTATAATTGGACAGTATTTTGAGAGCCACACATATCATGGCACTCTGACTTAAAAAAAAATTACAAGTACTTATCCATCATCAAAACAAGAAAAGTAGATTTTGAGCATTGTGGCTTTTAACACTGTAGAATGTGGGTTATGTTACAAAATTGTTGGCAAGTCATTGTAGTTATTGTGCAGTTATGTGAGAGCTGTACGTTATTAGGCTAAATACAATGATACTCCCAACTCACAGGAAAGCAGTGGTCAGAAAAGTTAGAAACTTTAGAATGGAATATCTCATCACAGCAGAATTTCTTCACTAAAAATAAAAATGAGGCTGTTCCCAAAGTGGTATTTCAAGTGGCTTATTTTTTAGCTAAGCAAGAAAAACCACTTACCAATCACGAGTTAATTAAATCATGGTTAATAGCAGCAGCCAAAGTAATGTGTGCAGAGAAAGTAAACTTATTTAAGGATAGGAGGCTTTCAGCAATAACAATTGTTTGAAGACTTAAGGACATTGGGAGCAATATCAGTATTCAAAAAACAAAGCAGATTATTTTGAGTGTTTTTCTTGGCTCCTGAGGAATTGACGGAGTTGTCACTGGTACTGCTCAGTTATTACTTGGAATCAGTGCCATGGTTGAAGACACTGAGGGTTGGCCCCTGTAAATAGTCTGTTTAGAACAACTACAGAGAAGAGTATTTTCACACAGGCTGAGAAAACACAAATTCAGTACAACCTGAAGTAGAATCTGCTAAGATGTGCTTAAACAAATGGTGCTAAAAAAAAATACTTGTGGAGAAGATGGCTTAGTTGCATTAATTTATAAAGCTTGAAAAAAATGTAAGGTATTTAAAGCCTATGGTTATTTATTTTATTATTCATCAGCCAGGTACTTTGCAGAAAAGATTTGAATGTGTCATATGTCATTGAACAAAAGTGTCAACAGTGAACCTTATTCACTCTCATGGACTTAGCCATCACAAATGCTGTGAATTTTTGTCAGAAATAGGAACTGAATATCCTGACTTGCCCTGCCACACAGCAGTTCAGTGGCTTAGCAGTGGTAGAGATTTACTGCAGTTTTTTTGAGTTCAGGACCAAGATTGAAATTTTCCCAAATGAGAACTTCCCTCAACAGCTATTATCACTTTGAAAATTCGTTTTTGCTAAACTGGGCATGGTGGCTCACGCTTGTGAGCCCAGCACTTTGGGAGGCCGAGGCAGGTGGATCACTTGAGGTCAGAGGTCCAAGACCAGCCTGGCCAGCATGGTGAAACCCCGTCTCTAATAAAGATACAAAAATTAGCCAGGTGTGGTGGCACATGCCTGTAATCCCAGCTGCTCGGGAGGCTGAGGTGGGAGGATCATTTGAACCTGGGAAGCAGAGGTTGCAGTGAGCCGAGATCGTGCCATCGCACTCCAGCTTGGGTGACAGAGTGAGACTCTATCTCAAAGAAAAAAAAAAGAAAACTAGTTTTTGCTGCAGACTTAATATTGTTTCTTAATGAATTCAACCTAAAATTACAAGACAAAATGGTGCTTATATGCAAAACTAACATTGCAGTCAAATCATTTTAATGACAGTTAACATTGAACTTGAAGCACCATCAAGCTCTTTATACATTTCTCATGCTTTCAAAAGTTAAAACAGGAAGCAAGATCTCCATCCCACACAAGTTTACGGCAGATGCACTTTCCAAGCTCAAACTATAGTCCCAGCAGTGGTTTTGGACCTCAATACAAATGAAAGAGAAATTTCCATATCTCAAAATCCATTTAATTGAGGAACTTCACCTAAATCTCAATTGGAAATGATTCATCTGCAGTGTAATAATATACCGGAAGGCTAATAATATACCAAAAGGAAAATCAAATAGAATTCCATAAGTGCCTCCCAAGGGATGCATGTGCCCCATTAAAATCGTGTGTTTGTGGATTGATATCAGTATTAGGCAGCACCTAGGCTGTGTGAAAGAACGTTTCAAAGATGTATATAAAATATCATTATCAATCAACAATAACAAGGGAACATTTGCAGTCAGTTTTGATTATAGGGAACACTAACTTTGAACCCCAGTTAAGTGAAATGTTATACTCCCGAAAGGAATTATGTTCTTCTCCTTGGTATACCTATATTACCAAAAAATATATATTGTATTCAGTTATCATTATATATTGAATTTCCACCTCAGATTTGTAAAAATTTGTTTTCTCTCTTCCTGTATATATTACCCTACATAGTAATCTCAAATTTCCTCTTGGCCCACAAGGACTGTCCTTTATAGAAAAAGTTTACCAACCTTGGCTTAAAGAAATTTGGCCCACAATGAACCATTTTCTTGTCACTTTTCTGACGACATTTTTTGGTTTTAAGATGGATGTTATTCCTGATAGCAAGAAAAGTGGTACACAGCATGTTACCTTTTATGGTTCTTGGTCCTTATTTTTATAGGAGAGCCTGTTTTAGCTTGTCATTATAGTGGAGTTTTATATTGAACTGTGTAGAGGAGGCATTATTTCTTAATTCCTTCTAAATGTGCCTTTGGAAAGAATACACTTGTATTGAGTCCCTGCTCAAGGTGAACAACTGTGTGCGTATTTAATTAACAAATCAAAATTTGTTATTGACTTAACATTCAAAGCAATCAGACTGCGTGATGGTACAGATTATATTTTGGTAAGATTTAGGTAAATCACAATTTACAAAAAACCTATAGTTTAAAACATGGTTGATATAAGAACAAATATATTTTTGTTTTTTAATTTGTAGTGAGAAAAATTATAGCTCTGCCTAATTAAGTAAATTGTGAAGTTTTTAAATATGCACTTCTTCATGAAAAATATAAAAGCTGAATGAAAGTAGAAAGAAGGGGGAAAGAAATTACCTGTGCCCTGTCAAAAGACATCTACTAGAAATATTTTGGTGTATTCCTTTCCTGCCTTAACTCAGTGATATTTTATGTTTGCTTATCTCGGTGTATCCAACAAGTATTGATTTTTATTTTGAAGGAAAATTTGAGAATGGTGTTGCAGAAGGAATGGTGGATCCAAGTCTCAATCCCATTTCAGCCTTTCGACTTTCAGTTATTCAGAATTCTGCTGTTTGGGCCATTCTTAATGAGGTAAGCATATATCAAATCAGTGAAACAACTTAGAAACTACATTTTTATTATGTTTTTATTTTGTATTTAAGGCCTTTTTGGAATTGAGAATTAACAGCTTTATCATACCTTTTATGATTTTGTATTTCAGATTCATATTAAAAAAGCCACCAACTGATCATCTGAGAAACCAACACATTTTTTCCTGTGAATTTGTTAATTAAAGATAGTTAAGCATGTATCTTTTTTTTATTTCTACTTGAACACTACCTCTTGTGAAGTCTACTGTAGATAAGACGATTGTCATTTCCACTTGGAAAGTGAATCTCCCATAATAATTGTATTTGTTTGAAACTAAGCTGTCCTCAGATTTTAACTTGACTCAAACATTTTTCAATTATGACAGCCTGTTAATATGACTTGTACTATTTTGGTATTATACTAATACATAAGAGTTGTACATATTGTTACATTCTTTAAATTTGAGAAAAACTAATGTTACATACATTTTATGAAGGGGGTACTTTTGAGGTTCACTTATTTTACTATTATAGACCCTCTTTTATAGATTATCAGGGATTATATATATAAATATATAAATATACATAAAAATGTTATGGAATTAATTTATTAGAAACACTTAAGAAGTACATATTTTTGTGCAGTAGATTTTTGAATCGATACTTTTTTTGAAAACCAGTTTCCTTGCTTTTTTAAGTTCTTTCTATATTTTTCTTTGGAAATGCAAACATTACAAACCAATGCCATTTTTCAAATGCACTGCCATTTAAGATTGATTATAGATGGATTTCTTAATTGAAGTACTTTTATAATCACAGTGACTGAACAAAATATTTTCAAAGACATTTGTCATTCCTTAAAGCCAAGATTTTAAAGACTAATGTCCTTCCTGAGGGTTACTTTACTATACTGTGTATGGTGTATAGCCACAGAAAGTCAGTCTGATAAATTTTCAATGTGTAAGTGTGATGCATTCAACCCAGATTATTGTAGACTTAACTTATTATATTTCCTCTGATATGTAAAATGACAAACTCTTCTTTCCTTTTTAATCTTTGTCTTTAATCCATGAATTAGGTGCATTATCTGCTGTTGATTCTTTTATATCTGCACTCATTTTATGACGTCAGACAAAATGTTTTCTAGGTGTTGCTATTGTATGAGTCATAATTGGTATAATTTTAAAGAAAATTGTAATATTGTTTTTTGGTGAAATATATTATTAGTAGTATATTTTCCAAAATGATTTTATTGTAGTATGAACTGATAAGTGAGTCCCGTGTCCAAGAGACTGTATTTATTACTCTTAAACACGCTATTCCAAATGATATTACTACTATAAACAAAGAATATTACCGGTCTCAGCAATCAGTGATCTTTATAAAAGTACTTTTAAAAAATGATGAATTATCACCAGGCGCTGTGGCTCACGCCTGTAATCCCAGCACTTTGGGAGGCCGAGGCGGGCGGATCACGAGGTCAGGAGATCAAGACCATCCTGGCTAACACGGTGAAACCCTGTCTCTACTAAAAATACAAAAAATTAGCCAGGCGTGGTGGCAGGTGCCTGTAATCCCAGCTACTTGGGAGGCTGAGGCAGGAGAATGGCGTGAACCCAGGAGGCAGAGCTGGCAGTGAGCTGAGATCGCACCACTGCACTCCAGCCTGGGCGACACAGCTAGACTCCGTCTCAAAAAAAAAAAAAGATGAAGTATCAACATCAGTTCCCAGCCAGTCTGCTTGGACACACTGGGGTGCCACAAGTGGGTTGCAGGTTGGTTGCAGACGGGCAGAGATGGATTCTGCTGAGCTTTCAGAGTGACCACTGGCTGGGGCCTAGCGCTGGGGCAAGGTTCCAGCTGGCTGCCTCTAGCCTGGAGGAGCTTCATCTAGTTACCCAATGTGCTGAACCAACAGCATGAAATAGCATCATTTCCTGTGCTGTGTTACAAAGTGCAAACGTTTGGAAACACTGATACAGTACAATTATTTCCATCACTCCATGTTGTTATAATTTTTAGTTACTTTTCTTGATTGAAAAGTCAATCACATTGCCAAAAATGATTTTTATGTCAGTTAAAGGCCAGTTGAAATTTTTTTATTAGGATGTTTTAAATTTACTTTTCACTTTCTTGAATTTTTTTCTTCTCAAATTTCCTTGGCCCAGTGCCCATGAGCAAATTTCATTCAAAAACAGGAATAACCTTTTGTCATAAAATTTTGGCACCAGCTTGGTATACTAAATTACTGCAAAGATAACTGAGTACCAGAAGTAAAAATCTCTGCAGGTGGGCTTAGGAGTACTCTTGGGTCCCTGGTTCCTCAGTTGCCAACTCTGGTTTCATGAAGAAAGACCATGCTCTGAAAATCTAGGGAGGAGAAAGTTATTGCAGCACCTGGTGTGATTTGTTACAACTTCTTTAAAGACAGCCTGCCTGGCTAGCTTTTTCCTGTTTTCATGCAGTTTGCCCTCCCAGCATTGGTCCACCTGTTGTTCCCAAGAAACTCATTCTTGTTCCCAAGACTCCTTTTAGCCAAATCTTTCCTATCATTCCAGGACTTTTTTGTGCTTCTCTCCCCATGAATCTACCCGTGCCTAGGGTGTGTGCCAGGCACGTGGCAGGTGGCCAGTCAGCATCTGGATGTGAGACCAATTATTCCAGCCTGCCCTCCTCTTTCTCTTTTTATCATTTTGTATTATTTTTGAGACAGGGTCTCGCTTTGTTGCCCAGGCTGGAGTGCAGTGGTGCTCTCATAGCTCACTGCAGCCTCGATCTCTGGCCTCAAGCAATCCTCCTGCCTCAGCCTCCCAAAGTGCTGGGATTATAGGTGTGTGCCACCATGTCCAGCCCCCTTTCTCTCTCTTAACTCCCTCTCCCTGCTGTCGTTGCCATACTCTTGCATACACAATCGGTTGTCTAGTTTTTGATTGTTTGTGTGTATGGTGTGTGCTGTCTCTCTGACCAGATTTCAGGTTCCTGAGGCGAGCCTGCAGCTCATACTGCTCATCTGTCCTCTCCTATGGTGGGTGCTCAGGGCCTCTCACTGTTAGTTACTCCCTCCTTTCTGCCCAGTTCTGCACTCAACTAGTAGAAGCAGCCATCCTTTCCCCAAGCAGGAAATTGTAGTGGTCGCCCTTAAGAGCAGTGTGAGGGCAGAAGATTAAGGGAGGGGAAGAGTCCCTGGAACTGGAAGAAGGTAAATACTTTGCCTTGAGAGGGCGCCGAATCATTTTACCAAAATAGTAAATGGAAAAAGTGTCAAAGGTTGGGACTAGTTTTAAAAACACATATAGCCAGTAGACACATGGGGGCTGTTTAAATAAAAACATTTTTTTACCCGGTTCTGCCATCACACACACTAGTGACATTCCAAGTACTCAGTGGCCATGTGGAGCTAGTGGCCACCACACTTGACACCACGGATGCAGAACTTTTCCATCACTGCAGAAAGCTCTGTTGAACAGTACTGTGTCCAGAGTGCTAATTATGAACAGCTTAGAAACCACAATTAATACATTCTCATGAGGTTAAAAGCAGACATGGGAATAGAACATAATGCAAATGATGATGAATATTTTGGGTGAGAAGAGAAAGCTGAGGACCCATTTCTAGGATTCTAAGATGTAAGATTTCTTAAGTTCTTTATCTTAGTCTCATGCATTCTCCACATCACGCGCTGTACCATACTGTGTAGTCAGAACAGACAGTGTGATTGAAAAGCTTTGGAAAAAGTTAACACAAAGGATTATTTAGCACATAGGCTGTAGATACGTATGTGTGTATTTGTTCAACAATTGGAGATGGTTGAATACCCTTGAACAAAGTGTGTATCTTCTCAAATCAGTGGTTGCACTAGTCAATAATTAGAAGGTGTTGTTATTTTTAAAACTATAAGCAAAATTATGAAGGCCTTTAAAAAATCTATCATAATAATGAAAAAGAGGTTGTCTCCCAACAGTGCTGTCCCTCAAAGAAAAGACTGGTTATGTGGAAACAGCACGTTTGGAGAGATTATTCTAGTGAATAACAGTGTATATTTGTGGTAGGCAAATTTCTAAGAATGACCCCTACTGACACCCCCACCAATGACCTTGTATAATATCCTCCCACTTTGAGCATGGGTGGAACCTGTTTGATCCATGATTATATCATGTTATGTAGCAAAAGGAAGACTGTCTGGGGGTGGCTAATCAAATCTTGTGACTCCTTTAAAAGCAGAGAGTTTTCTCGGGCTGGTGGCAGAAGTCAAGAGACAAAGCAGAAGGACCTCAGGCACCATTGCTGTTTTAAGGTAGAGGGGGCTGCATGAGAAGGAATGCACATGGCTTTGAGGAGCTGAGAGAGGCCTTGGCTAACAGCAAAGGAGCTGGGAACTGCAGTCCTACAGCCACGGGAACTGAATTCAGCCCATAAGCTCATTCATAGGCTTGGAAAGGCATTCATCTCCAGTCTCCAGATAAGACCCAGCCTGGCCAACACTTTGAATCCAGCCTTGTGAGACCCTAAGCCGAGAACTCACTTAAGCCTGCTTGGACTTCTGACCTACAGAACTATGAGATAATAAATCAGTGGTGTTTTAAGCTGCTAAATTTGTGGCAATTTGTTATGTAGGAATAGGAAATGAATACAGTATTTTAAAAGAGGTAAAGAGGAAATCTTCATACTTGATTCCCTGTAGTATGCTGGATATTTCTTGGTAAATGCATGAATAAAGTCTTTAGTAGCAAGTCATGTACCTGGACCTTGTTGGGGATGTTCTCGCCAGAGATCTCAATTAGTCTTCATTGGACGTTTGTTGGCAAAGTTGCAGCATCTTACTGAGTAGCGTTTGGTAAAGGAACTGCTAGAATGAGACTATAGGAATAGGACTGAAACAGTGTGTAAGGGATCTTTTTTATTTCTAGAAGAGGTGTTACTTTATACTGATTTAGACTGCTCTGAGCCTGTCAGAAGTAAATTCAAGAATGATTAACAGTGGTATTTTAGATACATTAAGAGCAAAAATAACCTTTGCCTTGTAGAGATCAGATAATCTGTGTATCGAGGGATTTAATTTTTTTTAACCAAAACTTAGTTTCTCTTTTTATCATCTAGCACAGATCAAATCCTGTATGGGCCAGCCAAATGTTTGTAGTTTGAGAATGTTTTGCAAATACCTCTCTGCTTCCAAGCCATTAATAGCTAATGAAGTTTTATTTTGGTTTGTCCATTAATTTTTCTGCTTATTTTTACTGTATTGCCATGTCCTTGATACGAGACAAGTAGAACTAAAAGAGAGAAAATGAGAGGTTAAGACTGTCAGAAGATGAGAAATGTGAGTCATAACCATACCTTAGTGTTTTAAGGGAACTTTATCCAGTCCAATCCCTTTATAGAAAAGGAACTTTTCCAAGTTATGTTGCAGTATTTATAGTGTGTAAAATTTTGTTTGACTTTGGTAGTTGTGCATTTTAAATTATGAATCTTATATGCTACGATAACTAGTATGCTTACTTTCTTTAATGCATGTGATCATACAATGCTAAAAAGGTATTTTTTAAAGACCCAACCAAACTGAGGATTTTGTTATACATATCTGTATCAACACCTATATATAAACTCTTCTTCTTACCTGAAACACTCCTTCACCCGGTTTGGGCACTAACTAGATCATTTTCAAAGGAACAAACAGGAAGGAGCAAGCTGGCACTCCAGGGTGCATCTGAGCTGAGAATTTAGAAGACCTCATTCAAGAAAGTAAACTGAGCATTGATGGGAAAGCACTTTGCGCGAAGTAACATTCCCACTGTTAATGTTGCAGTCAAAATTGTGGAAAAAAAAAAGTGGTGCTAAAATTGTTCTGAAATGAAGATTGTTTGTTGTGGGGAATATTTTAATACTCTTGGACTTTAGGGAGGCTATTTTATGTGTCACTTGCTCCTAGTTGTTTCATTGTATTAGTAATTAGCAAACTGTCCTGGAACCAAGGGTTTGGTACTTTTGCCTGATTAGCATTCCATTATTTATTTGAAATGCTCAGTGTTTGCTCAAATTTGGTGAAAATATCTTTTGAAGACATATTCTCTGAGCCTTAAAAATGGCTGCTATCGACAGTACTGTAAGATGCACTGCCAGTAGATTTGATACTTTTCATTTCAGTGTAGGCAGTAATGTTTTCTAAGAAAGATTTAGAAATCAGCAAAGTGTAACAATTGTGTTTCATTTATGGAATGGAAAAACTGAAGTGTCCCATTCAGAACACTTTGGAAAGGTTGTCTGCATTAGGGGATGTTTCTGGAAGCATCCCTTAGAGAAGCTGCCTGAGGAATCTCCTTGCCAGGTTGTACCAGATTTTTTTTTTTCTTAAATGTATTGTATATATTTTCCTTAAAATGTCTTCATTGGCTGAATGATTCCTATCCGTAGTAATATTTTAGGTACTTGTTGGATTTTTAAAGGAAGATTATTTATTTTCAGATTTGCTGCTATAATTGAAAACCTAGTAACTGGTCCTGTTGATTGTGCCTTCATCACTGTTTCTCTGTGCCACGACCGTTCATGTGTATTTGAAATAAAGAAGTTTAAAAAGCCATGTTGAATTCAAGATTCCTTCTAATAAAAATAGGTGAAACTTAATGAGTAGTATTTTATTATTAACTTTGTTAACACTGAGACAATACTAGTTATCCATTTTCAGTTAGAAAAAGGAGTGGATCCTCTATTGGGTTTTGTAAAGTCTCTAAAGAAAGGGGAAAAAAAAGCCCTACTGTTAAGACAGTGATGACCAATATTATGCTGATGTTCACTTTATTATATGTACTATACAGTTCCTAAAATAAGAGTAGCTACCTGGGCCTCTTTGATCTAAAATATTTAGGGGCTATAAGTAAGTTTTTAATGTAGAAAATGCTGCTAATGATGCTTAGGGCCTGAAGTACAGTGACTCCCGTTTGACTGACACTACAGGTTTATAGAGGATTCCGAAGGTTAGAAGGGATCTTGTGGCTTATGTAAGTAAGTATTTAAAATACAGCTAATTAGAAATGGAGATTATGCATCTTTGTCAATAGGAGAGCGATGGGGCTGTATGATTATTCCCTTGTTCTCCAACTAGATGATACTCTTTCAAAAATAATTCATATTGTTTTATGTTTATGTTTTCCCCATGCCATTAGCATTTTACATGTAGCTCTTACATTTGCAAATATTAGAGTGAACACACATGCTTTAGTTTAAAAAATATTTATTATAGAAATGTACATTTAATTAGTTTTAAGGAATGTACCTGACCACAGTGTTAATATATATTTCTTCAAATTTGCAAACTTTACACCTTTAAGATATCTACAAAGATGATAGTTTATTTACAAGTTTTACAAGAAATGATCACTTCACAATACTGTTGACACAGTTACGATTGAATCTTCTTCTCACTTTTTATTTCACTCTGTACTTATAGAAAGAACAGAGAGTATGGGTGAAGTTCCATCCCAGTGCCAGGGAAAGCCCGTAGAGCAGAATCAGAGGTGCAAATGGATACAGAAGAATTACTGTATTTTTCAAAAATGGCAATGCTGGAAAAGAAAGGAATCCAAACTGATTTAAAAAAAAAAAAAAATAAATGACTAATAAATGAACATTTTGAAAGACAGCTTACTTCAACATGTGGGGTGGAAGGGAATGCATATTTTGAATCAGTAAGATGATGCTATTTATGCCCAGAACTAGACTACTCTTCCCAACCCCTCTGTGCTGTTTCCTCCTTGTCTAGGGCTGGGAAGAAACCTAGGAGAGGAATTATTTCAGCACAGAGGCTGAGTGGGACATCATACACTGGACCAAGAGAGGTTAACAATGAGGGAGAAATGTCACAAATATTCATGAAAACAGTGGTGAATTTAAACTTGTGACTGCCTCAGAAACCTCTAGGAGTCCAACTTAAAGTACAGAGATGGATGGCGTTATAGGAAAACATCTTTTAGCTATTTGAGATTTTCCAGTGTAAAGCATTATACCCCCACTTTAAGAGGGTGTGAGCTCAACTAGTAGCCCAGGCTTCAGAAAAGAACTGAAACTCTTAAATATAAAAGTCTGGCTCCAAATATTGATGTTTCTTGCTCACTGCTTAGTTAGCGGGACCCTACCCCATGCATCCCGACCTAAGTATTTCTCATATAGGAAGTTCTTAAACAAACTGAGCTGTACTCCAACTATTCTAAGTGGTATAGGTCGTTACCAGGAGTGTTCAAATAACCACTTAGAGAAACCACAGTGCTGCAGTGTTCTCATCACAAAACACTTTCAAAATTCATTAGAAATGACACAAACATCTCCCCTGGACTAGAGAAAGCACTCCCCAAACAAGGCATTACAATGAAGGGGTTAAGTGTTCCCTGACAAACCAGCCAAGGGGGGAGAGAACCGGGGTGGGAATAACTCCGGAGCCAGGCATAGTCAGAGCCATCTGTATTTACAGTTAGGCCCTAATCATCTACAGTAACAGGAAAGGAAGGGGTAAGAAACGTACAGCGCAGTCTCTAGATTTTATTTGGCTTTATTTAATGGGATCATTTCTTAACATAAATGAAAAATAATATATGTTCCTCATTCATATTAAGAAAAATGAACTGACAACAGGATTTAACAGTAAATCTGCAAACATGTCCTGAGGACAATAAATGTTGGGCCCGATCTTCTGTGATTGTCTACAGAACCATACGGTAATCATGAAAACTAAGAATGGGGCAAAAAGTTATGATTCAAAAGGCTTTAGAGAACTTCAGTTCATAGACCTATGTAACAAGATGCTGGGCCCCACCTTTCTTCGCTCTACCCTCCTGCTGGTAACCCACAACCTGAAAGCATGGGAGAAGAGGAGTGAATGGTCTTGGATTCCTGCAAGTCATCTGGAGATAACCAGTATGGTTTAACATGTTTCCTTGAAAGTATAAAATCTGTTATATACCAGCTAGGCCATTTTCTAGCTGCATGACCATGGGTAAGTTGCTTAATCTCTCTGCCTCAGTTTCCTCATTTGAAAACAGAAACAAACCTGTGTAATTGTCATGAAGATTAAATGAGATAATGCACATAAAATACTTAGGATAGTGCCTGTAAGTGTTCCATAAAAGCAGCTGTTTGTACTACTGTTACAACTTTCCCCCTCTTGCTATGTTCTCAACCAAAAACATTTAAAAAAATTACTTACCACTGTATCCCAGGAAAGTTACATAGATATAATAGCCAACTGCAACCAACCATAAGGTATTTCCAACTAAATATCCAATAAATGTGTCTGTCAGGATAACATCTGCCAGAAGAGACGCAGACCATGAGTCCCTTTACCAATGCATGCAATGAAGACTTGGATAATACTCTAATTAACTGCTACTTACGGTTGATGAAAAAAAGCTGGATAAAATGCAAAATGACCAGGAGTGGATAAAAAGCATTGAGATGCACATCAAAAGCATAGCCCCATTCCACATCATAGTCTCTGCTCTGTCGTTTCACTAAATACTTGTTAGAGATGAACCTAAGAGCAAAATTAAAATTTCTTTCATAATAAAATGAATTCTGTAAATGTTTACTGACGACTTTCTATGCGGCAGACATTCTAAATTCTGGAGATATACCAGTAAACAAAACAGACAAAAATCCCTGCCTTCCATCTAGGAAGGAAGGCTGACAATGATACACCTATGTCAGATGGTATTATGGAAAGAGAGAAAGCAGCAGAGAAATGTGGAGAATACAAACTTGAGATGCAATTGTACATATGAGGGTCATAAAGTAACATTTGGGTAAAGACCCAAGGATAGTGATGGTGCCTGGCAGGCCTGAGGAATGGTGAAAAGACCAGTGTCTGAAAGAAAAGGAGCAAGAAATGAAGCCAGAAAAGAAACAGGGTTGGGCCCAACATCAAGTCACACAGGCTCCATGTCTTACGAAGCCTGTGGCCGTTTTACAATCTTTGGCTTTTATTCCTGGTGACGTGAGAAGCCACTGTGGAGTTCTGAGAAAAGTATTTGACTTAAATGCCTTGACAGAGCCTCCCTGGTGGCGGATCTGAGAACAGACTCCAGAGACAAGACTGGCAGCAGAGACCAGTTAGAAGGCTACTGCAAGGAAGAGATGAGCAGAGGGGCTGGTGGCAGTGGAGGTGCTAAGATGTGGCACACACGATACTCTGAAGGTAGAGCTCCTGACATTATTGGATTGGAGTATGAGAAAAAAATACTCAAGGATGACTGAGAGATTTCTGCCTTGAACAAATGGAAGATGGAGCTGCCTTTAATTGAGGTGGGGCTGGCTGTGGGAAGAGTGGTTTTGAGGTGGGAAGGAGTGTGCGGAAGTTTGAATTTGGACCTGTTATGTTGAAGATGCCAACTAGTATGGAGTAAGAAGTTGTATACAATGTCTAGAGTTTAGAAGACAAGTCCAAACTGGAAATATAAACTCATCAGTGTGTAGATGATATTAATATTTAAAGCCACGGGCCTGAATGATGTCACCAAAAAAATGAATGTGGATAATGAACAGGCCCAAGGCCCAAGACCTGGGTCAACCCCCTATTAAAAGGAGGATGAAATAGTAAGAAGCAGTTAGGAAGAGTGACGCATCCAGCCATAAGAACAATTATTCAAGTGTATGTCACTGTTCTACAACATGGCCTACTAGTTTTTCAGTTCAATGATGAATAAAAAGTAAAATATCCAAGTAACAGAAAAGTAAGATCTTCAAAGAACAAAACTTGTATTATAAACATATATTGGAAATTCAATGTATTTTTTAATGTATTATTTCATTTCATCTCAAGGGTACAATTAAGAATACGCTATTCCGTCACTGGGGATAAAAATGGAAAATAAACAGAGGTACAATACTAATGTTAACAGTCCCTGCATTTCGTTATCTGAAAATGCCAAAACAATACTGAACAAACTAGAGCTTACCAAGACAGTTTCCTTTTTAGCCAAGAATGTGTGCCATTCAAATTTTATGGAATCAGTATGTAGCTCGCTCCCCAAGAGCGCCCTTTCTGTAGACGTTCTCTGCTGCCCCTATTCTCCCGCTTATCCCAAATGGGCGCTTTTCAAGCTTCTGGCCTCAGTGAGAGTCTTTCCTCTGAAAGACAGATGTGCCTTCCGAGAGCACTCCAAGGCACTGTGGTTTTCACCTCCCAGCTCCATATTAACGCCAGTCAGAGGCTCATCATGGCCCAGACTCTTGCCTCTAGGTCTAGAGTCATCAACCTCAGTGTCTACTGACCTTCTTTTCACTCTTCAGGAAGCTCCCTGAACTCAACAGGCCAGCAAGGGCTGCTTCATCTGCATCTGCTGCTTCCTCAGTCATCTAAGCCAAAATCTTACAGGTCATCCCAAAGGAGCCTCCCACCCACTCCCTCTTCCTGATCCCCCCTCATACCTTGTTATCTCAGGAAGCTCTCGAATCCATCTCTCCTCTCTATTCCTATCACCACCATACTATCTGGGCCTCCTCTACTCCTACGCAGACCTCTGCAAGTGTATCCAGCCTTGCCCACTCACTACTCCAACTTTTGCCTCCTCCACTGCCATGGAAAAGATAGTGTGAGTTTGACATTATTTCCTTACTTTAAAGCCTCAAAGCTCCCCACCTCCTTTTGCCCCCAACCCACACATGCAGTCTATGAGATAAAGTCCAATTTTTTTCCTGAATGGCATGAAGGCCAATTTCTCTAGTCACATCTCTTCCCCAGTGACTCGGTGTCACCCTATGCTCCCAGACCTAGTGTGCTGTTCACACCTCTATGCCATTGCACTTGCAATTCCCAGCACCAGGAGTCAACTATTCCCCATCTCCACAAACCACCACCTTATGCTGGCTTCTGTAGCTCCTCTGTGATGGTCATCATTACATGTAGTCATTTCTCTTTCTAGTTCCTCACACAACATAGGTTCTCAAAAATACACTGAATCCCTTTCTATTTAATTCAAACTATGATACAGACTCACATGAAATGTGCTAAACTCCAGGCTGATTTGGTCCCCTTCTGTGCCTGATATTGTTTGGCTGTGTCCCCAAAATCTCATCTTGAACAGCAATCCCCAGAATCCCCACGTGTCAAGGGTGGGGCCAGATGGACGTAATTTCCCCCATGCTGTTCTCGTGATAGTCAGTGAGTCTCACAAGATCTGATGGTTTTATAAGCATTTGGCATTTCCCCCACTTGTACTCACTCCATCCCGCCACCCTGTGAGGAAGGTGCCTGCTTCTCCTTTGCCTTCTGCCATGATTATAAGTTTCCTGAGGCCTACCTAGCAATGCAGAACTGTGAGTCAATTAAACCTTTTTCCTTTATAAATTACCCAGTCTCAGATATTTCTTTATAGCAGCATTGAGAACAGACTAAGACAGTGGCCTCCAGAATTACTGCATTCAGGGCAGAATGCTTGTTATGAATGAAACTATTCCTTTGAAAGTCTTATTTATTGAAATTTTAAAACACACCATTTGTTTTTCATGAATTTCTTGGTAATGAATACGTGACTTACATTAGTATTAATTCTAGGCCAGATTTTAGAATTTTATATTAACAGTGGACAGCATTTATTGGCTAACTAGCACATACAAAAGCTCTGCTGTACTAGTCAGAAGTTACAAAGGAAAATACAGGCATATGTCATTTTACCACACTGCACTGTACTGCGCTTCACAGAAACTGTAGTTTTTAAATTTTTACGTATTGAAGGTTTGTGGCAACTGTGTCCAGCAAGTCTGCCTGTGCCATTTTTCCAGCAGCATATGCCCACTTCATGTCTCTGTGTCAGCATTTTTAAGCAATAAAGCATTTTAAATTAGTCTGTACATTGTTTTTTAGAGCCATAGTGCTATTGTACACTTAAAAGACTACAGTACAGTGTAAATATGATTTTAATATGCACTGGGAACCAACACATCTGTGTGACTCAGTTTATTGTGATATTTGCTTTACTGCAGTATCTGGAATGGAACTAGCATATCTGAACTATGCCTGTAAAAGGGTGGTATTGGCTGGGCGCGGTGGCTCACGCCTGTAATCCCAGCACTTTGGGAGGCTGAGGCGGGAGGATCACCTGAGGTCAGGAGTTTGAGACCAGCCTGGCCAAATGGCAAAACCCTGTCTCTACTAAAAGTATGAAAATTAGCCAAGTGTGGTGGTGTGTGCCTGTAATCCCAGCTACTCAGAAGGCTGAGGCAGGAGATTCGCTTGAACCCGGGAGGCGGAGGTTGCAGTGAGCTGAGATCACACCATTGCACTCCAGCCTGGGTGACAGAGTGGGACTTCGTCTCAAAGAAAAAAAAAAAAAGGCTGGTATCAGAAGTTATAGTTGCAGAGTTTTGCTTAAAATATTAGTAACTACCAAATATTGAACACTTAACTGTGTCAGGTAATTTTCATAACATAATTATCTCAAAAATTGGACAGAATAGGTAATTAACTAGATTTTGTAAAAGAAGAGACTGGGACTAAGAGTTTCACAGATAACTAAGTTGGCATTTGAACCCAGGTCTCTCTGCAACTAAAATGTTCTCCACAATGACCACCATGTCTACCCAACCACTGGTCCTCTACTGAGATCGCTAGCCACATCCCCTGCCCTTCATCCAGCATGCCAACCACACAGGAGGACTTTACCAAACACCAGATTTATCCTCAGTACACTGCTGTTGCTAAATCAACCAAAGTCAGACTGAGAACCCTTCTGATAAAGCCCGTGTGTGTGTGTGGCGGTGGGGGGGCGGGGGGGGCGGAGGGTGTGTGTGTATGAGAGAAAGAGAGAGAATTTTATTCTCAGTAGGAAGGCATGAGAAGTTTAAAAAAAAAATCCTTCTTTTTCAAGTATACTTCATTTAATGCAAAGATTCAAAGTAAGACTCCACAAAATAACCCTTTAGATCTAAATGGATTTAAACACAATGAATATCAAGAAGTGGTCTCTATTGACAAATGCAGAAAACCATGCTATCATCCAGACAACTTAAGCAGAACTGGCTAAATCTGTAATATTTTTGCAAAACCAGGCATTTTGTTAGTATGCAGAAAATAAATCTCGGGACCCCAAAATCACTAAGCCAAAGGGAAAAGTCAAGCTGGTAACTGTGTCAGGCAAACTTGCCTCCTATTTTATTCCTAAGATAGCTTATCTTTACAGGTGTGGGACAGAAAGTCCTCCTTCTACTCACCTGAGACAAGTGTTTATCTGATTGCTTCCTCTGCCCCATTGTTTATGTAAAAATGCAGACTCACTGAGCCAGATTAAGGCATAAATGACTATTCCTGTACCTGCCTCTCACAAGTAAATTGTGTATTCAGTGAAAGGCAGATCAAAGACTCAAAAGAATGCAACCATTTGTCTCTTATCTAACTGTAACCTGCCTTTCCCCACTTTCTGGATTAAAACAATGTACATTTTACACATATTGACTGATGTCTCAAGTCTCCCTAAAATGTATAAGAGCAAGCTGTGCCCCGACCACCTTGGGCACATGTCATCAGGACCTCCTAAGGCTGTGTCACAGGCATGTCCTTAACTTTGGCAAACTAAACTTTCTAAATTGAGACCGATCTCAGATATTTTGGGTTCAAAACATAATTATTTCAATTATTTGCTACATTTGACAATATTATAAACCAGCCTTTATAGTATTTTCTGATATAGGTGGCAACACAGGAGGGAAAATTGTAATAATCTTGGCAGTCAAAATTGATCATTTAGTAACTCTACCTGGGTTTCAATTTCCATCTGCTGCTATTGTACCTCTGAAGCAAACAAATGGAGATGCTACAGCAGTATCTGAAAAACCAAAGTTATGGTACTTACCACATTAAAGTTGCTATCAGAAGACCAACGCCTACACAATCTATGAGTACAACCCAAAGGAGAAGCTTTATTGTCTCAAAGAATCCCATGTCCAGCACAAAGCCAAATCCTATAGTGGACACTGAAAGAAAGATTCACAAGATTCATTTAGGGACTCTGCTAGGTTCTGGAAATACAGGACACATCCCTTGCCCTCCAGATGCCCAGGCTAGTGGGAGAGACAGGTCTTTAAACAAAACTCCCAAGATGTGTGAACACTACCTTGGGACACAGCGTGGCCACTGAGAGAGTTGAAGTTTCCTGAGGTGGGCCCTTGCCAGGCTGATTCACCACGGTGGCCTCAGTATTTAGAACGCCAGTGTAGAGAAGGCACTAACATAGTTTAAGTCCAGTTAAGGTGCAAAACACCCTATAAACTTCAATATCTTACCCACTTCAACACCCTACAGGTAAATGAGACCCTTGCATTATGGAATTGGAGAACTTCAGTTTCTCAGGTTCCCATCAATACCTTTACAATTCTCACTGTGGATTTGCCTGTGAAATGCAATTTCCAGTTTCATATTCCTATTCACAGTCAGCTGACATTTGGGTACCGATTCAAGTACTTAAAAAGATATGGAGTGAATCTTGTCCCCTGCTTTTCAATGTCCTAGGGTAACAGTTTACTCTGGCATCTGCTTGGGACCTGTAGAACCAAGACTACAACTTTCTTTCCTGTGAGATTTTTTGAGGCTTCAGTAAAAAGGAGAAATAGTTTCCAATATTTCCAGATTCTGACCCACAACACATTTATAACAAAAAATCTAATCAGAAACACTCAGCGTTCAATTCTATCTCAGATAAACACACTTACCACAGAGCCAGATACTTAACAGGACCAAGAAAGCAGGGTCATCTCTGGCCCACTGGTCCTTCGTCTGTTTTCGATAATGAAAATTTCTGTAAACTCTCTGTGGGGATGTGAACAGGTAGAGCATCTGCCAGGCAGCAAATTCAAAGTCCATTTGCCGAAAGCGGAAAAGCCTTCTCAGATATTTGTAGCGTTTCGCTCCGGCTGTGTGTCTTGCCGCATCCCTGGAATTCAAGACTCCGTTCCCCTGCACTAAGGAATTCACTGAAGTACTCGGTAACATCTTCCTAGATGGAAGAAAAACATTTCTTTTACACGTATTCTGAAGAAACATTTGGCTACCGACACTCCTCTTCTGAGTTATTTGGCAGGGAGGTCACTTTCCATGTTCTTCCCAACCCTAGAGAAAGGCCAGGAGTCAAAAGCAAATGCAGTTAGTTCTGAGGCGGGTCTTGGGGCTTGGGAACCGCAGACTGCAACCTCAGGCAAGGGCAACAGCCCACCCTTCTGAATCACCTAATAACACTTATCCAGGGGCAGCTACCATTACAGAGACAGGGATGATGTGACTGCCCCATGACTCCGAGGATAGTGATAGAGCCAAGATTGGAAATCTGACTCGAAATTCCGTGCTCTTAACCACCAAGCTTTTAAGAAAATGCCTAAGAAAGCAGTTTCAGCCGGTTAGAACAGTGTTACTGAAGAGGTCAAATAAATGGCCTATTCACACAGATCCATCAGCGCACTGCCAGCAAGCTTCTCGGTCACTAGAATGAGATTAAAAAACCAAGAAAAACTCCGATCCCTAGTGTTTTACATCCGGAATAGTTCAGCAGAGGGAGCGGTAGCGTCGGAGTCCAATCCAACCGGTCCGAGCTCCGGGGAACGCCGGCCACTGCCCGGCTGCCCGTCTCCCCTCCACTTCGCAGGCCCCCCAGACGCCGGCAGGGTCTGGCCGAGCCCAGCTGCTCCCTCCCTGCCCGGGGCCGCGGGTACGGCTGCCAGATTTAGCAAATAAAAACACAGAATACCCAGCTCCATTTGGATTTCAGACAGGCCACGAATAAGGTTTTAGTATGCCTACATCCCACGCAACATTTCGGACATGCTTATACTAAATGCTCTTTCTTTATCTACGATGCAAATGTAACTGGGCGTCCTTTCATTTTAGCCGCAACTCTATCGCCGGCCGAGGGGCCGGACGCCGACATGGTCACTGCCAGGCCGCAGCGACGTCAGGCCGCAAGCTGTCGGGATTAAATGGCCCCCGGCGCGAGCCCGGGCCGCGGGAGGGCAGAGTGGTCCTCAGGCCTCACCTGGAGTCCTGCTACAGCCTCGACCCACGTCCGAACCAGCCCACCACCTCCTCCCAGCAGCCGACCCCAGCCGCCACCGGGCGGGCTTCCCTTCCCTCAACGGAGCCGGCCCTTGGGGCGCGCCGCGTCACGGGAACCGACTTCCGCCGCGGACGCGCCACCTCTCGGCCCCCGTAGTCCTCGGCCCTACCGCCGCGGCCCGCCGGAAGTTGTTGCCGCTGGCTTCCGGTCCCCTGAGACTGGGGCCTCGCTCGCTCCCGACCCGGTTGCAAGTGTTGCGGTGGGAGAAAGTCGCGTCCGCATCGGAGGGGAAGCGCCGTCATGCCTAAGTATTATGAGGACAAGCCGCAGGGCGGCGCGTGCGCGGGCCTGAAGGAGGACCTGGGCGCGTGTCTGCTGCAGTCGGACTGTGTGGTCCAGGTAGCGCGGCCGGGCGCTCCCGGTGGTGACGACCCCTGTCCCAGGCAGGCCTGGCTCGGCGGAGGGCAGCGGGTCGCCCGCGGCGGCGGTTGGAGTTAACCATCCCGGGCGTAGGTCACAGCTCGGGCTCACTGAACGTGCGCAGATCCACTGAGCTGTCGGAGCCCCAGTTCCCTGTGGGGTTAAATCGGAGATAACGATAAACGCACCCTGTCGGGTTTTTGTAAAGGTTAACCCATTTCAGTTCACGAAGCCTTTATTGAATGCTAGCACTCTACTAGGCTTTGGAGACATAAAGGAGAATAAGCCAGGTTTCTTGCCTGCCTAGAAATGATAATCTGTAGAATTAATGATTCCAGAGAGTTGCGTAAACCTGGTACACTGCCCTGGCCAGTAGTGTCTCCTGCCTGTTCAGTTGTGACAATGTGTGCTCAGTTTGACTTGTGTTGATGTGAATTTGTTTCTGAGTTACAGTTCTCTGCATTCTTGGATGTTAAGTTGTAAAAATAAGGCAACTCCATATTTTCACGATTTCGTATCTTGCTTCCCCTACACTCTTCCTTCACTCCCCGGCTACAGACACAGGTCTCCTCAGCACCCTCTTGGAATGCACTGAAACATGTAGTGAGGTTCACAGTGGACCTGAGTTCTGGATTAGAGCTCAAGTAAAGCACAAGTGCCTTTTCCAATTGCAGAGGCCCGACGAGAGGGCATTCAATTGTGTGCAATTGTCTTTGCATTGGGGGATGTAGTTTCAGAAAGTTGCTGTTATTTCAGAGAAAAGATTACCCCCAAATGGACATCCACTGTAAGACTGTACCAGTGTTTCTACCGAGTCACAATTTGTTTGGTTCACTGATTTTAGCAGTCAGCCATTCTCGCCTCCCAATGTCTAGTAAAACTTGAGTTATTATAAATTTAAGAGATTATCTCGCCCAACTTCCTTATATAAATGAGGAAACTGAAGTACCGTTGTTTTCAGGCTCCCCTGTCCAGGGCTGTGTCCCTTCTGCCCCTTACTCACTGGTGCTGCCGTTCAGCCAGCTCCTGGTAAATGCCTCTTAAGTGGCAGGCATGGTACCTGACACTGGTGATAACGAAGATGAATCAGTAACAGTCACTACCCATGTAAGCTTGGTGTCATGGGAGAAATAGACATCTAAGGGTCTAAATTCCTGCCATAAGACTGTAAGCATTTATTAAACATGTGTTTAATGACTAGATCTTGAGGAGAAAAATGCGTTAGCCCAAGGGAGAGCGTCTGATTTTGCTTCAGAATTTGGAATCTTCTGAGATGACATTTGAGCTGAGTCTTAAAAGTTGAGTAGTAGTTTATCAAGTAAAGGAGTGGGAACTGTTGTGGTTGTGGGGAAAATCTGAAAGAACAGCAAGTGCAGAGGCAGGGAGATGTGGGAGGGCGCAGAGGAGCTAGTGTCCTGCCATAGGGGAATGCGACAGAAGGCCTGAGGGGAAGGTTGCAGCCAGGTGTGAAGGCCTGTATGTGTGTCAGAGTGAGGAGACTGGATTTTATCCAGACGTTCAGCATCGGAAGGCCATGTTGATGAGTAGTCAAGGGAAGAAAGTACACTGAGTAGGACTGAGGAAAGAAACTCCAAGTGGAGGACAATAGCAGCAGCACAGAGAATTCCAAGCTGGCTTTCTGCAGCGGTTGATACAGCAAACATGTACGGAGCGCCAGGCTCCAGTTCAGGGAACAAATACTGATGAATGGAACATGGTCTCTCCAGTATAGAAAGCGGAGCTGTTTGGCTAGAATGCTGTAGGCAGAGATTATGGTTGGGACAGCTGGTACAGACTTTGCTTTTCCCGCCATTGAATATGTGGCCTTACCAGTGCTCAGTTTGGTCAGCCAGAAAACGTGATGCTTATAAGCAGTTCTTTAGATGGAAGTTCGTATACAGTTTGTGTTAAATTCATTCTGAATGCTGACTTCAGCTGGATTGTAAAAGGGCAATAGTGAGGAGGTTTGCAGGTCCAGAACAATCTCCTACAATCTGTTGGCAGCTACTGCCCACTGCTCCTCACTGGGGACTCTGAAAGACCAAGGAAAGCTCTGCTGAGGTCTGTGCTTGCTCTGTGTGGCAACCTTAATTATGATGGAAATTTTTGATTTCTTAAGTTCTTGAATAAAAAGGTTAATCTGATCCTATGGCAGGTTGGTGCTGTAGTCTCTTCTTGCCAGTCTTTAACCCACCTGAAACCTGCAGCACCTCGCTCTAGGGAGGAATTCAACATAAACATGTATTTAGTTCTAGGTGCTGCTTTGGGAGACTGTCAAGGAGTTAGAGGGCCTCAGAGAAACTCAGGGTAATGGTAAGGATGTAAATTCCAGTGGGGCTGGAGGAAAGCAGGGAAAAAGCAGATTCAAAAGGCATCTCTTGAAGAGACTTCTTAGGATTTAATGACTCCTGGATGATCAGGACAATGAAACTCTGCCAGAGGAACTTCACTCATCATAGGGTATCTTCGTCTCCACTAACAGCTTCCAGATCCACTGACTCTTCATCAGAATCACCTAGAAGTGGTGTGGCTTTTTAAAAGTACAGATTCCACTGCTGCCCTCACCCTACCCCCAATAAGTTAAAAGTTTCTTTCCTAGGTTGGTTTTGGGCACAGCCATGTTTGAGAGCACTGACTGATCTTGACCTCAGAAGGCAAAAAAGCTTGGGAGTGTATTAGTTAGAATATAGATTCAAGTGCATGTTACAGAGACCCAGAATAATAGTGGCTTAAACGAGATAGAGAACTTTCTCTTTTGTCCTTGTGCCTATAATCAGGGCCTAGTCATTTCCCTCAGTCTTCCATGAACGCAGACACTGTTGATCTTGTGACTCTGTGCTGTGAAAATAGGAAAATATAGCAAGTAGGGTGTTACTCTCATATTCATGGTCCAAGACTGGTTTGCTTCCACATCATCAGGCCCGGCAACCTTATGGAGTGAAGTGAGGAAAGGGGCAAGCCTCTTTAAGGACCAACCCAGAAGTTCTACACCTGTTTCCCACACATTCCAGTGGCTAGAACTTAGTCACAGGACCACAGCTAGATGCAAGGGCGTCTAGGAGATCTCACCCAGCCATATGCTGGATAAAAAGGAAGAGCAGACAGCTAGCAGTCTGTTATTTGGGGTGGAGTGGATAACGAATGACTGTCTCTTAGCTTTAGTGTATCTAGATGGATCTTTACCCCAGGCAGTTGACAATATAGGTTGAAAGCTTTTGAAAAAGGTAGCATCTTAGATACAGTTTGAAGAGGCATCAGCTTATAAACTATAGTTATAACCTTTTATATGGTTAGTCTTCTTTTGTCTGCCTCCACGTCGTTCATGTGGGCAACACATCCCACCAGCAGAATTGCAGAGTTTGGAGAGGAAGGAAACCTGCTACTCTTATCCACTTTTGAGAGTCACTGAGGTAGATGACATTTGATATCTAGGACCCAGGCAGACATACAGACTGGAAGGTGGCCAAGACTCCTGGGGAACAGGAATACCACAGACATAGTACCCTGTAGCTTTTCATAGGAAAAACTGGCAGAGCGTGCCTGGCACTTGCAACATAAAGGTTCTGGGGAGTGGCTGCAGTGATGCGGCTGTAGAGTCAAAATCTGCTTGAGGGAAAATCCCTGATTATGCAGAGCAGATGAGCTTTGGGTTATATTTTTTCTGGTGCATGAATGGGCCACATGTTTCTATTTAAGTAGTATTCCAGCCTGCCTTGTTAATATCTTTGTGAAGTGTTTCGTGCCAACACTAAAAATATTCTGATTTTAGGGTACCCAGTTCACACATTTCACCCATAAGGAAATGAAGATAACCCTTTCTAGATTTTTATATAAACAGTTTAAGGAAAAGTATCCAATAGAAACCAGTGTTTTCAAGAATTCAACAGTGTCCTTAAAGTTCCCAAGTTACTTTACAATTTTTTTTTCATTCTTTAGGCACCAATAGCCCAAATGAATTAAGAACTATTTCCTACATAACTTTCTATTTTCCTCCTTTAACACTTTTAAAAAGGACTATTTTCAGAAGGACAATTATTTTGTACTTTGTGAGAAAATTTCCAAGGTGTTTATATTGTTTTATGTGTCTGTCATAGGAAGGAAAATCACCTCGGCAGTGTTTGAAGGAAGGATACTGCAACTCTTTGAAGTACGCATTTTTTGAGTGTAAAAGATCAGTGGTAAGTGGTTAAAGATTTTTAAAAGCCTATGCTAAAAATTAGCTATAGGGAGGTTAAATATATGAATGACTTAATAGTTATAGGTAAGTTGCAGTGATATGGTTTGGAAAAAATTACATAGATAATATTTCTTCCTCCAGTGAGTTAACGTTAGGTAGCGTTCATAAAAACCCACAGCTCATTGTTATGTTCTTCTGTCACCGTGCTAACTACAGCTGCTGAACTTCATGCATTTCTGAAAGTGTGAGAATGAAGTCTCGGCAGGTATATACGGGTAAAAGTTGATGTTGGCCACTCGAGTTCAGATCAGTTGGCAATTGTATACAAACATATAATGTGGAGCTCCAAGGTGTATACATTTGTGCCTTATGTGACTAAGAGAAAATGTCAGTATCTGTGTTTGAATTTTGGAGGGATGGATTGTAGAAATAGGGCCTAAAAAGAGATTACAAATCTCTGGGGTTCATTCTAACATTCTTTGATTTGGAAGATGTATGGAGATCTTTGGAATGGAAACTGAGACCCTTTTCTTGGAGAAATGTATAAAACCAAAAATATGAGCATCCCATTAAAGGAAGAAAGCACTTGGACTTGAGGATGTTTTTTTTTTGTTTTTTGTTTTTTGTTTGAGACGGAGTCTCACTTTGTCACCAGGCTGGAGTGCAGTGGCGCAATCTCAGATCACTGCAACCTCTGCCTCCTGGGTTCAAGAGATTCTCCTGCCTCAGCCTCCTGAGTAGCTGGGATTACAGGCGCCTGCCACTGTGCCCAGCTAATTTTTGTATTTTTTTAGTAGAGATGGGATTTCACCATGTTGGCCAGGCTGGTCTTGAACTCCTGACCTCAGGTGATCTGCCTGCCTCGGCTTCCCAAAGTGCTGGGATTACAGGAGTGAGCCACCACACCTGGCCTTGAGCATGCTTTTGTTTGCTTAGGAACTACACTGCAAATCCCTTCCTTTTTGTTAACAAAAGAAATGGAGGGTACTGATACTTACGACCTGCAAGTGGTTGTAAACAAAGAACTTGGAGCATGTTTGCCAGCTAATCAGATCCAGGGAGGGTGTAAAGTTAGATTAAATTTGGCCCTGCTCTGTTTACTTTCTTAAGTGACATCTTTTCCTGTCATTCAGTGTGAATAGAGGAGGATTTTCTTGCCTTCTCTCACATAGATTTGTTACCCATGTAAAATGCAAACCTTTAACTTTGTCAAGAATTTCAAAGCGTGTGCAGTAAACCCTCTGAAATTCTCTACCTAAAGCTCAGTCTTCGATCTCCAAAGAACGAAGTCAGATTTTTTTTTATTTTTACAATTTATCTACTTTCAGCAGAAATTTTTAACAATCTTACATAAAAAGTAAAATGATCTTACCATTTCTAAATATCAGTACAAGGCAGAGTTTCACATATACTTTGACACTGAGAAGAGCACCTTAGGGACCCTTTTTTTTTTTTTTTTTGAGATGGAGTCTCGCTCTGTTGCCCGGGCTGGAGTGCAGTAGTGTGATCTTGGCTCGCTGCAACCTCTGCGTCCTGGGTTCAAGTGATTCTCGTGCTTCAGCCTCCCGAGTAGCTGGGACTACAGGCAGCTGCCACCATGCCCAGCTAAGTTTTATATTTTTAGTAGAGATGGGGTTTCGCCATGTTGGCCAGGCTGGTCTCAAACTCCTGATCCACCCACCTCTCCCTCCCAGAGTGCTGGGATTACAGGCATGAGCCATTAACACCCGACCAGCTTAGGGACCTTTTTATAATCTTTCTCCAAGACCATGTTTTACTGTTAGTCCTCCAAAATGAGTAGAGTCATATCGCTGTTAATGCAACTTGTTATACATGCTTGGCAAAAAACCCAGAAATATAAACATTTAAATTGTGTGGGTAATTTTGTATGCTATTAAAGTGAGTGTGCATCTTATTGAAGGTGAGATGGGAAGTTTGAATCTGCTGTTCTCTCATAGTATGAGCAGTTCACCATCCTGATTCCTGTGTTTTAAAATTTTTTTTTAAAAGTATGGCTTTAGCTACTTTACCTAGTGCTCAGTGAATAAATGGCTGTCTGTCCACACTTTGTTGGACTAACTGGCAGGGTCTGTCTCTAAAATAATTCCTTCCTATAGAATAGTGGTCTGCAACATTTTTGGCACCAGGGACCAATTCCATGGAAGAAGACAATCTTTCCACGGACGGGGAAGGGGGCAGGGGATGGTTTTGGGATGAAACTGTTCCACTTCAGGTCATCAGGCATTAGATTCTCATAAGGAACGTACCACCTAGATCCCTTGAATGTGCAGTTCACAGTAGGGTTCATGCTCCTGAGACTCTAATGCTGCTGATCTGAATGTAATGCCCCTGATCTGACAGGAGGTGGAGCTCAGGCCCTAACACTCCCTCTCCTGCTGCTGACCACCTGTGTGGCCTGCTTCCTGCCAGGCCATGGACTGGTACAGGTCTATGGCCTGGAGGTTAGGGACCCCCAATATAGAATTTTTGGGGAGTGACATTGACTATGCAAGTTTGCCTTACAAACTGACTTGAGAACCCTCTGCTCTACCTACTACCCTTAAGAAATGACTGCACTGTGAGGCTTCAGTCAAAGAACGTGCTGCCAGTTTGTGAGGTGGTAATTCACCTGAAGGATTTTTAATCCCAAAGTAATGTGTTACTTAACATTTTTCAGGGCTCATCAGTTGCAATTTAAAGATTTCAAATATATTTGAATATTAACCTAAACCTAGAAAGTTAAGTTTTTTAGAAGAAGAATGTATATTGAGTATAGTCCAAATAAACAGTTAAATGTAATTTGGATTCTTGATTGCCCTTAAGCGGAACTTCTATTTTTAATGCCATCTTTCTTATTTATTTATTTATTTATTTATTTATTTATTGCCCAGGCTGGAGTGCAGTGGTGCGATCTTGGCTCACTGCAACCTCCACCTCCCAGGTTCGAGCAATTCTCCCGCCTCAGCCTCCTGAGTAGCTGGGATTACAGATGCATGCCACCACACCCAGCTAATTTTTGTGTTTTTTAGTAGAGATGGGGTTTCACCACGTTGGCCAGGCTGCTCTCAAACTCTTGACCTTGTGATCCGCCCACCTCATCATCCCAAAGTGCTGGGATTACAGGCATGAGCCACTGTGCCCTGCCAATGCCATCTTTGTTACTGTGGTTTTTCTTGGTAGTTCTGATGTCATCACCTTTTTGATTTTGCTAATAACTGGTTTATTTCTCTCATGCGGTGATACCCTTACCAAAGTAAGGGGTGTTTAATTAATTACATTGTACCAAATTTGATTTAATTGTATATTTATTTTCAGTTGGATAACAGGGCAAGATTCAGAGGAAGAAAAGGATATTGATGCATTATGTTGAAGCCAACATGGAAAACAACAAATATTTTCCCTGGTCATTAACACAAAGAAGCCAAAACAGGAAACATACTTTTTACTACATCTGTTTGGTTGGACCAGATTTCCCCTCCGTGGAACACTGAAGAAAGTGGATGAGTTGTTTTCGAATATGTATAAAGTAAATGATTCTCTTGATCCAAGTTATTTTTAGAAGAAAAACCTAATTGAACAGGTATGGGTTGGGAGCATAATAAATGTGTTTTGAGAATTGTTCTAAAGCACAGAAAATGGAAAGACTGTTATTTGCAAACTTGACTCTTCAATTGAATTACCCAATTAGTACAGGCCACTGATTTGACTGACACAGTCGATAACATGCAGCCTATCCAGAAGGTGTCTGTTGGGAAAGTTTAGGATAAAACTTTTTCTTTAGTTCAGTCTTTTCCTGTCTAGTTCTAAAATGAATTGTGTTTGATTCCTTAGAGAAGAAATACTTCATTTGTGCTCTGATTCACTGAAGTAATAACCTCAGCACTTTAATAGCGTCCACAGGCATAGCTGATGCTAGGCCCCAGATTGTGTTGCCCAGGCTCTTTACCATCATCTTCGGACTGTTTTTGTTTCCTGGTTACATTTTCAGTCTGGCCCGCTCTACATAATGGGCCAGTGTCAGCTCCAAGTCCACATCCTTATTATCCATGATTCAAAAGGGAGAGAGAGAACTTCCTTTTTCAGGGTCCACAAATCAAATCTATAAAAGGACTCTGGTCTTCCCAGGATCACCTGCCCTTGCATTGGACCAGTCCCTGTGGAAGAGGGGATGGGGGCCTGTGATCTTGGCCAGGCCTGGGCTATCTATCTGCACTGTCATTGCTAACTCCTGTCAGAATCACATGGATGAGTAGTGGGCTGAATCCCAAAAGGAAAGGGGTTTAGAGCAAGTGGAAACAACAGATGTTCACTATAGAAAGCAAGAATGAAAACCATGAAGTGGTTGAAGATTAGCCTTACAGTAATTTTATTCTGATCACTTAATACAGTAGAGTCAAACAGGAATCCAAGTTTCCAACTTTATTATTTTTGGCACTGAAGAATTACAAAGAACTCTAGCGTCTTTATACCTCCGTGGTTCACTGGAGTTAAAGCAATCGGGGCGTTGTACAGCTCACTTGAGTTTTTAAAGGTTCTACTAAAAAGTGAGAATTCCACAGCAATATGGGTCATTGTTGCAGAATATCACAAAGGTCTGTTGTGTATACTCCTTTTCACCAGGAAAGGGACAATAATAGTTTTTTTCAATGTATATATATATAAGTGATCTAACTTTTTATTAATAAAAGTAAACAACTCTAAAATGTATATTATAAAGCCCTGTCATCTTTGTTGAGTAATAGCTTTATTGAGCTTTATTTGGAGAAATACACATACCGTAAAATTCACACTGAAACTTACCAATTCAGTGTTTTTTATTATATCTACAGAGTTGTGCAACCATCACCACTAATTCCAGAACATTTGCATCACTACAAAGAGCAACCTGTACCCATTAGCAGTCACTTCCCTTCTCCCTCAGCCTCTAAAAACCACTAAGACACTTTTTATATAACATGTAGCCTTTTGTGACTGGCTTCTTTCACTTTTACCATAATGTTTTCAAGGCTCATCCACATGTAGAATCTATCTGTACTTCATTACCTTTTGTGAATAATATTCCATAGTATAGATGCACCACATTTTTTTATCCATTCATCAGTTGGCAGACTGGTTTGTTTACACATTTGGGCTATTATGACTAATGCTATGAACAATAGTGAACAAATTTTGCATGGACATATGCTTCTGTAAGAGTGGAATTACAGGGTCATATAATTCCAACCTTTTTTTTTTTTTTTTTTTTTTGAGACAGGGTCTCTGCTGTTGCCCAGAGTGCAGTGGCATGATTACAGCTCACTGCAGCCTCACCCAGGCTCCTCCTAACTCAGCCTCCTGAGTAGCTGGGACCACAGTCACGTGACACCATGCCCAGCTAATTTTTTTTGTATTTTTGTGGAGACAGGGTCTCCCCATGTTGCCCAGGCTGGCCTCAAACTCTTGGGCTCAGGTGATCCTCCCACCTCGGCCTCCCAAAGTGCTGGGATTACAGGCGTGGGCCACTGTTCCTGGCCCAACTTTAACATTTTGATGAACTGCCAAAATTTTCCACAGTAGCTGTACCATTTTACATTTCCACCAACAATCTTTGAGGGTTCCAGTTTCTCCACATCACCAGCAGTTATAATTCATGTTTGATTACAGCCATTCTACTGGGTATGAAGTGGTATCTACTTGAGATTTTGACTTTCATTTCTCTAACGACTAATGATGTCTGAGCATGTTTTCATGTGCTTATTGGCCATTTGTATGTCTTTAGAGAAATGTCTATTCAAGTCCTTAGTCCAGTTTTCAGTTCGGTTCTTTTTATTGTTGTAACAGTTTTTTGTATGTTGTAGATACAAGTCACCTAAAGATAAGTGATTCACAGATTCTCCCAATTTGTGGTTTGTCTCTTCACTTTCTTGATGGTATCCTTTGAAGTATAATTTCTAATTTTGGTGAATTACAATTTATTTTTTTCTTTTGGTGTATCTAAGAAACCATTGCCTAATCTAAGCTTAATGGAAATTTATTGTTTTATCTTCATTTAAGAGTTTTACATTTTTACCTCTTACATGTGAGTCTGATTCATTTTAAAAATAATTTTTCAGGCTTTTATTTGCAATATATTTTTAAAATTTTAAATGTAAGATACATATAAAATTTACTATCTTAACCATTTTTAAGTGTACAGTTCAACAGTGTTGAGTGCACTCACAATTATGCAACCAATCTCCAGAACTCCCCTTCACCCCCACCACCCCTCCAACTCTCCACCTTGACAGTCACCATTCTACTTTATGTCTACAGTAAGTGCCTCGTGTGGAATCATACCACATTTGTCTTTGACTGGCATATTTCACTTAGCATATGTTCTCAAGGTTCATCCATGTTGTAGTATGTATCAAAATTTCCTTCCTTTTTTAAGGCCAAATAATATTCAGTTGTATGTATATAGCACATTTTGTTTACCTATCTGTCAGTGGACACTTGGGTTGCTTGTGCCTTTGGGTAACTGTGAATAATGCTGCTGTGAATATGGGTATACAGATACCTCTGTGACCCTGCTTTCAGTTCTTGTGGGTATATACCCATAAGTGGAATTGCTGGAGCACACAGTTATTCTAATTTTTTCAGGATCAGCCGTACTGTTTTCCACAGCAGCCATACTAGTCTACAGTAACAGCACACAAGGATTTCAACTTTTCCACATTCTTGCCTATACTTGTTATTTTTTATTTTTTTTTAAATAGTGGCCATCCTAATAGGTGTGAAGTATCTCAGTGTGGTTTTAATTTGCATCTTCCTAATGATTAGTGGTGAACATAATTTCATGTACTTGTTGGCCATTTGTATATCTCTTTGGAGAGATGTCTCAAGTCATTTTGAATGAGTTAAATCATTCAAATGGGTTAAATCCCTTAAAATGGTTAAGGTGGTAGATGGGTATTAAAAAAATAGGTTGTTTGCTCTTTTATTGTTGAAGTTCCTTGTATATTCTAGATGTTAACCTCTTATCAGATGCATGATTTGCAAATATTTTCTCCCATTCTGTAGGCTGCCTTTTTTTTTTTTTTTAAATGCACAGGGGTTTTGCATTTTGGTGTAGTCTAGTTTGTTTTTACTTTTGTTGCCTGTGCTTTTGGTGTCATACCCAAGTCACCGCTGACTCCAATGAAGTTTCTCCTGTGTTTTCTTCTAGGAGTTAGAGTTTTAGCTTTTAAATTATGTCTTTGATCTATTTTGAGTTAACTTTTGTATATGGTGTGAGTGTCCAGCTTTTTTGCCTAAGGATAGCTGGTTTTCCCAACACCATTTGTTGAAAAGATGTTCTTTCCCCATTGAATGGTCTTGGCATCCTGTGGAAAATCATTTGACCATATATGCCAGGGTTTATTTCTGGGCATGCTATTCTATTCTGCACTTCTGTCTGTACATATTTATGCCAGTGCCACATTATTTTGATTACTGTAGCTCTGTAATAATAAGCTTTGAAATCAGGAAGTATGCGACCTCCAGCTTTGTTCTTTTTCAAGATTGTTTTGGCTACCTGGGGTTCCTTGAGATTCGATGTAAATCTTAGGATGGATTTTTCTATTTCCACACACAAAAAAATCAGTTGGGAATTTGATGGGGGGGGGGTACATTGAATCTGTAGCTCACTTTTGATAGTACTGTCATCTTAACAATATTAGGTCTTTCAATCCATGTGCGCAAGATGTCTTTCCATTTTTTGGCATTCTTAATTTCTTTGCAGCAAAATTTTGTAGTTTTCAATATACAAGACTTTTGCCTCTTTGGTTGTTTATTCCTGAGTATTTTCTTTATGATGCTACTGTACATAGAACTGTTTCCTTAATTTCCTTTGGAGATTGTTCAACAATGGTGGGTTGTTTTTTTTTTAAACTTTTAGAAATACATTTAATTCAATTCTATAAATATTAGTCATTCAAAATCTGGCCACAATCTTAGGAATACAAAAGTAAAATCCCAGTTCTTTTTTTCCTAAAATGTCACAATGTAATAGATCTAACATTGCATATATTTCTGATGTGATGAAATGTTGATATATATTTTCTATCGTGCAAACTACAGCTCTAAAATTTTTCAAAGATAGTACATGTATTATGTTTTCTATAATACTTACACCATCATTATTGTTTTACCTTTTATGTCTCATATTCTATTTTAATTATGGAATGGTATTATTACATATCCCTGATAAAAATATTAAAATGTGCTATGGGAAAATTAAGAAAAGACATATTAAATAAACCTTGTTATGTAGTAGCAGGGACGTGGGAAAGCTCCTTGGAAGAAGTAAGGTTCATCACTCAGAAGTCAACCTATTTAATACAGAGATAATGATTCAACTTTACTTCAGAGAATTTAAATCTGCAGCTACCCTCTCATGGTTTGAATGTAGTTGGTGACTATTTTTTTTTTATACTTTAAGTTTTAGGGTACATGTGCACATTGTGCAGGTTAGTTACATGTGTATACATGTGCCATGCTGGTGCGCTGCACCCACTAACTCGTCATCTAGCATTAGGTATATCTCCCGATGCTATCCCTCCCCCCTCCCCCCACCCCACAACAGTCCCCAGAGTGTGATATTCCCCTTCCTGTGTCCATGTGATCTCATTGTTCAATTCCCACCTATGAGTGAGAATATGCGGTGTTTGGTTTTTTGTTCTTGCGATAGTTTACTGAGAATGAACCTGAGAAAAACAAGCAATGGGGAAAGGATTCCCTATTTAATAAATGGTGCTGGGAAAACTGGCTAGCCATATGTAGAAAGCTGAAACTGGATCCCTTCCTTACACCTTACACAAAAATCAATTCAAGATGGATTAAAGACTTAAACATTAGACCTAAAACCATAAAAACCCTAGAAGAAAACCTAGGCATTACCATTCAGGACACAGGCATGGGCAAGGACTTCATGTCTAAAACACCAAAAGCAATGGCAACAAAAGACAAAATTGACAAATGGGATCTAATTAAACTAAAGAGCTTCTGCACAGCAAAAGAAACTACCATCAGAGTGAACAGGCAACCTACAAAATGGGAGAAAATTTTCACAACCTACTCATCTGACAAAGGGCTAATATCCAGAATCTACAATGAACTCAAACAAATTTACAAGAAAAAAACAACCCCATCAAAAAGTGGGCGAAGGACATGAACAGACACTTCTCAAAAGAAGACATTTATGCAGCCAAAAAACACATGAAAAAATGCTCATCATCACTGGCCATCAGAGGAATGCAAATCAAAACCACGATGAGATACCATCTCACACCAGTTAGTTAGAACGGCAATCATTAAAAAGTCAGGAAACAACAGGTGTGGAGAGGATGTGGAGAAATAGGAACACTTTTACACTGTTGGTGGGACTGTAAACTAGTTCAACCATTGTGGAAGTCAGTGTGGCGATTCCTCAGGGATCTAGAACTGGAAATACCATTTGACCCAGCCATCCCATTACTGGGTATATACCCAAAGGACTATAAATCATGCTGCTATAAAGACACATGCACATGTATGTTTATTGTGGCATTATTCACAATAGCAAAGACTTGGAACCAACCCAAATGTCCAACAATGATAGACTGGATTAAGAAAATGTGGTGCATATACACCATGGAATACTATGCAGCCATAAAAAATGATGAGTTCATGTCCTTTGTAGGGACATGGATGAAATTGGAAATCATCATTCTCAGTAATGGTGGGTTTTAAACATTTAATTTTTACTGTTAAACAACCAGTATACCAAAAAGTGAATAGGATGTTCGTATGTTAAGAACAAAGTAATCTGTCATGTAACTGGCCATCCAGATCAAGATAACATTGCCTGAACCCCCTGTAATTTTAGCCTGACTTTTTTCAGAGACCCTCTCACTCGCCCCTTTACCACACTCTGCCATTTGCCTTCTCCTTTGACCTTTTGAATTTGGCTCGTGATGCATTTAGCGTAACCGATTATGTAGTGAGAAAAACAGCGTGGTCCAGTGCTGAAATAGGAAATATTTCAGTTGAACACCACAAAACCACCATTTGTTCATGTGTTTATTCAACAAACTTTAGCTCCTTCACAGCGGGCATTACACTTGCTCTTGTGAATACAGAGGGGACTGACAGTGGACAGGACATGCATGAAAGAATCTTCATAGTCAACAATGAAGGAGAGGAAGTTTTTTTGAAAGGGCCAACTTCATTTGTGGGGAGAAATCACCATAGAGGAAGGCAGACCTGAGACTAGCCTTGCAGGAGGGGTGAGGATGCTCAGGAGAGGTCCAGATCCGAGGGGACTGATACAGACCAGGCCTTGGGGTGCATGGATGGAAATTATGGGATGGTTCTCAAGAGATACAGGTTCAGTGGCTGATTGATGGGATGTGGAGGAGAAAATGATCCCAAGGTCGTCTATTAGAGGGAGACTCAGCCAGCTTGGAGGAGGAGAGGCATGAGCATGCTGTATTTGAGATGCCTGCAAGACAGGCATGGTGCTTAGATGTATAGGTAATCTGGACCTTGGGGGAGAGTCTGGGATGGACCTAGAAATTTAGGAGTCACTACCATATAAGTGACCATTTGTTCAACAGGAATGTGTAAGATTTTTCAGGAAGATCATCTTAAGTGAGAAAGGGAACCCAGGAGAACACCACGCCATTAGTGGCAGGTGGTGGGCAACATAAAATTTGAGAGTGAGGAGGGATGGTCAGAGACGTAGGACCACCAGGAGAGAGTCAGGCCACAGACACCGAGGGAGGGCTGGGTGGCGAGGAGGAGGAAGCAGTGAAGTGCTGTGTCTGTCTACATCCATCTAACACAGGCATCCTCTTTGGAGCCATGGAGATGCAAGTGTGTTTCCTACCCTGTCTGCTCAGCTTTTTCTGTTATGTGGGACAACAGTGTGAAAGACCTGCCTGGACTGGCCTGCAAGGCCCACAGGGGCCTGATGCAGGAAGAAATCATGGCAAAGACAGGGTTCCAGTGGAGGGAATCTAGAGTATGGGTGTTTTCAGGCTACACCCTGGGAACCCTGTCGTAGCCTGGAGGGCAACAGCTAATAAAAACAAGACCAAGCTACTCTCCGTTTGCCTACTGTTGGCACAGGATGGGGGGTGGAATCGTATGGAGGGTGCAGCCTCAGGCTGGAGAAGCCTCCCTGGGGCCCCTGGCAGGGGAGGGAGTGCCTGTGCAGGCCAGCTCACAGGATCCCACTACACTGCAGAGCACGGTGTAGCCCCCACCAGCTTTTCCCACTCAAAAGTCATCATTTGGCCACCAGACAAATCGTAGACTGATCCTGGGGCCGATGTCCACGGTGCTGGTTGGTACCCACAGTTAGCGTCAGCAGGGCATCAGGAGGTCAGTTGCAGCCAGGGCCACTATTGGGAGCAGACAGCCTGCTAAACACAAGTTTCCATCTGTACAACCCAGCGCTCTCTCTGCCAGAGGCCGCGCTGCTTGGTGTTCACAGGAATGAAAGATCTTTTTGGTCAGCATATACCTCTCAGAAAAGGATGCTATTTTGCTTTTTTTTCTGTCTTCCTGATTTCAAATACTGGATTTTATCCACTGTAAATTTGATTACTTCCTACTTTTGGAAATAACCAGGGTCTCTGAGAAGAGGGCACTTTTAAAAGTGTAAAAACCATCATGGATCCCGATAAGCCAGCTCTGCCCCTCTCTGGAGGCCCTCATGGGCAGCCGGGGGCCAGGTCAGGCAGCCTGAGCTGTTTCCTGCTGCCCACTCCTCTCCAATCTTCCTTGACCCCCTTGGTTCTGTCATCACTGCCACCCCTGCAGGTTCCACAGGGAGCGTGTGCTTCTGGGCTGGGGTTCCTTCTGTGCACAGCAGAGCAGTGCCCTCACTATAACTTACAGAAAATCGGCTCTTAAGAGGGGCTGGTAGAAGAGGACATTTTGGGGAGAAAGTGATAAGAAGAAGAGAGTTTGTCCATCTCCAAATGCAGAGTTCTGTGAGGGCCTGCCTGCCAGGAGGAACTGCTGGTCTTGGAAGAGCCATCCCAGGAACACGATGGCATGTGAGGCCAGTTCCTTCTGTCCATGTGTTCCCAATACCCCTATACACAGAACAGCTCTTCTCCCCCCAGCTTAAGAGAAATGCTGGCAGCCCTTTAGAGTGACCAAAGAGGTCACACTGCCCACTGAGAGACATCTACTGCTCATTACTACAACATTAGGAACACTCAATGCTGCTGAGGATACTGTGAGAAACCTCTATTCAAAAATGGTGCCAACCTGCTGTGTGATGCTGGTAAAGAATAGAGGGAGGTTATGCAGTAGAACAATGTACAATGAAGTAACCTCCCCACATGGCTAATCATTTCTGTTCTTGGAAAAATCACAAATCGGGAAGCTCCAACCTCCAGCTCCTCTTACCTTCCTCCAGCGCAAAGCCTCCCTGGGACAACTCCCCTAGATCTGGGCAGCCAGATTGTGCCAAGTCATCTACTAAGCAGAGACTCAACAGGAAACTGAAGCGCAGCACCAGAATGGCATGCGGAGGGAGGGCAGGAAGAAGCTCACGGTAGCTGATGTCTGGGCGTCCTGACATGTCTTCTTCTTGGCTTAACTTTAAAGAGAAGCAAAATTAGGCCTGACCTTGAGGGATTCCCTCTGACTTTACATACTGTAAGCACAACACAGGACTTACACCAAGATGATTCCAGATGGATTGATCTAAATGTAGGACTGAAACCATAAACATCCTAGAAATAAGAACAGGTAAATGCTGAAAAAATAATCCTGAGACATGAGAGTGAAGGTAGAAACTGTTAATAATATTAAACTGAGCATGGCCCATGCACCAAGCAAGGTGCCAGTGAGCACTTTAGTCCAGCCCCTCGTCGTGGGCACGCAGCCACACCACCATGCCCACAAGGACATGGCTGTCCCATATGTCCCACCTTCCATGGTGAAGCCAGGACTCCATTTCAGAACAAGCATCAAAATGAAAGACAGGTATATGTGACTACATAAACCATTTAAAATACTGTATAACTCCTACCACAGACCAAAAGACAGCTGACAAATAGGTTAAAAAGTGTGCAACATATGACAGGGGCTAATACATTGTATATTAAAAACAATCTATATGAAATAGATCAACATTCCAATGAAGTCACAAACATAGAAATATCATAAAGGTATAAAAGATGTTCAGTGTTCACAGTAATCAAGGAATCAGGACACTGAAACGAGGTGCACTGCTACCATCAATGAGAATAAAGGGAAAAGGCACATGTTATTTTTGGTGGTAGCTTAAATTTCTAGGAGTTTGGTAATACTAAAAACTCCAAGAGTTAAACATTTCAATCATCCTTTAATTGTACATTTCCAGTGAGAGGAATTTTTCCAAGGGAGATAACGGGTCGTGTGTGCCTAGAAGACGGCACAGTGGTGCAAGATGCAGTCCTGGTGACGATGAACAGGGTCAATATTAATACAAGTGGAACTGCATTTTGACAAGTCATACAACGAGGACTGGGTTACCCACAGAGATGATGTGATCCATGTTCACAGACGGGAAGGTAACAACAATGGCTACCATTTATGAACACGTACTTCTGAGGCGCGTCGCACGTTCCTTATGAGGAAGGTACTGTTGTTGTCCACACTTTGCACATGAGGAAACGGAGGCTTGGAGAGGTCAAGCAACTTGCTCAGAGTCACCAGCCAGTCAGGGGCAGAACCAGGATTGGGACCTGGTCTGTGTGCTCCCAAAGTCCGTGCTCTTAACCTCAACGCTGTTGCCCCTCTGCTTCAAATTAGGCAGAAACAAGCTTATAAAATGGAAGTCTCCCATGGTCCCATGTTTACAAACATGTATTCAGCACCCGAGCACTCAATGCAATGCCCAAGAACAATGGTCCAGTCACAGGCTGGTCACATAGAACTAGTCCTCCTAATAGGATGAATCAGGCAAGACCACATTTAATATCTTGTCAGTTATTTATTATGTGTCATTCTAAAGACTAGCACATTTACAGCATACATGGCTTTGAATGACCTAAGAATATATAAAACAGTAACTGTATGTTTATATATATATAGTAATACTGCCCAAAACAAATAAATAAAGGTATCATAATGCACTAAGCTTGGCAAATACAATTGTGTAGGGACAAAACTGTATTATACAATATTTTTACATCTTTAAAGGAAACTAAAGGCAACTGTGCTCTGTAGGAGCTCTGACAGAATCCACATTACATTCCCAGTTTTCCATAGATCTCTTTTCTTTTTAAATGGGGAGGCATCATAAGGAACACTGGACGGAACCTCTGTTTTACGGTAACCTGTAAAACTGCCTTCCCTGCACCTCTGAAAACCCAAAGCTCCTACAGAAGAGAGGAGCTGCTTGCCTCTGTGCCACACACCCTCACCCTGCAGGCACTGGAAGCGTGTGATGCTGCCGGAAGCCCAGGAATGATGCCTTCAGAGAGAATACTGAAACCTGAACCTTTTCTATAGCATTTGCCAAGTCTTACAGTTTTATGGTGACCCATTACATAGAGCAAAAATTGGGAAAATAATTCATATAAAGGTGTCACATGCAAAACTGCTGACAGATGATCAACATTTGCTATATTCCCTTTGATGAGTGCAGATATTTAATGCTCTCCAGACAAAAAAGATCTGAAAACTATGTGGGTAATATTTATTTTTAAAAAGCAAGGAGATTTTTTAAAAGTTAAAATGAGAAAAGACAGAACTAAAAATTTACAAATTAAATGAGATGGTGGAGAGGTGAAAGGGTAAATCAGCCATATTGAAAACAAACTGTCTGTGAACAGAAATTGACACTTAAAAAGGAGAATCTGATACCAGCAGCAGCCACCTGTGCAGTGGGTTTGGCGGGCAGGAGCTTCTCTGCTTCCTGCCTGCCACAGTGAACTCAGCTTTGAGGGAGCAGCAGAGAGCTTCGTCCTTCATTAAAGTGTCCTTCACAGACATTTTCCTCCCTGCAGGCATCGGGAGACAGCAGGCGCTGCTTGCATGCTGACTTCTGAGTAGGAGGGGGTCTGGAAGGTCATCCAGTTCCACCCTACCTGATGCCCACCCCCTCTGTGTTCCTGCCAATAAGCAGTCCTCCCCATGCCTCAGCACCCCTGGCCCAAGTTTGTTACATGTTTCTAAAGGAACCAGAAGAATCTCTAGGCTTTTAGACAAAAGAATTTCTAAGAGGTTCACAAATCATTAGGATCAGCATCATTAATATGTGCCATATGTATTTCTTTTACAACCTTTTCAAGAACATGTAAACATCGTAAACAGAATCAATAAAACATATAAACTCCTAAGAAACAAACTCTGCTATGTGCAGATAAGACTCATCATCATCTTATAAAAGATGACCAGACAAAATTTTCTATGAAATTCCTAAGTTTTATGGCCCATAAATCCCTTTCAAAATCTCATTTGAGGAGAATAAATTTCAACTGTTTCTCAATAGTCATCTTACATAAGAATGAGAATAAGAAAGTAACAATTATTGCAAACCTAAAAATAAGACACTTTCATCAGACATTCAAACATGATTGTACTGTCTTTTCAAAGATAAATTGGAAATCCTGCAAAAAAAATTTTTTTTCTGAAAATATTTAGGTTTCTACTATCTCTATGGTCATAAATTCCCCATGGGAGTGTTGACATGCCACATCTGAGGCCCTACATTAACATCTAGAGAAGAAGGGGAGATGTGTCCTCTGGGCGTGAGGGAGCCTCGGCAGGGAGCTTCAGAGAACAGGAGACAGGCTAAAGGGACCTTACTGCTGGCTTTGTGTCTCCAGCAGACTCCCTGTTCTGTAACTCATAAGGGACAGAAAAAAGAGTGGCCCCAACTATGTGGGGTACCTTGCAGGTGTTACCTTCTAATAAAGTCTTATCTCCCGTTGATTTATCAATCTTTCTTTCAACTTCTTCAGGTGGTAGTGTAGATAGGATAATTCACTAGAACCCGTTATTCTCACTGCATGAGATAGTGCTAGCTTCTTTCCCCAAATAACATTTATTGGTATGCCTAGGATCCAATTATTTAATTTATTATTTACTGTTTTACATTCAGATTTTTACAAAGTGGATTGTAATTCAATGGTTACTTTTGAGTTACTCTGTAGAAAAGTAAGTGAGCAAGCAGGCATTTGAAAAAGTCTTCTAGCATTTCAGACAAACCTAGCTTGATTCATGTAGGTAACTATTGATGAGATCTGTGTAGTTACAGCCAAAGGCTATTTAATTTAAATAGGCAGTTGTTACTATCCACACTATTGAGCCAAACATTACCTCCTATTGATTCCAATGGGGAAAAAAACCCAAAAAACAAAAAACATGCTCCAGAGACTCTTTAGTGAAATGTTTTTTTTAAAAAAACCACAAAAAATAAAAACCAATCCTTCAGGTCTTCTTGAAGAATTCATATATGACACTAGAGGGTACCCACATTTATTATGTAACAGCTAATTAGAGGAAACCGTGTGTTCACGTTTCAACTTTTCCGTAAGTCCCTTCGGGAGGCCTGTAATGCTTGGGGAAAGCCTTCAGCTGCAGGGAATTAAATGCATATTTGCGACTTCCAACATTCTTCATTGTATTTTCTCTTCGACAACCCTCACTGGGGAAAAAACAAGCACAAGAAATGACGGCAGTAAAAAAGGAAAAAAGAAAAGACTTAAACTAAGATGAAATGAACTGATCATTTTCATAACATTAAAAAAAAGATTAATTTAAATGGGTGCCGGACTCATTTACAACAAATACATATGTAAGATGGCAGGTTTCTGAACAAGGCAATTAAGAAGCACAGAGATGGACACATGCTGCGTGGGGCTGTGAGTTGTGCGTTCCTAAAAGCAGCACTGTATCTAAGTGGAAGCAAACTTTTTCCAAGTGAATGGTTTCATGTAGCTCATGTCTTTTGGGGTTCTATCATAACTTGTGGTTCAAAGATTCCCTCACATAGCAAATGAAGTGGAAAAAGAAATATTACTACTCTTACTAAAGTTGCACTTCAGAGCTTTAAAGAGCCGGACTTTTCTGTATTAGCAAGAGCTGTAATCACATCAAATTCAAAATGCTGACTTTCCTTGCAGAATTCAACATGTAGCAAAGCCAGCTGGCTAGGAAGGCGTTCTGGTCTGCTGTCTCCTGGAGGACAGTTGTTCTGGGTGCCAGGTAATCCAATGGGTTCATGCACTGTCTGCAGAGCAGCCTGGCAATCAGGGCTGGAATGTTATGAGGGAGGGATCTCACCAAGTTCTGGTAGCAGCCAGCCACCCTTCCACAGGTGGGCTGCCCCCATGTGTTCCCTCTTGCACAGGTGCCACTGAGCCAGTGAGAGCCCACAGGTGCCCTTCCCTAGAGAACTCACTACCAGCGTCATCCTCAGCTGCATCTGATGGAGGGTTGCCATGGCAATCCAGGGGGCAAAAGCAAACACTGCATGGGAGGATGAGCAGCCAGGGGGCCTCACCTACTCAGTGAGCGCGTCCGGGGAGTTCTCTGGGAAATGTTCAGGTGTAGACATAAAACTAACCAGCAAAAGTGATTTTAAACATAAATGACTTCCCACAGCACAGTATAACTTGATGGTTTTATGCTGTTCTAAGACTAGCAGTGAAATCAACTAGTTATCAAATTTAGTACAAAATTCCCCTTATGAGATGTAAAATTTGCAGTTACCAAGAAACAGTGATTTTTTAAAAAATTCAAATTGTATGAAGACCATTATGTCACGCATTTAAAAAAAAAAAACATCAGTGGCAATTGCTCAAGCCTTTTAAAGTGAAAATGACAGTCTCATTATCAAGAACATGTAAAATACTTTTGGTAAGACAGTATTTTTTATTCAAAAGCTAAGCTCCGATAGTTTAGAAAAGTATCCACCTGGTTGTTGTAACTAATTTGGTAACTTGGATATGCTTTCTTGTCACGGAGCCTCAAGGCCTCAGCTAGATGTGTGTCATCTGAGCTGAACACCTAGGCCACAGGAGGCCCCCTGGAGTAAGTAACAATCGTGTTTGCCTAACATTCATTCAGTAATCAAAAACGTACTTCCACTTAAAGCAGAAGCTATAGGTTCCTATACACAGTTAATCTCCTTTAATCTTTGGAAACTCTTACATTAATGAACTACTTCAGATATGGCTTCTCCATTTATATAGAAATGTACAAACTGCTTAAAAACCACCTGTCACTAATAAATGCTAAACTGCCGTGAGGAGCGAGGCAGAATAATTTGTGAACTTTGACATTATCTTTTATTTACATGTTAAAGGAGTTAATGCCTAGTTTAGCTGGCTGAACACATCAGATGTGAAATTCTAATAAAGATTATACTTTCATTTCAACGTAGTTTTCAAATCAAATTGTATTTACTTTCCCCCAGATGTTTGAATTTGCAATATCCGGCTGATGTGGCTGATCCACATGCCGACACTGTTATCCCACCACCTGCCTGTGCGGACGAGCTGGCAAGAGGGCCCGGGGCGAGGCATGCAGAGGTGGCGAGGACAGCCTGTGCTAACTGGGGTTTCCTGCTGCAGAGGCCAAGCTGCTGCCCTAAGGCAGGACACCTCCACTGATCACGTCGGCTGCATACTTTTTAGGAACCAATGGTACATGTTGAGGTGGTCTTAGATTTTAGCAAGAGGGACTTAATTATTTCAAAGCTCCATGATTACTTTTATTATATCAATAAATTATTTCTTTTCAAGGGCATCCATTTTTGAAATGAAAATTAAAATGGAAACCCCAAGTGACAGATAATTTTAGGGAATCCTCTAGTTTTCCGGTTCCAGTGGGGTCTTCCACTTGAGAACTCATCTGCAGGCATCAGTATCTTAGTGATTCTATGGCTGAGCATGGGGTGGCTGCTACTCCTGTCACTTTGTGGAGGGAAAACAGGTCATTGTGTTAAAATCTCTGCTGGAATCAAGCCATAGGCGTAAATAGTGACTGTCACACTAGTTGAAAAAACTTATACAACAATTTTATAAGACCATCCAAAGAGAACCACTCCTGATTGTGGTTTCCCTAACTTCAGAAAGCTGATTTAATCTGAACACCTAGAGCTGGCTGACATCAACAATGCCTCAGCACTACTACAGTATAAGCAACTAAAAACCATCACTAAATGTCAATGACCCCTTTCTTGAATCATCTCCCATCTTTGTTTCATCCTGCCTATTTCTCACTAAAGCAAGTAAGATTTTGCATACGTATTTGGCCTGATTTCATGAGTAAAAGGCCTTAGTGACATTAAAATTCAGCATAAAGGGAGAGCAACTGAGTTTCTTTTCTCAAATACTTTAAGTTTAAAAAGCCAAAACCAACCCACCACCTAGGCTAATCTCATGGTGTCCTTTTGCTAGCTCTCCAAGTGCACAGGCGGCATACTGATTTTCACCCAGACCCTGGAGGAGAGAAACAAAGAACCTTATCTCGCTCCCTTTGGTCTCATTTCTCTCAGCCCACGGGCCAAGCCCACATGGGCAGAAAGGTGTGGTGACAATCAAGGATCAGGCCGTGGTGTCCTTGAGGCCCCCTGGGAGGGGCTCCTCGGCCTGGCCGCAGCTTCTCTGTGCTATGGGGCAGGGTCCTGGGAGGCGTCCCTGGAGGGTGCCACAGAAGCATCCTTGAGCCCTGGGAGAGGGAGGGGTGCTGTCTGCAGTCAGAGGGCCTTCCTCTGTGCATGGGCTCTGCCTAGCCACTAGCCCTGCTGTGGAAGTGGGAGTGCACGTAAGTCACCACTACAGGCATTGGAACCACGTTACCAGGAGCAGGACCAGGAAGCTGTGTAATGGGAACTGAATGAGGCTGTGGACTCTGCTCTCTTGCTTTCAAATAAAGCAAACAAGATGGTCTTAGTTGAAGTGCACGCCTCAATGTGAAAGAGGGAAAGTGGCAAACATGGCAAACATGCCTTTCAAATAATCACAGGCTGGACAGGACACTGCCCAGGGACTATTGTCATGCTGCCACAGCTTACACCACCCATGAGCTGGCGTTTGGTGACTTCAGACTCCCTACTGAAGGCCACCAGGAGCTATGCCACAACAGCCACCTCATTTATTTTAGAAGAGACAAGTGAACACACTGCACTTGGAGAAGCGTGGATTCACTTACAGGGGTGACACACAGGTGATGCCTGCCCCAGGGAGCCTGCAGTGCTCATGATGGTCTTACATTTTAGGATGTAAAGTGTTGAGTCTAGCATTTGCCATTCATTGCTAACTGCTTCTGTGATTCCTAGGACCCAGACTCTGAGCTGATACTGAATGAGAAAAAGCCCGGGGTAAGGTCTGGGAGTCCTGGAGAGATAATGAAGAGAGGTCGCTCGCTGCCTTTTGTGGTCGACTGGGTTTCTGGGCATGCATGGGTGTCAAGTTTCTGGAAAAGCAAGCTTCTCTAAATTCATTCCCATTTTTCTGGCCTGGTTAAAAAAAATCGTCTTCATAAACTACAGTGTATGGGGAACCAGCTGGAGATAGAAAGTGGAGGCACAACATAATATGAACTGGAAAACAGAGAAGCTGCTGACCGTCCTGCACAGGGTGTGGGGAGTTTTTCCTGATCTATTTGGTTACTTTTACAGGTGGACAATTACCCTCTGCCCTACATGGGTGTTAAGGTTACACTTCATCGCGCTGCAGGGAATGCCACGTGAGGACTGAGGGGGCACCAGCAGAAACCAGAGCGCCCTGCTGCTCTCTCAGCTCCATCCACCGCAACTGCCCACAAGTCAGGGATCACTTTTTTTTTTGGCATTTTTTCTTTGATTTTTTTTCATTATCAATCATATTTGATTAGTAAGAGAGAAAAGATGTTGGAACTTTAATCTGCAATTAAAGATACCATTTTTTAAATGAAAAATACTGTTTTAAAATAAATAAAAGTATATAACTTTAACAGCCTTTGGTGACTATATGCATTAATTCCTTGAACCAGCTGAATGATCCTTACATAGTGAAGAGTAAATCTAAAGTCACATGCAGTAGGTGATCTTTCTGTGTCTGGCGTATGCAGTAGGTGATCTTTCTGTGTCTGGCATATGCAGTAGGTGATCTTTCTGTGTCTGGCGTATGCAGTAGGTGATCTGTGTCTGGTGTGTGCAGCAGGTGATCTTTCTGTGTCTGGCGTATGCAGGAGGTTATCTTTCTGTTTGACTTATGCAGTAGGTGATCTTTCTGTGTCTGGTGTATGCAGTAGGCGATCTTTCTGTTTGACTTATGCAGTAGGTGATCTTTCTGTGTCTGACTTATGCACTAGGTGATCTTTCTGTCTGACTTATGCGGTAGGTTATCTTTCTGTCTGGTGTATGCAGTAGATGATCTGTGTCTGGCGTATGCAGTAGGTTATCTTTCTGTCTGGTGTATGCAGTAGGTGATCTTTCTGTGTCTGGCGTATGCAGCAGGTGATCTTTCTGTGTCTGGCGTATGCAGCAGGTGATCTTTCTGTGTCTGGCGTATGCAGTAGGTGATCTTTCTTTGGCGTATGCAGTAGGTGATCTTTCTGTGTCTGGCGTATGGAGTAGGTGATCTTTCTGTGTCTGGCGTATGCAGTAGGTGATCTTTCTGTGGCTGGCATATGCAGTAGGTGATCTTTCTGTGTCTGGCGTATGCAGTAGGTGATCTTTCTGTGTCTGGCGTATGCAGTAGGTGATCTTTCTGTGTCTGACTGTGTCTGGCTCTTGCTACAGTGTACTACTGTATTCACAGCTTTGTGTCATCCTTAATTGGAAATAATAAACATAAGCAAGGAAATGGTAGGATTCTGCAAACTGTTTGCTACTGTAATTCAGGGACTACGCTTTGAAATGAAAGCAGAAAGTACATGTCCTATTAGATAGGTTTTTCTAGATAAGCCAGTTATAAAGCATGTTTTTTTCTTTTCGTTTGTCATCAAAAGGAAAGGAAGGGTTAGCAGTACACTTAAAGAATAGTATCAAATATACAAATTCTCTTTAAACAGAACTCGTTTCTCTTGGAAACAGGGCACATGAGAGGTACAGGTGATAAATAGTTGTACATCAGAAGGTAGAGACGTGGTACAAGGAATTCCAGGCCAGCTAAACGATGCAGTGACAGGGCACCGTAAGAACATGTTACAAGCACTGAAGATGCTACAGGAGCTAAACAAACAAGTCTTCTTGGTGAAATAATTTGGCAGATATTTACAGTTCAGAAGAACAAAACGTCAAAATGTAAGGCATGAAATATTTCTTGGCAGACCACGGTTTGACACATTCCTTCTGTCCAGTTAGGTACACGGTGGCTGGACATGTTCTGGCACTTTTGTTTTTCTTGTGACTTATTAATTTTTCATAATGATATTCATTTGCAACGCAATTTGGTCACCAGGTATGCTATGCTCAGAAAGAGCCACACAATCAGTAAATTGGGGCTCAGAGCTAATAAAGGGATGGAACAGAGGAGGCTGGGGTCTAGCCTTAAGTCTCGGATGGGCACCAGGCCGCTCAAGTTCTTCTGGGTGACTACCTCCCGTGTTCCAATGCTGTGAAAAGGAAAAAGTTTGGGAGAAAGAAAAAGGAAAAAGGAAAGGAAAGAAAATAAAGAAAAAAAGAAGACACATGCGATGGATTTTATCAAAAAGGATGGGATAAACAAGAGAAACAAAAGATAAGGTTAAAAAAAAATGAAATGAAGTCACAATAGAAAGAAAAGATGAAATGCAGAAACGGGTATGAGAGGAAGACCAAAACAAAACCAGCACAGTTACAGGAAAAAAGGAGAGAAAGAGAAGTGAAAATAAGAAAAAATACTGCAATCTACTGAAAATAAACACATGTAGGTTGAACGAATGGTTTTCCATGTTCACTCTCTCGGCTGGCCAAGCACAACTCCATGCTGCCCGGCCATGCCCCCACATGCTGCACAGACAGGGATTTCTGAGAAGCAAGCGGAACATGAAGAACCATTGGGGATTTGACCTTCTCACAGATGCCTGAGCAGGGGGTGGTACAAAGGATTTGGCCAAAGCTGCCTCTTGATCAACCACGCAAACAAAAACCATTTACCTCAGGTACCAACCAACCAAGCGCAGAGCCCCCACCAGCCCCGCCTCGGGTTCCAGGCTCAGCAGTGGCAGGCATGAGCGACTGCTGTTTCCATCTTTGCAAGTTAGGGTTCTGAAAGCATCCCCAAGGGTGGAATCCAAACAATACCACACTAGAAATTTGGGGCTTCTTCCCCCTTTTGGTGCTACAGAAGAACTGCACTGAGGTGAGATGGTACCTAGAACCACATGACTCTGGAAGCACATTTATGTCTGCCAAGTGGCAGCAGTGACACAGAATCAGAGGCCTGAGGACACAGCAGGCAGCCTGTGAAGGCTCCACTTGGAGATGGGGAGGCAGGAGGCCCAGGGTTCCTCTTCACACAGAGCCCTCCCCAGCTCTCCCAGAGGAGCCCCGAAGCCCCCATGGCCCTGCTGGAATGTGCCATTCTGAGAGGGCACAATTCCCAAGCTGCGGAGCACCGACCCACTGCCACATTCCCTGCCAGGAGAGGCTGGCAGGGCCCTGTGGCTACTCAGGAAGGCCTACTTCGAGGGGTTCAGCCCCAGGACTGGGGACAGGAACACCCCAGTGGCCAAATGTGTGAATCTCTTCCCAACTCCATGTTCAATGGTGCCACATGGGAGCTTGAAATGGGCCCTGGTAGAAGCGTTTATGCCACAGAAATGGCAAACATTACAGATCAGGGCTTTTGGGGAGAGAGCTGGTGGCTGAACATTTACAGCACAGCACTGGCCATGGTTCACCCTGGGCCTCCAGGAGAAAAGCCTGGGTGCCAGCTTGGCCCCCACCCCCTCCACCCCCACCTGCATGCTCTACTCTTCCGTCTGATAAGATGCAAGCCAGAAAGCCAGGAACCAAAATGTCCTCCTGCACCCACGGGCAGGGTGGAAGTTTATGCTGCCTTCTGGGGCCCTCAGCTAAACTGCAGGTACTCGGCACCCCAGCAGCCAGAGCTGCTAGCTTGTGACCCAGCCACCTCGGCTTGCAGCCGCCTGAACAGGTACATGTCTTCCCCTCATGGGATCGTATCGAAAACAGAAGTCACCTTAAAACAAATGCCTGTGACAAGAGCCTCAGACCTGCAAGGGTTGGCTCAAGGTGGCAGTGAGCCATGTCCCCAGAGCTGGTGCGAGAATTCTGGGGCAGGCACAGGTAAAGTAGGATTGAGCTTTGTTTTGTTTTTATAACTTCTTTAAAAACTATTAAAGTGATACATGTTCACTGTAGAGATTTCAGAAAACAAAGAAATAAGCAAGTAAAAAAGGCATCCATGATTGGAGGCAGGGGTGGGGTTTAGAAAGGAAGAGGGCAGGGTGGAGGGAATGCTGCCTGTTCCCACAGGAGGAAGGGCCTTCCCTTTGCCAGGCCCCAGGGCCCTTACTGCTAATGCAGAGAAACAACAGCCCTTACAGCTTCAGAAGCCTCACAAGAGTGACAGGAAAGACAGCGCCCGGCATGGGCAGTGCCTCGTGCACTCTGGGACACTGGGCAGGAGAGTGGCTACTGTGGGGACCATTTGGTGATCTGTACTAAAATTATTCAAAAGCCTTACAAAGGTGTATACTTTTTAACCTAAGGCAATGTGGCTAGGGGAATGTATAAGGATATTCACTGCACCTTTGATTAAAATGCTGGAAAACCATATACAGCTTAAATATTCAATGACAGCAAATTGGATAAATTATAGTGTGTAAAATGCGGCTGGGCATGGTGGCTCACGTCTGTAATCCCAGCACTATGGGAGGCCAAGGTGGGCGGATCACCTGAGGTCAGGAGTTTGAGAACATCCCGGCCAACATGGCCAAACCCCGTTTCTACTAAAAATACAAAAAATTAGCCAGGTGTGGTGGTGGGCATCTGTAATCCCAGCTACTCAGGAGGCAAGGGCAGAATTGCTTAAACTCTGGAGGTGGAGGATGCAGTGAGCCAAGACTGCACCATTGCACTCCAGCCTGGGTGACAGAGCAAGATTCCATCTCAAAAAAAAAAAAAGAAAAAAAAAGTGATAAGGTCTACATTTATTAACCTAAAAAATGCTCACAAGACTGTTATTTGCAAATATAATTACACTTGTTTGTGCATGTGGGTGTTTTTGTTCTGTGTAATTCAGGGACTGGTTGGCCCATGTGTACATACTCACGCCCATAGGCATGTACGCATGTCTCTTATCTAGACAGTATGTATCCAAATGTCCGCAGCGCTACCTGTTCACATTAGGAAACTGGGGGATTCTTTGTGGGAGGGTTCTGAGGAACTAGTGTAGGGGCTTATCTGTATTTCCTAATTTTCCTACAAGGATTTTCAATTCCTTATGTGAGTAAAAGTTATAAAAAGTGCTTTGTGCACTATACATCCTAACAGCTGTAACTGTAACGGCTGTCCTGAGCACACAACCCAAGTGTGCTAGGGGCAGGCGGATGGGGCCCTTGCGGGTCTGGGCTCAGTGACAGGCCTGCCATCGCACTGTGGCTCTCCAGGGGGCCACTTTGTCACTGGTCTCCTGAGGTCTTTGTGTTCAGAGGTGGTCAGAATGAATTGTTTCCGTTGAACTTGTTCGAGAGCCCGAGAACTGAGTAGAGGTTTCCGCATGGACTGTGTGCCTAACTTGGGGTGCCAGCTCCTGACTGGCCCTGATCCTGCTCCTTGCTGCCACTACCACAGGGATCCCTGTCCACTTTGTTCTCCTTTCTTCACTGGCTGAGGTCTGCAGCTCACCAGAATGTCCCCTCCCACCACCGTGCAGCTAATGGGCACAGGCGTGGCTGCCGTCCCTCAGCACCAGGGTCACACTGGACATCAGGCCTGAATGGCACCAAGGCTCCTGGGGAGCAGACCAGGGAATTAAAATTTTAAAAAGGCGCCCCAGAGCACCGGTCTTTGAGTCTCCATTGCTTCCCTGAGCCTGGGCAGAGGGATGGCGAGCTTTAACAGAGAGGTTGAGATGAACTTGGAAAGACAAAACGGGACAAAACGATTCCATTTTTACAAAATGCACTTATCAAGAGGCAGGAGCTCACGCGTCGCTTTTGTGCAGTATTGTGAGAAGGTCAAACGGCAGAAACATACAGAAAGGATAAGAGAATTGAACACTTTAAATAATTTGGTGAGAGGACAAATGATACAGAACATTTAGTAGAAGTGACTGTTGGAAACGAGACTTTAACAGCATTGGTGACTACATCGAAGGAGACGGGAAACCAGGTTTCTTATCCTTTCTTTTGGTATGTGAGGTAGGGGGCTGCCCAGCAGTGCTTGAAACAAGGCATCGATCAACAGTAGACACTTTTAGTTCCGGGTTTCATTCTGCAAACACGCCTGCTGCCTCAGAATCAGAACATCATTAGGGTGAGGTCGCCAGAGCACACTGACAGCTCTCATGATAAAACACTCATTTGACACTTTGCTCATAAGAGCAAATGGTGTCGACTGCTAGAGAAGCAGCAGAGCAGACCGATGCAACCTGCAGACGCGTTGCTTCACTCAAGTTTGGAAATGTACAGATATCAATATATACACGACGACAACAGCAGATGCCTGCTGAGAAAGCACTGGCCCTAAGTCACACCCACGGCCAGCAGGTGGCCAACAGGGCACTGCATGTCATGGCTGCTTCCCAGCTTCCCGTTTAGCTGCCTGACCCGTGGCTTGCCCACCAGTCTACCAGTTTTCTGGGCAGTCCTGCTCAGAAAGTCCTGCTAGCTGTTACCCCCCACCTTACCTTACAAGAGAACCCTGTCTGAATTTGATAGTGCCAATAGTTTGACGGGTTTGTCAAACTCAAGTGTGAAGGCTGGAGTCAAGGGGCTCATGCAGGGTAGGCCCTGCAGGCAGGAGCAGGGTACCAGCTCATCTGCAGTTTACACGGGCCGGGGCAGGCGGGGCGCGCGGCCTGGCTGCGGCACTCACCTGCGCATGCACTCCAGGGCCTGGGTGAAGACCTGCGGGGCCATGCCATGCTCGTGTTGCAGGATCAGGCACTGCTCCAGTGTCACCGACATGGCTGTACGGTCCTTAGCGCTCTTGCAGCTGGTGAACCGGACCCCATTAAGGCGGCGGCAGATCTGCCAACAGAAACATGGGCCGTGCTTAGAGGCGAGGCTCCACAGAAAGGCAGCACCCTTCACACACAGGAAAGGCTCCCAACCAGCCCAGCAAGGGCAGGAACAGAAACTCAACACCCAGGCCTGGCCAGACGCTCCAATTTTGTTCCCCAACTCCATGCCCTGCCAGAGCTGGCAATAGAAACCAAGTCACTTACAGACACCAGCCCTTTTGGGGGCCTGCCGCCTGTAGGCCTGCCATCATCCCTGCCATCCCCTGTGTGGCCTGCCTTCTCCCACAGGACACTCTTTTGCAGTCCGCTGTCCCCTTCCAAGCCATGCCTGGGCCCTCTTATCACGTTCAGCCCTTCACTGCTGATCCCTCAGGGAAAGAGGGCGGCAAATATGACCCACTGGGGAAGCCAGAGCCACTCTCAGGATGCCCACAGTCCTGGGCCAGGTCTCTAGGTCTCCCTGGAAGGTAGGGAACAGACCTACTATCTCTACTCTCCTCTTTCACCTGAACAGACGGGAGCAGCTCAGAAGTTGCACTGCCCTTTGGCCACCTCCTGACCACCAGCCCCACAGGCCTCCTCCCGCCATACTTTCCCGGTAGCAGAGTTACTGCCAGCACACTTCCCTCCTCACAACTGAATGGCTCACAGAGTAGGGGGCAGGGCAGCCTCTGGACTGGGAAAAGGCCACCTGAGTGCACCTCCTCTCCCCATGGGGAGATTTCAGGGCATTTTCCCTGCACCTCTAGATACAATCCTAGGCACACAGTCACCAAATCCATCAAGCTCTGAAACAAGGTAATTTTTTCATGTAAATCTGTGGCAATCTCATTTGGCAGCACAACCAGACCTGAGCTGATATAAGACTACTTGCAATCTTTACTTATCCCATTTTATGTAAATATTCATACTTTTCAGTGTGGCAATAATATGAGCTTGGTTGCAGAGTGCTGTCTCAGGCTCCCCCGGGGATGTTAAATCCTGTATGTATACCATGGTACACATATGCGATGGGCACCATATTACTTACATAAGTAAACACCAACTGTGTACCACAGTACTTTCTAAAATCTGAAAACCTGTGCATTCCAAAGCATCTGGCCACAGGGGCTTCAGATAAAGGACTATGCACCGTATCAGATACTGCACTATGACACCAAGGCTGGTATTTAATGAAACATCATCCAAGTGATATGATGGTGGGCTCCGGGTATCTGTTGTATGCCAGAAAAATATCAGTGTCTCATCAACTCCTGAAGATGGCACAACACCTGCTTGTCAGGCCAGCAAAGCCAAAGAGCATGCCAGTCACTACCAGGATCATCACTAGACACGAACATGGTACAGTGCTAAGAACCTCGTCTAGGGAAAGGCAAAACAAAAGACCCAATGTTCAGGCAAGACAATCAGAAGGAGAATAGGCTTCTTCTGAGAACAGACCAACAAAAAGAAAGAAAAAAAAATAACAGGCCCTAAGCAGATAAGCAGACCCTAAGCTAATGGAGAGTAAATTAATCAAATTTGTAAAGTTGTAACTGACAAAGCAAGAGTGAACTTGGTATGTGCACTAAATTCTGTGGGCTGTAGAGTTCATGACCCAAACACATGACGGAAGCTGGAACTATAGGTTTCAAAAAGCTTTAAATTCATAGATGCTGCATCCAGAGCTAACGTGAGGTTCTGGAAGGCAGGCAGGGATGGCCAGTGATGCATCCTTGCCCAAGAGGGCACTGCAGTGCCAGGCTTCCATCCCAGAGGGACACCAGCCACTTGTGGTGCACTGCTGGGTCTCCCCATCCATGAGATATAGGCTTAGACCTGACTAAAGATATTCCAGCTATTCAGCCAGGGACCCTTTATTCATACACACAAACAAAAAGAAATAAGAGCCTGAAAAGGAGAGCAGCTCTGCTCAAACTGGGGATGGAAGGACTCAGTACCTGAGTGGCTGGCACTGCTGCCCCACAACCCCTTATCCCCAGGGGATGCCTGGGATTCGGTGGACAACGTGAGAACCCATGCAGCCAAGGGTCTCTGAGAGCCTTGCACCTCTACACTCATGCTTGTTACCCTGAGATCTCTACTGGGAACAAGAAATACAGGACTTGATGGACTGCTTTTCTGTTCTGGTGACAGGGGATGGTCAGTTGTCCCTATACTTAATGATTTTTCTATTATATGGCAATAGACAGGTAGAACCACAGTTCCCAAACAAGATATGCACAAGGTCTCTGCACTACTCGTCTGTAAACTGCCTGTGTGTGTATTCCAAGGAGAACGCATCAGTGAACGCACATCCCCCACCACTGTTCAGACACCTAGCTGTGTCACCCTCTGCATTCTTTTTTTTTTTTTTTTGAGATGGAGTCTCACTCTATCACCCAGGCTGGAGTGCAGTAGTGTGATTTCGGCTTACTGCAACCTCCGCCTCCCAGGTTCAAGCAATTCTCCTACCTCAGCCGCCCGAGTAGCTGGGATTACAGGCATGCGTCACCACGCCTGGCTAATTTTTGTATTTTTAGTAGAGATGGGGTTTCACCATGTTGGCCAGGCTGGTCTCGAACTCCTGACCTCAGCTGACTCACCTACCTCGGCCTCCCAAAGTGCTGGGATTACAGGCGTGAGCCACCGAGCCCGGCCACCCTCTGTATTCTTCGTGTCCTGTGGGAAAGGCTTGCTTTTCACACAAAATCTCTTAAGGTACTTAGGTAAGAGGCTGTCACAGCCTGGCCAGGGGGGTTTAGCAACCCCCCAGGAAAAATAAAAGTAGGGAGCCCCCTCTGTCCTGCTGCAGAGACCCCCGTAGCCAGTGTGTGCCCTGCCCTACACCCCGCTTGCTGGGCCTGGCCTGAGCAAGCAATGCCAGATGAGGCCCCAAAACCAAGAGGATACCTCAAAAATGAGGCCTGAGAAACCTGCCGAACTTCCTGTCACTTTGTGCTTCAAAATGTGTTCTGTTATAATGAAAAGATTTAGAGGGCAGCCAGGCCCAGAGAGGGGAGACCTGCAGATTGATCCACCCCACGCTTCCCACAAAGATAAAGTCTGACCAGCTGAGGAACTCAAAAGATGGAGGGGAATGTTCACTCTTTAAAGCTGAATTCAACAAAATGGTATCAGCAGCCACAACTGTTAACAAACCCAGAAGTGGAGCACATTCAAAAAGTGCGGCTTCATGAAGCCCGGCTTGAACACAGGACTAATAACCAACCCGAAGTGGCGGCCATGCACCATGAGCAGCTGAGACGGTCTGCTGCTGTAGAAGAGACTCGGGGCTGAGAGAAGCACCTTCCTGACAAGACGGAGAGGCACACTTCAGAGTGAGCTGCTCAGGGAAGCTGTGGAGGGCTGGACCCTCTGCTGCTCGAGCTCTGTGACGAGGCGTGGTGGCTGAGGTGTGGTGGGCAGTGCAGTGCCACCTCCCTCCTGGGCTCACCATCCCTCTCCTCAGGCCCAGGCAGGGAGCGGGAATGCCACTGGGGCCATGTGTGCCCGAGTCCCAGCGCTGGGCAGGTTATGCTGCTGTGGAGAAGAATTAACCTCGCCCCTCATCAAGGGTGAATGAATGACCAGCTATGAAATTGGTCTGTTACCCAGGCTCAGAGCAGTGGCTTGGAATTCCACAAGTAAACTTTGGAGAAAATATGAGCAGGGTAAGTGCTTGGGAAAATGAGGAGATCAGAGGCACAATGGACGATAAAGATGGTTTAAAGAGACCTGAAAGGTCACATGGCCTCCTTCTGACCCTATTAAATGATGCAGTAGACAGTGGTTTTCAGCTGGTATCGATCGCCAGGCTTCTGAGGGTGACAACTGTCATCAGCCTGGCTAGTAAATGCCCCAAGAGATGGACTGTGTTAAGCTTATCAGAATTCAGGCAGCCCCAAAGGAATGGACTCTGTGAACTGTTCAGTCTCTTTCAGAGCTTCAGAACGTACTCAGTGACTCCCTCCTCTCCCAGTATGGAGAGCTCTGCTCTCCTGCTGAGATTCTACTTTGTAATGTTTCTGTCATGACGTTCAGCTGTGGGCACCGCAATAGCCTCCTTTTCCTCTCTGTAACCAGTACCTCAGCAGCTTGCCAGAGAATGTCGACGTTCTTATTCTTCCGGGCATGCACGTTCTGACCCAGAAACCGCAGCAGCTCTGGCAGGCACGTCTGACTGCGAGACCGAGGCAGGCCTGGAAGAGAAAAGGAGTTCGTGGGAGTGGGTGACGCACCCAGGAACTCCCCCGGCAGAGGGAGCCCACCCAAGTGAGCTGCTGGGGCACACAGTGGTAAAACAATGAGTTCCCGGTTGAAGAAGGGATGGAGGTGTTTGGGGATAGGACATGGCTGCTGGTGTGGTGAGCACTTAATTTCTTTTACTGCCACCTTCAAAGGACATTTCCTTCATCTCCCTTCAGTTCTTCTGAGGGGCTGGGAATGGCCACCGAATCACCTACAGGACTCCTTGTAAATACCCATGCCTCCCGCACCCCTCCCAGATGAGGGAGTTAGGAGGGAGTGAGAGGGATCCAGCTGGTCGTCAAAACTTCCCGAGGGTAGAAGAAACTGGGGCAGTGGGTCTGAGCCATTGAGCAGGCCTGGAAACCTTGGGAGGGATCAGGAAAGTGCAGCCTCCTCCAGGGGGCCCTTGGCCCATGCCAGGAGAACACATCTCTGCGGGACCCAGAGAAGCCCCTGCTCCCACATCCTAACAGCTCCTCCTCCACTCTGGCAGTCTCTAGGCCCTTCCAGGACCCCTTGGGCCTGAAGATCCATCAGGTCACCTTACCAAGAAACCCCAGACAAAACTGAGGAAAAATCAACCACTCCTGGAAAGGTACTCTGGGATTTTCAAACACTGGGATTATCAGAGACAAAGAGAAGAGCCTCAAGGTCATGGCTAAGGAAAACAGCCACAGCGCCGGAATCCCCGAAGCCAAACCAAGTACATGGCAGCACTTGGGATCTAACTGCACACCTGGTTTCCACCACACAGCCTCGCCCTGGCGTACACAGGTCCTGTGCTAATTACTTCACGTTGCTGCTGAGTGCTCCACACCACGCCGGTCAGGGGACAGGGCAGAGACAGAAAGATGGAAAGGTGGCATCAGCTGAGACGGAAGCTGTGGGAGCCCAGAGGAGGGGAGCTTAGCCAGGTCAGGATATTTGCCCTCTGGCATAGACAGCACCATCTCACCTCCCAAGATGCACTTTGGCTTCTCGCTGGTTGCCCCTGCAGCCCCTGCTTTAATGAATACCTGTCCACTGAGGAACCACACAAAGTTTGGGGGTATTCAGCTGGTGGGCTCCATCTCCTCAGCCTCAGAGACCAGCCATCCTGCTGAGGGGAGGGGTACCTGGCTCACATCTGCCCCAGCTTCCTGGGTCATGGTCCAGTCGACTAGTTCCTGCCTGCGTGGTCCAGCCTGGCTGCTCTGCTTCCGGAGGCCTCGCCCATCCTGGGCCTTCACTGCCCATTGTAACAGCTCCCCGAGCCCTGGAGACTGCCTGCCCTCTAAGGTGCTAGGCACAAATTCCCCCTTCCTACTTACTGCAGCCGCTCACCACTCCCACTCCTCCAGGCCTCAGCACGCGCCCCCTACTCCCTCCCTGCTCACCTTCGTGGCTCCTTGGCTGGCCCTGCCGGTGGGCCCATCCTCTCCCCTACAGCAGTCAGAAGATGCTGCCTGGGCTTGGCCCAGCTCCTGGGGAGACTTGCCCTCCATGCCTCAGTTTCCTCACCTGCCAAGTGGGTGTGAAACCGGTGCCCATTTCCCAGGGCTGCTGTGGGGATCAGATTAGAGAATCCACATAAAGTGGATAGTAGGGGGCCCAGCTTGTGGCGAGCATGTGACAAATCTGCTGTTTGAACTCCGGTCCCTGCTAAAGAGCATGAGGACACCTTCTTAACAGTTCTGACGTCCATGGCACTGATGGCCTTCAGCTGCCAAGTCCTCGCAGGACCTTGACTTCATGCTATGTTTACCACCCTGGCTGTGGCACACAGGGACCACCTGGGGAGTTTCTGAAACCCTAATGCCCAGGTCCTGCCCACCACACTCTGGGGTGGGGCCCAGGCATCTGTATTTTTCCAGGCTCTCTGGCTCCAACTGCATCTCTGCCAGTCACCTCCACTCCCCTCAAGGCCCCGGTTCTGTGCTCACCTCTCTCATGTTGAGCAGGACAAGAACACCTGTTTTACTGGGGAGACTGAGGCTGCCCAACCTGAGCATATTTCCTCCATTCATGTCCCTACCTTCTCTCCTCCCTCCTTCCCTCCCTGCAAGGGCACCCTCCGCCTGCCCACTCCAGGGCCTGGTCTGTGACTCTGGTGTCCTCTTGCATCTTCCAGCCCTGTGTGTTCTCCTTCCCTCGGACCTTTGAGCACTCCCATGGCCCCTGCAGCTCCAGGGTGTGTCCCACCTGCCCACAGCCCCATCCCTCAAGTTGCTGACAGTCTTTGGGACAAAGTGGTCCATTCCAGGGCAGCACCATTTCATCACCCCTTGATCCCTGGCCCAGCCCTCACCACAGTGAGACTGTATGGGAGAGATCACCAGCAGCTCCTTGTCCACACATCCAGTGTCCGGCAGCGCCCCACACCCTCCTGGCTCCTGCCTTCTTCCTGCTAGCCTGTGATGCTCTCTCTCGCCTTCTGTTGAGTCCCTTCTTCCTCGCTGTCCCCCAGAGCAGGGGCCCCTCCAGATGCTGTTCCAGCCCCTTCTCGTCTTGTCACTCAGTGGCCTCAACCACCAAAGGGCTCTGCTCTGTGGCTCCACATCTGCACTCCCCACAAGTCATTTGCCCATGTCATCAGCTCAGCTGGGGCCAGTGCTGCACTCGCTGTCGGTCCCCTGTAGCCCTGCGCCTCTCTCATCAGCGGGACGGCCCCAGCTGTTGCCGGCAACTCCAGCGTCCTTGCCCAGAGCCAGGTCTGTCAGCTCTCCCAGCAGACACAGCCCTCACCTCCCCAGCGCCAGCTGCACGTGGCCGCTGAGGAGTGCATCCTCAGCCCAAACCCCCCTAACGCCTCATCCCTCTCTCCACGCTCACTGTCACTACCAGGCTGGAGTCAGAGTGAAACAACATCTCATCTGAAGTGTCACAGCCTCACTCTGGCCATCAGCGGCTTGCCTCCCCTCTTCCAATCCAACCGCACACTCTTGCTAGATGAACCTGTGAAGAGGCGTCTTTTTTCCCACTGCTTCCCTGCTGAAGCCACGACTTCTTGGCCCAGCCCCGGAGTGTTCTGCATCACTCTCTCCTAGCAGGACGGCTTCAGCCACAATCCAAGCACATGGGCTTCAGAGCCAGGCACCCCTTTCTTCATCTGGACATGGATCCTATCACCGACCCATAGGGCTGTTGTGGATTCAGCGTGGAAACGTATGTAGAGCCCAGCCCAGTGTCTGGCACATCCGTGACCTGTGAAGGTTCACCAGCAGTACTGTTTGACTATCTCTAAACTCTAAGGTCTACCGTACCGTCCAACAGGATGCAGATGAAGCCTGCCCAATGCAAAGCCCAGCCGATGTGGGTTCCCTCTTTGGAAACCCCCATCAGAGGACACTAGTGTAACACAGAGGGGATGATACCTTCTGACGCGTGGCGCCCCCTAGTGGCTGTGGCAGCGCCTGCACAGAGAGGCCGGCACTCTGGGACCAGCTTTCCCTCCAAGGTAGGGTCCACCCCTCATTCGCCATCGGATCCTCTAGCACTTTACACACAGCAGGTCCTCAGGGAATATTCACTGGGTTGAACTCAAGAGGGAATTCTCGTAGACAGTGCTGTGCAGCTCTCGGTTCCTCCCTTAGTTCTGTGGCTGCAGAGCCCTAGCTGCAGCATCTTCACTGCAGGACACGCAGAGAGATTACTGTCACCATCTCCACTGCCTCCAGGAGATGCCGAGATGGGGCCACCTTGCTCCCAAACACCCAGCAATGTTGGCCCCGCATCTTCCTCTCTAAGCACCACAAAGGGAAGTGAGTGGGCCGCTCACCTGGCCGAGGGTGGGTCCTGCCTCTGTGATTCCCCCAAGTCCTACCAGGAGGTGCACAATGCATGCCACCAAACACATCTTGTGTCAGTGACTACGACAGCATGGGAAGGAGCCATGTCACATAGGCTAGTAGAGAATCGACAGCAAAGAGATGAATGAGGGCCACAGCCAAGGGAAGCTTCTCTCTCTCTCTCTGCGTGTGTGTGTTTAGGGAGAAAGGGAACAGTGCACACACATGCACAGGCATGCACTCACAGAGGCAGGGCAAGCCAGAGCTCAGACATCTAAACTGATAAAAAGACGAGTAAGTGAAACCTACCATGACTGAAGAAATACTTACAATCCTCAGGCAAAACTTCCTTAAACTGCTCAAAGTAGGAATTTAACCGCACCAAACTCTCCACGTTGATGACTTCTTGTAAAGACGTATCGCCAAACCTTGGGAGGTTATAGGGGATGCCATTAGTTGGCTAATGTCACTTTCTTCTAACATGAACACAACTGCATGGAAGCTAACTATGCTGATTCTCTCAAACATTTACTATGCATATCTAAATTCTAAGCCACTCTCCCTCTTCCGAGCATAAAGGCATTTCTACAGTGTTGCTGATCAGTTTAAATGCATTCCATTGGCAGGAATCATGTATCACTGTTACAGGCGTGCCTGAGAGATGACCAGAACATGATGTGGTACAGATCCTGTGCAGCACAGGATCCCCCCTCACAGCCATTTGGCTCAGAGTCCCTGGTCTCCTCCCATCTGAGGCACTTAGGAGGGGGGACGGCAGTGAGGTATGGCTGAGAGGTGAGGATGCAGCCCTGTACTCCAATCTGAAGTCACTCTCTGTGTGCAGAATGAACACACCTGACTGCCAGCCCCTCCGGGACTGACATGAAGCCCTTGCCCTTTCGTCATCGTGCAGGTTCACCCTGATCACACTCAGTGTGCTACAAGGAGCATGTGCCAAATGCCTAAGAAACAAAGCCATAAAATGCCACCTGCAAGGAAGGCACAAGGTGATCATTAGGAAATGCAGGCTCTGAAGTCCAGGTCCTGGGCCCCAGTGCAGTCTCACACATCCCTGCTGAGGGGCCTTCCGAGCATCAGCTTCTCTGTGGCCCGAGAGCATCCCTCAGAGGGCAGGATTCCCTCCTACGGGTCCCAGCCCATCCACCCCTGGTGTCCACAATGGCCTTTTCTCTAGACGCCTGCTCCCTTGGGGGCCATCCCTGACTCTGGGCCTGTGGCCTCCCCTCTGAGGGCTCTTCCCTCAGCTTATAAACAAGCCCAGCTCACCAGTGACCTCAGGGCCAATAAAGAAACAAAGTCAAGAACCTGCCCTTTGCAAGTCCTCTCTGTCCTCAGTGTTGCATCCTCCACCCTCCCCTCTATTCAATGCACCTGGCTCTGGCTCAGCCCTCTCTAGAAACTGCTCCTGCAAGTCTGTGGGATCCGCAGCTACTGGATGCAGGCACCATCATTTTCCCTCCCCTGGGCCACCTCCCTGCTGGGGCTCCAGTGAGGCTGCGCCTCTCCCTGACATAGGCGCCTCCAGCTCTGCTCACACCTTTGGGGCTTTGCTTCCTGGGCTGGTGCCCTCAGTCCAAACCCAGCTCACCACCTGCCTCTGGACACGACTCTCCTGCCAGTTTATGAGCTCAGTGGGTGGGTCTGTCTGGTGTACTCTCCTCCCACTCAGCCCCAGCCCCAACCCCACTGAAGACCAAACCCTTCCACTGACCACTTTAACAGTTCCCCAGCCTACCCCTCTGCAGAACACCAACACTCCCCTGGCCCTGATCCAGGTTCCCACCTCTGGCCTGGACTCCTCCCAGCAGCCTCCTCCTCACACTTGTCCCCTTCATCTCCTCCCGGCACGTGCCAGCGAAACGACCTACTTTAAATGTAAATCTGATTGTGTCCTGCCCCACTGAGAGTTCTTCAGTGTCTCCCAGCAATGATACCATATTTCCTAAGTTGGTGTGACCCTACACCTAGGCGTCAATGGACATCAACCACTGGGGTTGGACATCAGAAGGCCCAGCAGGAACACGGCATATTGTTCTGGAAACCAAATTTCCTTCACAGCAAGTACTTGAAGATCTCTGTTTAGACTATTCTACACATATCACATGAAGATAAATGACAACACAGGAATCATTCTCATGTACTAGTGGAAGGCCAGTAAAGGGTACATATACCCAATCTACCCTATCTCCTCACACACATGTGCGCACACAGGCACACGTGCACACACAGGCACACACAACTCCCCTCTGCAGTGTGGCAAGTGACCCTGGAGGGCAGTTGCCTTTAGGTTCAGGCATGAGTCTCAGCCTGGCACACAGAGCCTGTCTACCCTTACCTGCCAATCCCTGCCTGGAACCTGGTGCCCCTGAACTCCATGCTGTTTCTCCTCGCCAGGCCTTTCTTCAGTCTTCTTAATCTGACATGTCTCCCCTCCACCTCATCATCCAACTCCTATTCACAATTCAAAGCCCCATCCCCTGCAACTCCAAGAAGCCTTTACAGACCCCCTAGACCTTGCTGGGTGCCCTACTCCGGATCCCACAATGCCCTGTATCTGTCTTCATCATTGCATCCATGTCTCTCTCTCTCCCACCAGCTGAGTCCCTGAGGACAGAGACCACCTCTGGGTCACTCTGTGTCCCTAGCACCAAAGACAGTGAGGTGCACGGCCATGATGAAAATGTTGGCCAAAGGAAGGAAGGATGACAAAGTCTGTCCAGCACTTAGAGCCTGAAGAGGGGTAAGTACGTTTTCTGCATCATCTCCAGGGCCACCACACCCCCGCAGCCCCGAGGAGCCGGCACGCACCTCTCGGCCAGTGTCTGCTGCTCATTGATGCCCACGTTGAAGAGGACGGGCTGCACTCGCAGCAGCATGCCACTCTGGATCTCCCGGGGCAAGGCGTCAAACAGCGGGCCCGGCAGAGGGACCCGCACGTTAAACCCGTCGCTGGAGAAAGGTGGAGAGAGGGAGAGCAGTGTGAGGCCAGAGGGCCACCGAGCAGGCTGCAGTGCCCAGGCTGGCCCTCTGGCTTAGTGATGGCCAAACTGCCAACCACAGACCTTTAAGGGAGTGGCACTAACCTAGGGGGCTGTAATCAGAGCATTTAACAAAATGAAATAGGATAAAAAATTCAGAAGAGTACCTTCCCTGAGATAAACAAAAATGAAAACCGCTCTCTGGCTCAGAGAATTTTAAACCAACACTCTACCGATTTCCTGTGATGACGGGCAGCATGTCTGCGGAGGCGCTGGAAGTGGCCTGAGTGACTTTGAAGGTCACGTTCCTCAAGTCCATGATCCCAAGGCTCATGTCCTCCAGCATTGCCAGCTCCTCCCCTGGACATGAGAGAGGGGCAGGGCTGTCAGGCAGAGGGCCCTGCTACTCTCCCCAGTCTCAGCAGAAGGCAGCCAAGCCCAGGCCTGGCTGTGACAGGAGGGGTGCAGGTGTGGCTCTGGTGGAGGGGGAGTCTCTGAGCCTCTTCCCCTGCAACTCACTCCTCTGTGAGTCAACAATGCCTCTGAAATCCCACAGCCACATCAAAACATGCATCTGGTGGAAACACGCGCCATCCCTTCCCACTATTTCTTGGGCAAGCACCAGATAGTAGGGAGGGAAACAAATACATAAACTCAGAAAGCAAAGCCAGCTCTTGAAACACGAAATGAGAGATGCTAAAGCAGCTTTGCTGTGGCCAGACCCTCCCATTACACAGGGCTTGATATCTATTCGATGTCCTCAATTTCCAATGATTAACAAATGCTTTCTATCACCTTCTCAGAATAAATAAATAATAAACAAGGGTAGGAAGAAGAGAGCCTTTTTAGAGGGCAATTTGGAAATATCTATTAAATTTAAAAATATTCCTACCCTCTGACCCAGCAACTCTCCTTCCAGTCATTCAGTAGCTGCAGAAACAGGCCCACAAGTGCCTCATGCACAGATGTCACTGCTGCACTGGTGTTTCAGGAACAACCCAAAGTCCAACAGGAAGTTACTGGTTAAGTAATTAGCATCCATCCTCAACCAGCAACAACAACAAACCAAGGCGTGTGCGTGTGTAACTGCCAGGTCTGCCATCTGGTCTGCTGTTATATATTTTGGATTTATTTCAATAAGCACGCATTACTGGTATAGTGAGAAAAGTGCCTAGCAAGAAAGGATGGAAACCACACACGCAAGTGGGGCTCCCGATCCTGGCCCGGGCGCCTCACCGTAGGTGCTCAGCAGGCTCTCGAACTGGGCCAGCAGCCCGATGGTGTAGAGCTGGCGCAGGAAGCCGTCGTCATGCAGGCAGTTCCTCAGCTTAATGATGAAGCCGCAGATGAGGGCGGTCAGCTGTGGGAGCGTGGGGTGAAGAGGTTCAGGGTCAGGTGCCTGCTCACCAAATGGCAGTCAGATCATGCCCAGCCCCCCACCGCCCCCTTCCTCTGCTGCCACTGCTCAAAGGGGCTTCAGTGGCACCTCCCATCCCTTGAGAAGCCCAGGTGGGGCATGCCCTGGCCATGGGAAGACGCCCAACAGTGGGCTTGCTATTCCTGTCGCTCACCAAGTGGGTTTGGTTTTTGGCCCAGCTTCTGACCTGACCTATACCTGGCTTTATTCCTAGGCTGGAACTTCTGGAAGCCCATTATTAATTACTCACAGTGAAAGGGTCTATCTACTCATAGAGCCATGCCACCCCTGGCTGGAAACTGAGTTAGCCCCAGCAAAAAACAGAAGTGAGAGACAACATGGTCACTCAAAGTTTCCCCAGTGGGAGATTTTCTATGGGATGAAACAGGACTCTCCAGGATGGGTGAGGGAACCTGTAGAGAACCAGCCCAACCCCAAATCACTGTTCACTTTACTAATTTGATTACTGGCAACTATTAAACTTGTTACATTCATTTCAAGGCTTCACTTCTCTCAACAATAAGAGAGTCCTGCAACAAGCTGCAGAGCTAAGGCACCTACTGTTATACGAGCAATGTTTGCACTGACAGCAAATACCTGTGTTGCCCTCACTCAACCTCTGTGCAGTAAAAAAAAAAAAAAAAAAAAACGCAGCAAAGAAGCCTGTGCCACCCATGCATGCCCTCACTATCTCCTGGGTGCAGAATCGGCAGACTCTGCAGGTGCCAGTTCCTTGGGAGAAGCAAGCATGGGCTGCCAAGGTAGTTCTCCTGACTGTGTTGAAATGTAGACCTCTCTATTAAATAACCTTTAAAGCACCACCAGGAGGAAATATGGCCATCTGGGGTCTTTTACAAGTGAAGTGAGAGGGAAGGGCTTCCTAAGCCTGTCTTTTCTGAGCTGAGAGGTGCCCGTGGTCTCCCTCGGGGTGCTCCCGGGGCCTACCGTCTGGCAGAAGACCACGTCACGGCGGTACTGCAGGCTCAGGTAGGTGGCTATGGTGGGCGCGCTGTCCTGCATGAGCAGGAATACCATGGCCTTCTTGGCCTTGTCACTCATCATGGCCACGCAGTCGGTGAGAGTGGTCAGCAGCGGGTAAAGGGCCTCACTCCATTCACCTGGGGCACAAGCGAAGGGGTCATCACAATGAGAGAGAGATTTTAAGAATTAGGTTCTGGCAATTTAACAAGTCACCTGGCCCCTAACCACTGCAGTCCTCCCACTCCCCCATCTCCACCTCATCTTCCAGCTCTGTCTGGAACCAACCCAGTCTCTAGCCCTCTAGCCCTCTAGCCCCAGCTCTTTCCAGCAACCTCAAACACCAGTTCTACTCCGGTACCTCCAAGACATGCCTGGTCTCCTGAACCTGTTGGGGACCCTAAACAGAAATACTCAAGACAATGCCTTCGGAGGAAAACAACAAAGAAGCTTCTGCAAGTCATGACGAGGCCAGAAAATGCTCTGTCCCCAGAGGCCCATCTCCTTCCACAGCCCTGTAGCACCTCCACCCGGAGAGGAAGGACACCCAGAAAGGTTCTCTGTGATCTCCCTTCTCTTGACCTGGGTATAAAGTCAAGTCAGAGACTCCTCTGCCCTTGCCAAGCCTTGTGTGCAACTGTGTTCAATTCTTACCCCTGCACACCTGGAGGAGGACTATTCCCCACAGCTCCCAAGTTTTCAGCCCTCAGAACGGCCCCACCTTGCACTCACTTCCTTCCCCACCCCCACCTTCCTTCCCCAGTACTATTTCTAGCTTAGTTTTCTTTTAGGAATATAGGGAAACTTTGACCCTATACCAAAACAACTTTTTAAAAATAGAACCTCAAGGGAGAAAAACAGGGTGAAAGATATTTTGGGTTTTGACTCTTTTTTTCCTTCCTATTTAGAAGACATTTAAAAGAGAAGACAGGCTCTCATTAAGGTTATATTTGTAACAGGTGATTAAGACCAGAAATAGGCATGTGACCATCACCACTTGGTGAATCCACCACACCAAACATGGTGAGAAGTCATGGAGTGAAGCCCAGGCAGTACATGCCCCTTAGGGTGAGGGTTCGAGCCACAGAATGCGCCAGGCCATGTCCCGGCACGGCACTCAGGGAAGGCCATGGGCTGTGGGAGCTGTGCGGCTGCCAGAGGATAAACTCTGTCTTAGATAAACAGAATCTCAGAGACCGAGAGAAGGGCGGCTTGGCCCTGTTCTCTCAAGCTGGATGGTTAGCACTTCACTGAGAAACCAACCTAAAGAAATACTGAAACATATAAAAGAATTCCCTACACTCAGTGTTTGGTTAATGCAAATGTTTAAGTATATGTAGCAGCTCAAAAGTTGGAGGTGGCCTAATTGTACATGCAGGCACGCTAACTGTTTGTGGACAGGATTTGTATCTGTAATGGAAAAAGCAGGCTTAAATTTAGCAAGTCCACAGCAGACAGGTCTTAGCAAATGAATCATGGTGACGAAGGACACTGAACTGAGAGGTGGAAAATGTGGAGGCCCGGCCCCGGCCACTGCTGAGCAGAGGTGACCACAGGCAAGGCCCTCGACCCCTCAGCCATGTGGGTCCTTTTTTATAAAATGAGAGAGAGGCACTAGATAATGTCCGAGTCTCTTTCCTCCACTAAAGTTCTCAGAGACCATGTTTTTGTTTCTTTGAAGAATTCTGTTGAATGTATGCCAATTATATGAAGTGCCTATTAAAAATGCCAAAGGCAAACAAGTTTTTCTCGCCAAACGGTTTGGGGAAAGGCAGGCAGTCTTTAAGACTATCCTTCTCTAAGAAGTACATGCTCTTAAAGCAAATGTTGCCAATTTTACTTTGCTCTTCTAGCTGTCATGCATATCATGAAAATCATGATTATTTTAATCTGAAAATGATCAAAATATACAACTGGTCTTACTTGACTAAACAAGCTCTCTCCATACAACTTTTTCACTTTGCCTATATCTCTTTAAACTAAATTCCTATGAGAACGATTGCTTCGCTACATTAGGAAAAAAATGAAAAAAAATTGTAGTATAGGAAGAATGGCTAAAAAGCACTAAGATGTTTGTCCTGGAAAAGAGGAGATATGGAACTTGGTAGAAGGTGAGTGTCGTTATCTGCCCAGAGAAGGACTCAGACATGCCTGGAACAATTTTTTAAAAGTTCAACCAAAGTGAGTTTCTTGGGCAGTAACATGATTTCCACGCAGGATCTAGTGAAGTAAAGGCACCTGGGTCACTGGAATCGGTGAAGGGTTTATACTCTGCCTCCTTCACTGACAAAGCCTTGTTATGAGAAAAAATCAGCTCAGTGAAACAATGTCCTGAGTGACGTCGCTGACCCACGTTTTTGTAGAAAACTCCTTATCTAGTTCCTAACCCGTAATGTTCGCAGACCGGTAGTGAATTCATGGGCCATACTAATTTAGATAACTTTGAAGAGCACTTTCAAATCCGTACTTTGCTTCTGCATTTTCCCCTCATCAGTAGGGGAGGGAGAAAGGGAGAGTGTGTGTGCCTTTGTAAGTGTGTATATTTTAGCCCAGATTAAATGCAGTTCTCCAGGAAAAGCCAAAAGAACTCCTTGCAAGGACCATTTTAGTCCATCAGCATCAACTGTGAAAAAGCCATCAGTGCTTCTGGAAATGTCCCAGCTGACACACAACAAGGAGGGCTCTACAGGCCAGGCATTGTCTGTGTGCTGCCCGGGGACCCATGAGACTTCCCATTAGTTCTGCAACCCTCAGGAGCCCAGAACTGAGAAGACCCCCTGAGCTTCTGTGGGGGCAGATGCACATGCCACCAGCCCTCTCTTGGCCCTAACTGCTGGGTATGGCCCCAGGCTTGGGCACCACTGAGGCTCAGGCGACAGCCAGCTCAGTCCGAAGGCACTGGCCTGCCGTGGAGGTCAGCTGAGGCATGGGCCCGGGGAGGCAACGGAGGAGGAGACCAAGATCAACTGTTTGTACATCTACCAAGGCCTCAGTAACCTTGAGGGTCCAAGGGGGTGGGGCCCAAAGCCTGCTCAAAGCGACACTGACTTTTGGGGAAAGAGAAACTGTGAAGGGGCTGAAAGCAAACTGGGAGAGTATGAGGTGTCCAATCAGATTAGCCCGCCAATGAGCTAACTTCTAAGAGCGTCCTGGGGTTGCTGCCAGGAGCTGCCACACTATGCTGACTCATGGGGCTGTATGGGTGGACAGGCTTCACTAGCAATGCACAGGAATAGCTTGTTAGCCTGGTAAATCCCACAGTCATGGACTCGCTACATTCTAGACATCAACAAAGTATCCTGCTGTCTTACATTTATAACCAGTCAGAAATATGCAAGCAATAGACTGACCATGCAGCTGATTTTTGGAATGTAAGAAAAAGAACATCAAATCATATTATTTGGGGGACTCATGCTCAAAACCACAAGCCATACCCAGGAAACTCAATATGAACTAGATCAGGGGTCAGCACACATTTTCTGTAAAGAGCTAGACAGTAAATATTTTAGGCTTTGAAGGCCACGGGTTCTCTGCTGCAACGAACTCTGGCACTGCTGCACAAAAGCAGCTGCAGACAATACATGAACAAGTGGGCAAGGTTGGTTTCTAACAAAACATTATTTATAAGAGCAGACTGTGGACAAGATTTAGCTCAGAGCTGTAGCTTGCCAACCCCTGAACTAGAACCATAAACATTGGTTTCTACATGCAAAGGAAGCAAAGAGATTACATTTCTGGTACTAACTGCAACTGAGGCCCATAGCAATGTCTGGTAAGAATTCTAAAACTGCACCCAGGAAGTCCAGATGTGTACCTCCCTACCTCAGGTCAACCACTTCAGGAAGCCCAACACGCTCATCTGTAAAGACTTTAGAATGTAAGAGTAAAACAAATACATGTGGTAGTCTGCCTCAGGCCACAATTTCCTCAGCCCAACTGGTCCCTCATCAAACCTGCGAAAAGTGTTTTATGCCTCACAACGAAGGAGGTCCTGGAATACTTTCCCAACTCTGGGATCATAAGGCAATCTTTTGTAATTTAGCTACAAAACACTACCTGAGTATCAATTAAAAGGGCATCAGCAGGAGCCTTGAACGGAAACCACGTACCTGGGCTGGACTCTTCAGGAGGGGGACTGCAATCTGCACAGAAATGGAGGGCGACATGGATGATTAAGGAGCAGCACACAGTTCAAACCAAGCAACTCAATCTCAGAGCAGCAGCTGCGTCAGCAGCTTGCAGTAAGGCGGCTAACAAACAGAAAAGAGGTCTGGGTGCCTGGCTGCCTCTTCCCCAAGAAGGCTCACGAAAGTACTCTGGCTGCTCCAAGGCAGCCAAGCCCTCTCAGTGGTAAACAATGACAGATTCCCCAGCTTAAACATTCATGTTGCCAATAGTTCAACATAAAATGCTCTTCGGGATGTGCGATCTAGCTTATTACAATGTGATAAATGCCACAGAAAAAAGCACCCACATAAATCACATTGTAGTGGCAGAGCCCCGCGTTGGCTTGCGGCATCTGGAAGCAAACTTGTAAGGAGAGAGACTGACCAGTACACGGCGTGTTCCACGGTCAGTCCCACTGCTCTGATTCACCGGGGAAGCCTGGGCTCAGGATCGACTGCTGAGATCCAAAGTGTTAAGATCCAGGAATGAAACCAGTATACCAAAAAAAACTCTATGCCAATCTCCCAAATTTAAAACAAATGTTAAGTTTTGTGATTTAGGGGTAGTCTCCAATTAGAATGTCCCTTCAGGTCCTCAAAGAATACCACTTTTGATTCCATTTCACCTATACTAAGTCACACTGGGATGTACTTACTTCAATTTCGTATTTCCCTTAAAAACCAAAATTTCTCATTAACTGGGTGCACCATCTAAGAGAAAACAAGTTTGAAAAGGAATCATGGAAGAAAACATTTATGTTAATTTATGTCTGAGCTTTTCAGTTCAAACAATGTCTTCAGGATGTGGAAATGAGGTGGTCTCGGATCCCCAAGAACAGCCAGAACCAGCTTTATGGGGATTTTACAACCTAGGTTGTAAAGAAGGGGCAAAGGATCCTTCCTCTCTAATCGTCTTTGGAAGTGACTTTTCAAACTGGCAAAGGGGAAAGAGAATACAAAGGCATCTGCAAGTTCAAGAGTTCGACCTCTTCGTTAACCCAGATGCCCTGAGACCATGTTGCTAACAAAGATAGAAACCCACAGTGATATAGAACTGTGGCTCTTACATATTGATCTGCTAATCAGGTTATGTGAGGCCTTGAAAAAATACAGATTTTTGCCTCCCCATAACCCCTCTTCTAGGATTCTGAGCTTATGAATGAGGAGGAAGGTCTAGGAGCCTGTTTTATGAGCTTCTGTGGTGATCCCAAACAGCTAGGTTGGGACCATTCCTGTGAAGGCATCAGGGATTAAACCCAATTTGCTAAATTCATCTTTCAATCAAAGGGGAGAAAAAGGGGGTCTTCTCTGGTACTCCTGGAATAATGGCTTGTAACTTGTCTTAGGTCATGGAGTTGAGAATAGGTGACCACTCTGGACTTCCTCTGTACACACATGCAAATTCCAGCACATAATCTCAGGGGTACAAGAACCTGGGTGTACCCATAGACCCCAGACTAAGAAAAACTTGGTCTAACCATCTCTTTGGGTATGAGGAGAGCAACAGAGTGTACAGGAGGAAGGCGGTGGAAGCCACCAAATCCTGGTGGGGCGATAGTGGTGCACCTTGGCAGGCGGGGGTGGAGGGGGATGGGAGACTTTTGGAGAGATGAGAAGAAGGGAAGTTTGAGGAGCCTCTGTGGTTTTGGCTGGCAGGGACTTGTCAGTGGGTCCCCCACAAGGCCTTGGCCCTGGGTGACCCTCACCTGCCAGACAGTGCTCTCTGATCAGGGCAGGGCAGCTCTGAGGCAGGGCAGCTCCCTGGTGAAAAATAAAAACCAAGGACCTAGGACAGGGTAGAGAACTGGAATGAAAAGTGATGATGCCTTTCAGAGCAGTACAGAGTTATTCTCACATAATAAATATGTTGGTGTGAACATACCTGCTCATTAAGCCAAAACAATGGCTCCAGTAACTTGGAATGGTATAAAAAGTCATGACAGAGCCATGCTGTGGCACTGTGGACAAGACTCACCAAAATAAATAGCTCACAGACTGGTTCTTTCTGATCCTCCTACTTACACTGAGGACTGAACAGCTTCCTGGCTGTGCTAAAGATGTTTAAATTAAGGACCATCCACAGATAATTTGGTGGCATATGGTTTCATACATTTGAGTACTGATCAGCAGAGTTAGACTCTCTCAAATGTAAGCTTCACATTCCCATTATTACAACAGCTGATTTTTATGGCACACGCAAGTCAAACCCTAAATAGCATATATAAATGCTCACTTAACTAACTTTAAAACTGAATAAAAATGTATCTATATTTAAACAATACAGGATGTGCCTAGAAAAAAAATGACACTTAAGTTAGGGATATAATCCCATCTGATGAAATAAACTAGCTCCCACATTTAAAACAGCCAATAAATTACCCTTTTCATTATCTGTAGAAAAATTTAAAATCACAAACAAGATAATAAAGTAAAAAGAAATAAACAATGAATTTTCAGAAAATTTTAAAAAGGAACACGATTCACATAAAAAAGAGAACATGAATAGAGACAAAATAGTTCCATGAGCCAATCACAGGTGTGGGGAAGTGAAACCATAATCCCCCATAGATGGAGAGATGGGTGACGTGATAACTGTCGAGACAGAGGCTCAAGTGAGACAGTGCCCTGGAAACAGACTGCAGGCAGAGTAAAGAGGCAAAGGGCATCTTACAACCTGAAGGGGGATTTGCCAAGAGGCTCTGACCAAGAGGCACGCTTATACCTTGAATGGAAGTTCTCCAATTCAGAATTTAAAAGCCCTCATCACATGAAGCTTAATCCCAGCACATCTGGGCCTTACCTACTATGACTTAAAACTCCCACAGGAGAACAAAAAGGAGGCAGAAGCTAGGTCTGTGGGCAAGTCTCAGCTGCCTAGCTTGTAACTCTATGGCTCTTACAGGAAAAGGCGGAGACATCTCAGTTGCAGGGACTGTTTCCCAGCTTTAAGGCCATCTGCAGGACAGTGTCCTGGTATGCTGTGTCTCTGCAGACAGGAGACTGTTCTGAAGCATGCTGCTTCATGCCAGTGTCCTACCCTGAAGGGTCCTGCCAAACCACCTGACTCAGACCACCAGAAGCCCAGGAACAGGGTCCCATTCTCTGTGTTACCAAGTCCCAAGGCAACATGCCTCTGCTGCATAAGAGAGTGCCCAGCCAATGCCAACCAGCTTTTAGACATGTCCACTGGACCTGCCAATATCTCTCATCCAGCTGTGTCCCTGAACAATTCCCCTTTCCCCTTTCATTCTACCAATTCCTAATGCCATAGACAATCACATCAGAAAGGCATCTGCATCCTGGCCTCCTTCAGGTTCTCAGATTGCTTTACAAACCTGAAAAGCCCAGGAGCCCAACCCTTATAGCCATGGTGGTGTATCTCAAGAGGACCCTGAGATTCTGACTGGCAGAGATGCAGAATCACACATGGGCTCCAGTTACATGGAAAGGCAACCGGAGACTCCGCTCTCACTGCCTGCTGCTCCATGCACTGGGACGCCCCCGCTCCACCTGGCAGCCCTCCCTGCAGTCTGCATGGGGGAGGAGGGCATGGAGTCAGAGACACAGACAAATGGAAGCAGCACAAGGTGAAATGGAGGCAGCATATGGGAAGCATGGATGCATACGCACGTGTGGTCAGATGAGGATGGCATGCAGTGGAGGGCATGGTGGAGGGGCATGGTGAGGAGGGGACATCACAGAAGGGGTCTTCTGGTCTGATCCAGTAGGCGTGGCTGTCCGGGTTACCTTTCTTGCTGGTGCAGCTGCCTGCACAGGGGAAGACATCCTCACAGCCCTCGCCATGCAGCCGCTCCTTCTGCAGCAGCTTGTCCACACGCTGAATGATGCACTCTAGGCTCTTGTCCACGTTCAGCCACACTTTCTCCTTCCAAATCAAAGGGGCCCATGTGGGTCAGCTCTCCCGAACAGAAACACAAACATAACACAAACCAAATCGCCCTCCACTGATCCCCTGCCCTAGGCTTCCACACTTGTTAAAATACCTCAAAGTTTAGAAATATAAAGATGATTCCTAATTCCCCACTAAAGTTGCATTTGCTTTTCAACGATGAATCGATGTCCTGCGGCCATTGTTTTTAGAGTTTGGGAGATGTTTGCTAGTAACTCTTCTGGAGGCCAGGTGGCCCTCCAGTGCTGCCTGAAAGGCCACAGGGCACTGTCTCATCTCCTCCTCTTGCCACTGCAGACTTCCTACAATCATCACACACAGACAAAATGGAGGCCTCCTTTTGATAGAAGGGAACAGAAATTTCGATAGGGGAGGTGGGGAGGAGGAGAGGAAGGTCTGGGAGTGATTTGCAGAAACACGCACAGTGTATAGGATGGGACTTTGCTGCTGATTAATAGTTCAGTGCTTGTAGAACAATGCCTCTAAGCAGTAGTCTCAATAAATGGTAAAAACAAGTTGTACAATGTGTCACTCCCTCAAGAAACACAGATCCTGCTCCCAGGGCCAATTCTCTGAGGAACAATAATGTGATGTAATGTCAGGGCGGCAGCTCCAAAATCCATATCTACTTGCCCCAGCACCAGAGCTCCCACGTCCCCAAATACACATAGCCCTGGAAAATCTAACAGCAAACAGAGCACTGACTGGTCTCAAGCATCCCAAGGCCATAGAAGGCACAGGAGGCAGGGGAAGGAGAGACCTCCAACACGGGAGGAAAACCCACTTGTCTTCCTCTTCATCCAGGTCTGAGGCTGGCCCAGCCCCCAGCACAGCCCTACCCCTATCTGGACACAAGGGTTTGAAAACAGTCTCCTCCCTCCCTGCATCAGGAGCCAAGGAGCCATCCAGGAAGGAAACCTGGAGCTTGTTCACAGCAGTTGAACCTTGAGGCACTTCAGAGGGGCAGAGACTGGCAACAGGTTTTGTGGTTTTCAGCCCAAGTTCAGCAGTGGGATGACAGCCACAGCAGCAGACTCACCCACTCCTCCTCGTGCCAGTCCACCTGCAGGGAAGATCGGCTGTTTCTCCCTGTCCACCGGGCCATGAGGGTGTCCTGGTCATTTCTAAGCATCACCTGCTCCTCCTCAGTCGAAGTGGGAGAGGCCTTGGAGGCAATGTAGTCAGGCCGTGCAGCGTTCAGCCCATGGATGGAGTTGGCCAGGAGCTTGCAGTCGCAGACCGTGACCAGCTGCCGTGTCTGCAGGTGCACACAAACCAAGGCTGCTGAGCCCAGGCCAGGGGCTGGGGAGGCCCCTGCCTTATCTCAGAAATGGAGAATGGGCTTAAAGCCCAGCACTGCACCCCTCTGCCTTTCTCCACAGTGCAAAGCAACTGAAGGGCTACATCCCTCAAGATGTCTGAGTACAAAGACTGCCATGTGGCCCACTTGGGCTGAATCTTAACAAGAATTTCCCACCAAGGAAGAGAAGAGGTTGAGAAATCTCTGACATTCTCTGATCCCTGCCTACCTCTGACCTGTGATTGCTAGGGGAGGGGCCTGCAGAGAGAGCCCACTGCCCCAGCCTTGACAGACTTCCACCTTCCAGGGAACAAGTGTCCAGGGGTCAGGCCTTACTTTGGTTCAATTGTGTAAGTCTTATCTTTTGTTCCTCAGCATCTAATACCTCAAGTTCTGGGTTCTGGGTAGCTGGCCTCCTGGCACAACATGTCTGGTTTTGGAGAATTCTGCATGCAACACGGGTTCTGTGGTTCATAATGTTACTGCTGACAACTACATCTTTCTTTTCCAGGGGATCTAATCCCCACCTCACACTCTATGCTGTGTGAACACCTGTGAAGGATATAACACATTCTGATCAGGAACAGCAGCTCAACAGCACAGTGAGTGTGAGTGTGGAGGTATAGTCAGAATCTGGGGTGTGTGTGTGTGTATGAGAGCGTGTGTGTGTGTATGAGAGCGTGTTTGTGTGCGCTGAGAGAGAGACCAAGTAATGGGGAAAAGTATCATCCATCAAAAGGGTCTGATAATAGCCACTTCCTCAGTAGGGATTAATACTTACATATTTTAAAACCAGGATCAAGTTATGGCTAAGTAGAAGCTGGTTTACTGACTATATGTAAGCCAATAAAATTATATTCTTCTTATGTCTGTATAATAGCTCAGTTTCTGTTTTCAAATTCAACTAAAATAGAAATGTGGCCAAAAAAAAAAAGTGCTAGTTAGGCTGTTACTGAGAAAGAAGTGGAACTGTATCACCCTCAACAAAATGAGCCCCATGGACTTGCTGAAGGGCACATGTGCCTGAAGCTGCACCTAAGAGTCATGAGCCCTGGGCTCTGCCCTTGGTCTGTCCAGCTCTGCGGACAAATCACAAAACCTCCCTGGGCCTTTGTGCGAAATGGACCTAAGGTAGACCTTCAAAGTCATCCCAATGTCACGCTCTTTGTGGACCATCTTAGGTACACCTGGGCTGCCTGGTGGCTTCCAGAAACCCAAGGAAACTCCCCAGCCCATATGTAGCAGGGCACCCCTCCTACCTTGTCTGCCAAGATGGCGAGTGTCCTCTCAAGGCCAGTGGCAGACCTGTCCTTGGCTGCCCTTGACAGCCGCTCTGCGTAGTAACTCACTTGGGTTTTCAGGGTGTTGATCTGGGCGATGATCTCCTTGGCTCTGACAACATCCTGGGGTATGTAGATTATGGACTGGCAGCCAGATGATGTACTGGAAAGGATAAGAATGGATTCTAAGGGATTCTCCAGAATCTGAAAAGGATGACAGCATCATTCCAACCCCAGCCACAATTGACCCTAAGATGAAGTGTTCTGTGACTCAGGGATGTTCTCTCAAGCTACTCTAGTTGTTGATGAGCAAAGTATATCTTAGGAGATTCTTCCTGTCTATATGGCAGGAGCTTGAAATATTAAACTATGACTCAGTCTTTTATCTGTATTTGCATGTATCTGTATTTTTACTTGTGTATGTAAATGTATGAACAGGTATTGAACAATCATATCCCATAATCACCCAAATGATCGTAATCTTCCACCTCACAACCTCATCTATTAACTTATAAGCAGTACTTAAGTGGAGACATAGAGGCCATTTACAGAAGAAGGGGTCAGGTTATCACAGTGTAGCAGAGACTGCAGTGGGTGTTAGACTTTGTCCCCAAACAACCAAAACCTATTTTTTCTTTTGGCCAATCAGGCATTCAAGCTCCCTGTGAACATACCCACAGTCGTCCTTCCTCTCATGTCTGACCCCAGCAAGTCCCTAGAAAATGGGGTTTCCTTTCCCTTTCCTTCGCTCCAGGACTTCCCTACTTTGAAAAATAACGTTTCATCAAATGAAGAAAAAGTGGAGAACATGCCAAGCCACAGGCAAAGCCGGACTCCTCAGTGGCTTTGTAACCCTGGCTCTCCCTCCTTCCCACCTCTTCGCCACCAAGCAGCGTGTGTGTCTAGGGATCTGATGCCAAGCCTACAGCCCAGCCCCTCCCAGCACAATCAGGAGGCTCTGAAAGACCAACTTCACATCCTCCCGCTGTGGGGGCCTGGCCAGTGTGTTGGGTCCAACTAAACGGTGATGATAAATTGCATGTCTCTTAGCCTGATCCCAATCAATCCAATATTATAAATTTATTTTTCAGACCATCTGAGGAAGCTGAAGAAAGCAGGAAGAAGTACAAGCCACCAATGCAGAGGTCTCCTCCTAAAATTTGAAATTGTGAGCTCTGGGTAGAATGGGTGTCCCTTCGCTCATGGGATGAGGGGTCCTGACTGGTCCCTAAAGGGCTACCCTTTGAATTCTGGGGAAGAGAGAGAGAGGAGGAGCGAGGGCACCTCTCACCACATCCTCCATCACTTCCCCTGGAGATGACAGTCACCTTGGTCAGGGCTGAGAATCTTCCCCATTGGCCCCTTCCCAGGGAAGTCCCAAAGTGGTTCATCAAGAAACCACCACTACCCCTTCCCTTGCTGGATTATGTGGCAAACATGCAAAAACCGAAAACCAAAGCACCCCGGAAAGAAACACCACCACCACAAGCCCACACGCCACAGTAAAAAACAATGGATGTGCCAGAAGCCCATGCAGCAGACCGCACTCAAGCTCGTGGGGCACAACAGGAGTCATTCCACAGCATGATGTGCACACTACTTTCCAATCTGCAATCACTCTTCCAAATGAATAGCTGCCTTCTAAGACCATTTCATCTTAAAAAGACAATCTCAAAATAGGATTTTAAAAAATCAATTCAGCCAAGCATGGTGGCCTATAATCCTAGCACTTTGGTAGGCCAAGGTGGGTGGATTGCTTGAGCCTGGGAGTTCAAGATCAGCCTGGGCAACATCGTGAGACCCCACCTTTTAAAAAAATTTAAAAATTAGCTAGGCATGGTGGCTTGTGCTTGTGGTTCTGGCTACTTAGGAGGCTGAGGCAGGAGGGTCAACTGAGCCCAGGAGTTTGAGGCTGTAGTGAGTTATGACGGTGCCAGTGCACTCCAGCCTGGGTGACAGAGCAAGACCCTGACTCCAAAAACAGTGGAAAAAAAAAAAGGATTCTTCCCAGGCCCCCAATATTTAGAGTACATATATAAAATGTGCTGTATGTAGATCTACTTCTGTGTAAGGAGGTGGCTGTGTACCCTTCAACAAATACATACCCTCTGCCCAGGCCAAGAGAAAAGCACTACCCTATACTTGCCCTGTATTCTCACAAGTCATGTTTTAATGATGATACCTGGGACTTATGCATGGGATATACATGGCAGGGGCAAGAAAAGGCAAATTTCAAAGAGGTGCTGTTTAGGATGATGAGGAAAATACAAGCATGTGTGCTCAACTACCTAGTTTTAAAAACCAGGCAGCCACATGAGGGCGGCAGGATGGAGGTGTAGACATGAAGCCTAGGGGCAGCCCCAGGAGGCAGTATCCTAGGTATAGCCCTTGGACTTTGCATTAGGCCCCCACCCCAGACCCGGACCTACCCAGAGCTGGGGTCATGGGCTAAACTGAAGATGCCATGAGAGCGTAAGGGTGGAGTCTTGTGGCCCTGGCCAGGAACTGCTGGTAACTGCTGAGCAACAGTCACTCTGGACATTAGAAGAGCAGGATCACCTCTGCAGAGGCTGAGCCCCCATGGAGCTGGGTTCTGCAAGGGTAGGAGGATTGGGAGGCTGGGTCCTCTCTGCCTGGGATTTAGCCCCTCACAGTCTCCAGGCAGGGACACTCCTTCTGCCTGTAACCCTCCCCGCTCCATCCCCTCCCTGCTTCAGGGACAGTCTTGTATATGGGGAGCAGGGGGGAGACGGCAAGGGGTGACCAGGCCCAGATTGGGCTATGGAGGGTCCTCAGAGGGAACCCAGGAACGCAGAAAGTTCCCCAGGAACAAGGTTCAACCCAAAACACCTGGGTTGGGATTTACCAAGGAGCAGGCCTTGGGGGCAGCTCCTTGGTAAAGCCAAAGGCCTCTCCCCTCCCATTCCTCTTCCTCTGCCCCGCTAGACTCAACCCCTAAGTACTTTACTTGTCCCGTTATGGGAAAGATCAGGCCTTGAAAGAGTCCCCAGTAGAGAAAAGGCAGGGAGGGGAGGCTGAGAGGCCACTTCCACAGAAGTAGCATGGGTCTGCTCCATTAAGGAGGCAGGAGCAGCAGCAACCGTCCCTAGATGCCCTCCTCCCTCCCTTGTACCTAAAGTACCCCCAGGGAAAAGGACCCCCAGGGGGAAGTTGAGAGGCCTCAGCCTGGACATCGGGGAATGTCCTCAGTGCTTCCTCCTGTCAGATGCCACCAGCAGAGCCTGACACCTCCAGCAGGGCCCAGCCATAGCCCCTGAGCCCCATGGGTCACAGGCTCTGAGGCAGCAGCATTTCTTGAGGGGCTGCAGGTGCCTCTGAATGAAGCACCACTGCAGAGCCTCTGTTATGAGCCTGGGGAAGCAGTAGAGAAGCCCAGGCAGCAGACACCGTGGTTTCTAACTGTCATCTAATTATCTGGTGGAAAAAGTCACTCAGTTGTATTAAATCTTGGTTTGTACCCACCCCCAGGGGTAAAACTGACCTTGGTAACAGTGTTATTAAAATCAGCATAAATTAATAAGCATCATGAAGATGTAGGCTGGCTTCATTTGTATAAGAGGTAATAGTGAAGTGAAAACTGAAAAGCCACAAGACTCCTGTATAAGAAGACAGGAGTTCCCAGCTGCACCCAGGGGCTGACATGAGAACCCAGCACCCAGGGGCTTCCTGGGTCGGGCCCTTCCTCTTCCTGGGAGAAACAGAACTAGGTCCTTTCTCAGAGTGAGTACGACAACACCCAGCTGCCAGGTTTTAAAGGTAAAACAGCAGACTGAAGATTGGCTATTCATTATTAAAGAACATTGCAGTTGGAAGGGAGGACTGTTTATGAGGTGTATAACTAGGAACCATGGCAGCACCGCAGGGGAAGCCCACAGGAGGAGGTGTGGGGATGGCACAAGCTTTCTCTGCATGAGGACGAGACCCAAACAGACACTCTCTCCACAGACAGAAAACTCACCAACACTCCTCAAAACTGCTAAAGAAAAGAACCAAAATGAAATATTAGCAGTTTGTTAGCAAATACCAAATGCAAAAACAAAAAATTAAAAAGCCAACTTATTTTTTGTCAAAATACTTAAAATTATTTGTTGAGGTCCCAACTACAGGGATGACTACAATCATGAGCCCAATGTGCTTATTCCTTAGAGCAGCGTCACTCCCTGTGCTCAAGCCCCAGGGAGACATCCCACCTCAGGCCAAGTTACCTCCGCATTTAAAGGAAAGTTCAAATCATGAATACCATATCTATAAGTGGCTTGATGGCATTAGTGAGAAATTAAATAGAAACTTATATATTTGAAAAATACTAAGAGGTATTTTGAGAAATAAATTCTAAAGTTAACATGCAGAGTTATCAGGAATCAACACCCCAAGCCTCCTGGGACAAAGACCCCCAGAAGGCCCCCTTCTTGACTGGCCAGAGTTACTATGGGTTCTCCTTCAGGGCCCCACCCCATCTCAAGCTGCACGCTCACACTCTCCACAGGGCAACATGCAATGGAGCGACAGACACGCTTTCTGGCTGGCTGTGCAGAGCTGCGGTGGCACAGGAAGCTGCGTCTTCTTCCTATTTCCCAAAGGGACCTGGAGTCAGCAAATCCTAAGACAGGTCTGGTTACCTGGTTTGTCTTAGGGAAGCACCCCTGGGAATGAATCAAAGTCAAGTAGGTTGTCTGGGGGCCTGAATTCCCCTTCCCTGTTTCTCCTCCCTCCGGGACTCACCGGGCTCTGGGCCCACCCAGGCAGCCTGTGCACGTATCTGAATGGTGACTTCTCACAGGGTACGCTCTTCCGTTCCCTGCTCAGCCTTGCCCATGATCAGTGACGCCCCTAGCTGCCTCCCTGACCCCCTCAGCCACTGATCTGACCTTTCACCTCTTTCAGTTTTCTCAGATCACGTCCTGACTCCCAGCCATGGCAGCACAGTCAGGTGCCAACCACCAGCTCCATGGCACATGCCAGAGCTCTTCACCTGACCATCCATGGGATTCTTGTGACGCTCCCTGGGCCTTTGCTCACCTTCCCTCACGCTGTTCCATGCTTGCTTGCTGAGTCTGACCCTCCCCAGCCCACATGCTGCAGAGGCTGTCGACGGATGCTTCTGCTTGTTCCTTCCCACCTCAAACATCTCTCTGCAGCCCCACCTCTTCTCCTGGCCCTTCTGATGAACACCTGCTCTTGCCTCTTTCCATCCTGTGAGAACCCGGCTCTAACACTGTTTTCCTCTCATTCACCTTACCTCATCCACTTCTGTCTTTCCTATCAGCCCAAACACATGCTAAGTCATAATTATTCTCCCTAAACCAAACACCTCATGCTACTTCCTCTACTTTGTGGTCACAGTCCAAGGATCTTACTGGTCATCTACACTCATCACCCCCACTTCCTGAGCCACTGAAATCTTCACAGGTGATGTTCTGGAAGATCATCAATGCCTCCTGCACATCTAACACAACAGCTTGGGTTTATTTCTGGCTCTCTCCCTCCCACCCCTGGGGGCTGGGTGGATGCCCTGCTCCATGCACCCCAGCATCCTCAGCATGCTTGTTTCAGGCCCTGTTCATGCCAAATGGTGCTTGCTGACTTGTCTACTCCCAGGCAAGGCCCTGAGCTCCTGGAACCAGGCCTAGATCTGCTGGGGGCTGTAACTCTGGTCACAGAGCAGGCTGGCAGCAAGGCCAGTCCTCTTAGCTCTCCGCCCCCAGCACTGTGCACCTGGCCACATTTCACCATGTGCAATGCTTCTGCCATGTCTTTGTCTGAAATGCCCTTCACCACCCTCCCTACCTGGAAATTTCCTGCTCAGGACAGTAGCTCTGTACAGCCCCCTGAATGTTTCAAAAACTGGGAATGTTTACCACTGCTGTCCTCTAGGAAACAACATGCTCCAGGCTCGATGCCTATGGTGCTCAACTGACTGGCCAGGGACTCTAAAGGATGCCAAGCCAGCAGAGTCTACATAGGGCGGTTGCCTGGAGCACCACTTCTGAGGTGGATCACAATCTGCTCCTCATTTTGCAGGACAGGACCATTGATCCAGTGCCCTCATCACCCACCCAGCTCAGTCACACATAAACAGAGCAGCACAGGCTCCATAAGGCAGATCCTCCTGCCACGCAAAAGCAGATCAGATGGCTGGGTGTTTTTGCGGTCATATTTTGATTTTATTTTAAACTGAGAAAAGAAGCATCAGAAAGCTGTACAAGGACCACAAACCCTCTCTGGCTACTTACTGTTTCTTGGTCTCTTCAAATTTGTGCAGCTTTTTGCGGAGACCTCCTGACTTAAAACCTTGGCAGTGTGCTGCTGGCGCCCCAATGGTGACGATGTCGTAGTTCTGATCTGAATGACAGAAAGCTCTCCTCCATTACTCTGGGCTCAGGCCTGTGGACAAGCCAGCTATAGGGATATGCACACAAGTCTGGGGTCCTGACCCTCCAGCCCACTGCTGTACAGCCTTTGGTTCCCCTGATCCCACAGCCCTGGCTGCCCAAGGGTCTGCTGGAGCCCAGTGCCATCACCTCAGCAACAAGGGGTTTAAAACATTTCAAGTGGAGCCACAAGGGCTGCAGGAAGCCACCCTGTAACTCCCGTTTGCATCCCTCCTTGGGAAGAAGGGCCGACAGGCAACTTTCTACTGCAGAAATACAAAGGGAAGCTAGAGTGAGGAGAGACAAAAGGAAGGGGTGTGGGCTGTTATCAGAAACCTTTTGAAGGTCCTTGTGACAAATCTCTCCTCCGAGCCGCCCAGAGCACACAGGGAAATGGGCAGATGTGGGGTACTCAGGGACCAAGTACCCACAGAGAAAAGCAGCGAAATGTGATTCAACAAGAGGGAGCAGAAAAATAGGTACCTGATCCTCCATCGTCTTGAACTCTCATCCTTTGTATGTGCAAGTTTGTGGGAACAAATTCTAACTTTTTATCTGCTTTCAAACTGCTTGCTTTAAACGAGGGCCCTAAGAAATGGAATAGGAGAAGATAAAGGCCATCAGCATACATGCTGCATTCACGAGTTGCAAGTAGAAAATGGAATTCAGAGGATGCTGTGGCATATAAGCAGGTATGTCGGCAGTGGCCTAGAAGATTCTGAGTTGCCATGAGCACATTTCATTTCCAGGTGGCAGGTGGGTGAGATGCCAAGGGCAGCCTGCTGGTCAGGAGAGCTGGTTCTGGGTGCTCAGGTGGTGAATGGTGCCAGGGAGAACCGGCTTCAAAAAGCTATGGTAACGATGCTGCGCCTTCCGTGACTCAGCTCTCTACTGAGAGATCTGATACAAAAAATGTGATTCTGTGCAGCACAATGTCAGCACTACTATAATAAGCAAAGGGGTCCACGCCAGAGACTGCCTGTTCTGACTCCAGAGACCGCCATCATCAAAGAGCTAAGAATCTGGTTTGGCTAGAGCAATACATCTCAACTCTCGAAAGTGATGAAGAGGCCTTCTCATCCCTGCAGGCCCATCAAGATAACAAATGCAATATAGCATTGATTCCGGCCTTCTGACACACAAAATACAATGTTTCCCTGTTTACGCCTGGTTGGTTAAGGAGCCTGGACGCTATTTTATAACAAATATGCACAATCTTGTTTCTATAATCAGAATCCATAACTAATTAAATGGAGAATCACATGCCTACAAAATAAAGGGATTACAAATTAAACTGACAACCAGAGAGTAGAAGAAATAAACGTTTCATCTAGTGAAAAATATCACTGATACTGCCAGCATATGAATCACAGACCAGCTACTGTGTTCTCCAATTTGCCATAGGAGACTGCTCTCTATGGCCTGATACGTAGGGTGCAGTCCACAGACCGCACCATGAGCATCCGAGAGCCTGTGAGAAAGGCACAATCCCAGACTGCCACTTCAACACAATTCTCAAGGGATCCGGGTGCACAGTGACATTTGAGAAGCTCTGCTCTAGAAAACTCAAGGTTGTGTGGGTTCCACACTTTCCCAGGTAAGAGGCATCAGGCATGGGTGAGTCCCTTGGTTCCTTCCTGGGCAAATGTTGCCGTTTCTCCTAGTGACATACTCAGACCCTCTCTTCAGACTCACATCAAGCCTAAGCAACACCTCCTTGTTAGTCCTGCATTTGGCTTCTTCTCATTCAAGTTTATGGATGGGTTCACATGTTCTGTGTCAAAACCACATCAAGGGCTTATGGTTTTCCTTAAACCCTGAAATTCCATTATGTAAAAGAATCAAAGGGAAGAATCCAAAAATAGAGAATAATTCAAAATGCTAAAGCAATATATAGAGTAATGAAAAACCAAAAAATTCATTCCACTTGGAATAAAAAAGGAACAAGAACAGATTTCCAAATCTGCCCTGAGAGTGTTTTGAAAATCAAATGGCATCTTTCAAGGAGAAACAGTGAGGTGTTCATTCACACTCCATTTTGTTTTCTGAGCCTTAAAATACAGAGTTACCCCTTAACAATTCATATGTTTAATAGAAGTTACCACTGACTCTTTAAACTGGGAAATCAAGAAAAACTGCTTTGTTTCAAGGCGAGTGGCCTACATCCTTTCTGTTAGTACATCCTATACTGACATTAGTCCAAGATGAAGAAACAACATGAAGCAGTAATAGCCCGGGATTTCGCCTCCCCTAAATTTCATTCCACAGTGGCTGTTTTGGTAGATGACACCATAGGAGGACTCTTCACTGCAATTCACAGATTTGTCTTTTTAATTAAGATCAGAAAAACCCATATTTGAAAGAATTCACACCTACATAAGAAGTTATTTTTAAAAATCCATTAAAGTGTCTGTCAGTGGGAATGTGTAAGTGACCCTGTGTTCCAGATCCCTGGCTGGGAAAGCAGAGGGAGTGACTGAGTGAGAGTGAGAGTGTGTGTGTGTGTGTGTGCGCACGCGTGTGTGGTGACAGCATGGGGGTGCACCCACCTCTGTACTGATGGAGGTCGGTCAGGTTCTCCTGGTATGTGAGGATGATGGTCTGGTACTGGGTGACAATTTGGCGCCGGAGGCTCTCCCAGCAAGGGGACAGCTCTCCCAGCTCCTCCAGCTCACACACTCTGAAAGCAAGACACAGATGCATCAGGCTGTGGGCTAACTGGTTTCCCCAGAGAGGCCCAGGAGGTCTACCCAGGACAACAGCATTTGCAGGGGAAGTATCATGGATGCCCAGGGCAGGCCAGGACAATGGTTACACTGCCTGTCTAAAGGGCAACTGGGTTGGAGGAGAGGACAGACAGCTACATGAAAAGCAGACCACTGACCACGTGGCAGTGTGTCCAGAGTAGCTTTTCACGGGAATTTAGTCTAATGTTCAAGGGAAACTAAGTGGAGGTGGGGAGAAGAAGACAGGCTGCTAGGGAGAAGCTTTACCCTGACGACCTGCAGGTGCCCTCAAGCACAGGCTCAAACCACAGCCCACCTGAGTCTGGGCAAAACAACGTGTGATCCTCCCGGAACAGAGAGGACTGCAGGCTGTGAGTAATCGCAATGAGCCACCTCCTGCTTGCCTCGTCATCTCCCCTAGGAGGCTATCAGGACAGCGCTTCTCATTGCCTCCCAGGTTCTCCTGAGGTATGGGCCTTCTGCCCTCCCGGATAGGGGAGCCGCAGAATCTAAAACCGCTCAGCTGCAGCCTAGAGTTGGCTCCTCAGCAGCGGAATACCACAGATCCTGCTGCAGTCACAAGCCCTTCTGTCTCATTGCCATCCTTTTTGGGTACGGGACAAAGACCATGGGAGCTGGCACCTCTGATTCTTCTTCCTTCCGTGTCTATGTAAGAGAGGAGCTAGATTGAGACCATCCTGGCTAACATGGTGAAACCCCGTCTCTACTAAAAAATACAAAAAATTAGCCGGGCGTGGTGGTGGGCGCCTGTAGTCCCAGCTACTTGGAAGGCTGAGGCAGGAGAATGGCGTGAACCTGGGAGGCGGGGCTTGCAGTGAGCCAGGATCGCACCACTGCACTCCAGCCTAGGCAATAGAGACTCCATCTCAAAAAAAAAAAAGAGAGGAGCTGTCTGAACCTAAAAGTGGCCCGCTGTGTCACTGTGGATGAAATCAGGCCTGACCTTGTCTTTATGTGTGTGCTTGACAGAGGCACAGGGTAACAGAAGGGGGAAGGGGGAAGAGGAGGAAGAGAAGAGAAGAAAAAGAGGAATTGTTATCTCCAAAAAAAAAAACCTGTATAAGAACTGAAATATAAATTCCTTAGCTCAGCAATGAAGAACAGCTACACAATCATAACAGCAAAATCACAAGATGGATTTAAAAACAAAAAGCATAACCAAATTAGGAAAATGGGGACTGGGAAGGTATAAAAGGCCAAACCCTCAGCATAGAAAATCGGTAGCTAATCCCTGAAATTGATTAATGAAGAGAACACTTTACACATATATGTGGAAATACATCAGTAAACACTAAAACTCTCAAAAATTGGTTGCTTCCGGGAAGTAGATCAGAAAGTAGAGCCCCGAGTTGTTTTTAGTTAAAAACCTTTCTGCAATTTTTTTTTTATACTGCACTCATGTTTTCCTTTGAGAAAGAAAAAAAGCTAAATTTTACATAAGTTCTTAGGAAATCTGACTTGTCTAAATTGTTTTTAAAAGCTGTGCCATTTTATTATTATTAAAATAGCAAAATTAATATAAAAGGACACCCAGAGCAGGTAGGGCTACGTGGCCAGCCGGCCCCATGGCCTCAGGCCGCTCTGAGCACAGCAGCTGTCTGCCAGGCCGCTGCTAGTTTCTCTGGAATGTGTCTGCCCGTGTTCATGTGGTGGCTTCCTATGCTTCAGGTGTTAGTTTAATGTCATCATCTCACAGAGGCCTGCCCCGATCACCCTCTTTCTTCTCACAGTTCCCTTTTCATTTCCAGCACACGCTGAAACATCTGGAGTTCCTGCGTGAGGTTCCCAGTTCTGTTTCCAACCAACATCCACGTTGAGCTCACCAAGAAGCCTCCCACACTGAGAACAGTGCCTGACATGTGGTTGTTGCTAAAAACAACAACAAAACCCTTGAACTAAAGCACTTGTTAAATGAATGAACTCTTGGCCAGGAATGGTGGGTCATGCCTGGAATCCCAGCTTTTTGAGAGGCCAAGGTGGGAGGATCACTTGAGGCCAGGAGCTAGGGACCAGCCTAGGCAACACAGCAAGACCCTGTCTCTACAACAAATGAAAAAATTAGCTGGGCATAGTGGTGTGTGCTTGTAGTTCTATCTGTTCAGGAAGCTGAGGTAAGAGGATGATGGCTTGAGCCCAGGAGTTTCAGGCTGTAGTGAGCTATGATGGTGCCACTGCACTCCAGCCTGGGTGACAGAGCAATACCCTGTCTCAAGCTAACAAAAAATGAATAAACTCTTTAAAGTTATAATACACCATGTAATGGGAAATTAAAACATAAAAACTGAAGATACATGGAAAAGTAGATTGCCACTGTGTAAATATACACAAATATGGGCAAAGCTGAATGAAAATTTTTATAATTAAAATATTAAAATATGTGCATATATAGAGAAAGCAATTGGCAAAATATTAACAATTGGTGATTTTAGGTGAAAGATATCTAGGTGCTCATTGCATTCTTCTTGCATTTTTTTTTTTTTTTTGAGACGGAGTCTCGCTCTGTCACCAAGGCTGGAGTGCAGTGGCGTGATCTCGGCTCACTGCAAGCTCCGCCTCCTGGGTTCACGCCATTCTCCTGCCTCTGCCTCCCGAGTAGCTGGGACTACAGGCGCCCACCACCGCGCCCGGCTAATTTTTTGTATTTTTAGTAGAAACGAGGTTTCACCGTGTTAGTCAGGATGGTCTCAATCTCCTGACCTCGTGATCCACCTGCCTCAGCCTCCCAAAGTGCTGGGATTACAGGCGTGAGCCACTGCGCCTGGCCTCTTGCCCTTTATTTTTAAGTTTGATGTTTTTTCCAAGTAAAAAAATTAAACAAAATAGCTCTTTGAAAACAGCAGGATTCTGGCTGCCTTGCTTTCTTTCACGCTTCTGTTATATTGTGTTTATAATTAACACCATTTGAGGACAAGGAGGAGAAATAACAATCTGAGACTATCCCCCAAAGTTCATATGTTAGAAACTTCATCCTGAATGCCACAGTTTTGAGAAGTGGGACCTTTAAGAGATGACGAGGTCATGAGGGCTCTGCCCTCATGAATGGATTGATGTCATTATCATGGGAATGGGTTGGTTATTACAACAGTGGGTTTGTTATAAAAGCAAGTTTGGCCTTCTCTCAAGAGCGCTCTTGCTGTGTGACGCCTTCCACCACAGGATGGTGCAGCATGAAGGCCCTCCCCAGATGCCAGTACCATGCTTTTGGACTTCCCAGTTTCCAGAACCTTGAGTCAAATACTTTTCTGATCATTAGAAGTTACTCATTCTCTGGCATTCTGTTACAGCAGCACAAAATTAAAACAGAGAGAGACAGGGGACATAATATGCACGGCCTGGGCCACCTGTTGGGCTTCTCCTCACCTTAGAACTGACAAAATATGCCCTGGGTTGAGAGATGCAGAAGGGTTAAGACCCTTATGGGACCACAGTGAGCTGACAGGTTATACTCAGTCTTCTGGAGCCCTTATCTATGACCCTAACCTAGAAAACTACTGCTGGGCAGCTAGGATCAAACAATTACCAGTTATTTCTAACTTTCTGAAGGACCAGTGAGAGGGGAAAGAAAAGAAGAGAAGGAAGGCCGGGCATGGTGGCTCACACCTGTAATCCCAGCACTTTGGGAGGCCGAGGTGGGTGGATCATCTGAGGTCAGTAGTTCGAGACCAGCCTGACCAACATGGTGAAACACCATATCTACTAAAAATACAAAAATTAGCCAGGCCTGGTGGCGCACACCTGTAATCTCAGCTACTTCAGAGGCTGAGGCAGGAGAATTACTTGAACCTGGGAGAAGAGGCTGCATTGAGCTGAGATCGCACCACTGCACTCCAGCCTGAGCGACAGAGCAAGACTCTGTCTCAAAAAAAAAGAGTAAAGAAGAGAAAAGAGGAGGTTCTGAGTGTGGGGCACACATCTGGGTTCAAATACACTGTCTTATGAAATCCTTGCACAGGAATCCATGATCCCAATGAGCAAACTGAGGCTTAGGCAAGCCAAGGCCACAGAGCTGCAGGGGGAGAGGCTGTGTTTGCAGTCCAGTCTATCTGATGCCAGTGCTCTGCCCGCTATATCTCAGAAAGGAAGGGGCACATGACATGGGTATGATGGACAGTCAGTCCTTCCATGTGGCCTCACCTGGCTGCATCTTCCTCTAGTAGGAGCTTCACGAACTGCCGGGGCACGTGCAGGGAGAGCACGCTCTCTGCCATCTGCTCCAGGATCCGCAAATGGTTACCATCAGTGGTTGGAAACCGGTACATGCGGCAGATGGCACCACCGAACACTGAGGTGGGATGACAAGGGAGACAGGCTGCAAATGAACTGGCTGCAGACCTGCCTCATGGGTTCTCCTCCCCCGGCCCTCAGGGATGGTGACACCTCAAGTCCTCTCACTGTTCATCTCATGGGAATTAAAACGCTTACACCGAAAACCCACCAAGTGGCTAGGTCTGAACATTTCTTCCCAGCAACATGCAATCTTCCTGTCCCAGAACATGTAACTAACTCTAAAGTGCAAGCAGCTGGGGGCAGGGAGGCTGTCGTCAGTCACCAACCCCAATGTGAAACAGAAAAGAGTGAGATGAAGTATTACTTCCTTGGAGTATTACTAATTCTTTTTTATTTTTTAATCCTCTTTCAAGGAAAATTATAATTGTTTTTTGTGATAACTCTTTATATGCTGCAAAAAGAACACAATGATAAGCAGCAGAGAGGTGACAATTAGGGTGCATGGCTGGGACAATCGCAGCAGGTGGGGAGCAAAGGGGACTGCGGGCCCAAGTGGATACTCACTAGAGAGGCAAGAATACCAAAGGAGGAAGCTGTTTACCCGATTTCAGCAAAGTGTCCTTTCGCAATGAAGCGTATTTGGATCGGATTCCTAACGCCTCCGTCAAGCTCTCATCGACAGGAAGAACCATCTGATAATGTATAAGGAAATGCACAAGAAAACTGTGAGATTCAGATGACTCCAGAACATTCAGCAGAAACAGTGGCCTAAATACATCATAACAGAAGTCTTAAGATGAATATCCACCATGAACTCTACAATAAATATGCTGCCCAAGCCACAAAGTCATTCACCTCCCAGTGTGTTGAATCACTTCATGCGCACACAATTCTCTAGGCATGCATGGTTTCTCAGTCACTTCACCTTGTGTGTCAGTGTTCTGATGTAAAAACGAAAAGGAAGAGAATAGATGATGCCAAGGGATATTTCCAGAACTAACATTCTGGGCTTATTTTGGGTGAAATGAGACATCTCTGTATTGTACAACAATGACTACTTACCAGCGCTAGGGCTCTGAAATTAGAATTTTTCTTTGAGTGTCTGTGTGAGAGACTATGCATGACAGTGGGTGCAGGAGGGTGTAGCTAGAGAGGGGGAGGAGGACCAGGGAAGAGGGGAGGATGTGAAAAGGTGAAGGTGTGCACCAGGAGACTGCAGGGCATGCATGTGTCTGGGAGAGGAAGGTATTAAAACAGGACAGATGACCTGGGTCCTAAATGCCTCTTTGCTCACCCTCCACACCCAAGTTGCCCCCTGACTGCAGTTCTTCCAGTAGGGCTCTTTCCCACTCACTCCTGCCCTCTAGAATTGGCCAGTGTGGCACCCAGAACAGAAGCCGGCTCCAGGGCAGCAGGGCTTTACAGGCAGGAGCCCTTTTTCCTGCTTCAAGGTGTGCCTAAGGAGGACCGGAGTGTCCGTGGGGAGCAGCATCAAGCAGCAGGCCCTGCCCTTTGCTGAGCACAGAGGCTAAGTCCACGAGGGCTGCATTTTTACTGATTAATTCCCTTGCTCTTTCTAAGGGAGAGGAGGAAAGTGGTGTAACTCACCCTCCCATTGACAGTGTCCACAGACCGGGTCACAGGGGGCCGTTGGTCTGACTTCTCCTCCATCTGCCAGCCAATCACGGTGATGTTACCTACACGGTCACTCTCTGCAGACCTGTGATGCACAACATGCTTTAATGAGTGGTGCTGCAACTGTGCTTCTTTTCTGCTGAAATACAAAGCCCTAGCCGTACTGGGTCATCAGGGTCCTGGGGGCAGCAGGGCCGAGCTGACTGACCAGTCAGTCAGCATTCACTGTGCACACAGGGCTCCTCTCAGGCGAGACAGACAAGGAAACCATGGGGCACAGTGGAGGGCTGTGTCTGAACGGACACGCACCACAGGGAAGTGTGGACGTGCTGGTGAAGTCAGAGGGGGCCTCCCTGAGGAGGAGCCAATGCTGTTCCTGAGCTGCTGCCAGTGCCTGTGCTCACCCCTGCCCAGAGGGTGAGGGGGACACGTGTCAGAGTGAGGACTACAGAACACCTTGTTCTGGCCCTGGGCCCTTTTCTGTTCCTTCCCACCCCACCTTGAGGCTTATATTAGCCCAAGGCCTAAGCCTGGACTCCAAGTAATGGAATCCAGCCAGGGCTTCCTGAAGCCCTTGAATCCTGATATGACACAGCTGATGCTACCCCAGCCTCAGTCAGCTTTACCCTGACATCCCGAAGGGTGGCTGATGGTGGCCTGGGCTCATCTGATTCATCCAGGGAACCTGGGGACACCCTGGAACTTCAGGCTTTCTATTTACAAGGTCTCACTTAATCAGGTTCTAAATTTTTGTCTGGTCCCATCTACTGACCATTTCCTTTGTGATTTCCTTGCCCTGTCCTCGTGCCTGTGAAGTCCTTTCCTGCTCTATCTGTTCAATCATCAGCCGCCTTTAGCTCCTTTAAAAAGAATGATGTCTATTTTGTACATTTAACTCTAACCCAACTAGAGTTAACTCTGACACATGACGTAACTAAATATTTTTCTCAAAGCCCTTTCCCTTACATGATCCCTCTCATTTTACCAAAGATGGTTCCTTTTTCCTGAATCAAGTTCTCTAAACAAACTAAGGGCTGCTGCAGGGCTCTGATCCTGTCCACTGATTAGACAGCCAATGCCTGCAATACTGTCTTTACTTATAGTAGCTTCAGAATGTCTCAATACTGCAGGGACTTAATTGTTTGTCAAATTTTCCTTGCTACTCTAGATTACTTTCCCAGATCACAGTTCTCCAATTTTTACCTTTTTCTGAAAAAAGACCACCATGTCAGGGTTTTGGTGGGAAGTGCCCCTAAAATGATTTGGAAGGACTGACATCCTGATGTCTTTCATCTTTCCATCCTGGGAGACAGTGGGCGTTTCCCTTTCATTCACTCATTCCTTCCATAAATATTTATTGAGCACCAGACACATTCTAGGTGTCTGGGAAATAGCAGTGAAGCAAAGCAGACAAAACTCCCTGCTCTATGGGAGATTATATTCCACTGGGGAGGGGCTAAATAATGGAGAAACACACTTAGTATTACTAGATATGTATCTAGGCCTTCCTTTAGGGCTTGGTACAGCTGTGCTCATATCTCCTATGGATGCTAAAAGTTTCCATTCTCTGATAGGCTAAGTAATTTGTTTCGCCTCAATAGACAACACAGTGTCCCCACGCTGACTGGCTTCTGGGAAGGGAAGGGTGCTCTCTCAGTATAAGAAGTGGGTCCTTTCCCCATCTGTCCCTGGACCTCATGATTCCAGATCCTTTCAAGGGAATAAAACTGAATACCAACCTTAGTGTTAAATGCAACCTATGATGCCTGTCCTGGAGCAGATCTTTGACAATGAACGTTCCAGAGCCCAGTAAATACATCTGAGGAAGAGAAGGAAGAGAGGCAGCATTGGTGCGCTTGCTTTGCTTCTGATGCAATTACCATGGCCCCAGAGAGTCCAGCTGACTGCTTCCCACAACACCTCTTACCCTTATGTCAGAAGCCCAATGGGAAAGCTTAACAATTCGCAAAGACAAATGCATTTAGACATGAGTTAACTTGTGAGCCAGTAGTGAAGTCAATCTGTGTTCATCTCTCATTCAAACGATTATATAATTTTTTCAAAGGGAAGAAAATCCCACGAACTACAACACATTACTTAACTGTTCCCTGAGATCTATCTTTGACATCATACACGGAGAGTTTGACTTGTGTCATCTGATTGATAAGAGAGTCTTGAAAGAAGGCAATACTGCTTAGAAATATAGGATTGTTGGTTCCCTAGAACAGAAAAGGAAATAATCAGAACACAGGGTTGGATTTTTAAAATGTAATTGCTTTTGAAATACACCAACATTTTCAGAATGAGAAACTAACATTCTCACTGCCTTGAATCAACACAAATGCTAAAGGCGGCTTAAATAAATACATAAAACAAACAAACAAAAAAACTCTGCTTTTTAAAAGAGAAAAAAGAAGTCTGACATAGACCATTACAGATCCACATACAATAAATCAGCCCATTACACAAGCTGTGCCTGAGGACTCATTTCATGGGTTTCACACTCAACAGGAGGAATTTTTAAAAACTGAAACAAGTTGGATGTCCACATGCATTCTTAGTTTTATAACTTAAAGTGTAATGTGTATGTAAACCTACTACTTTGAGTTATTCCTTTAAGAGGTACAAATAAGCAGATGAAAGAGAGAAAATGAATGGCTTAAGTGGTTTATTATGTATTTCTAGAAGCCTGTGTTTGGAATAATTAAAGCCTGACTTTTCAAAAGCTATCCTTTTTTTAGGATCAGCTACTAGTTTTTTGATCATAGGTGACTATTTCCTGGCAGCCTGGCCATGTCCTCCAAAGCCCCGTAATACCATACTCTCTCAGGCACCAGGTAATTATCACAGCCACCATTCCCTGGGCCTCTGGCTCCTTTTTCTCTCTGGAGATCCAGATCCAGGTGGTCAAGCTGACTGGACAGCTCCACCTGGGTGGGCTGCTGGGGCCTCAACCAACTCATCTCTCCCTCCACCTGCCCTTGGCTAAGGCCACCTCTGACTCCCTTTCCAAGCAGGCTAAAAGCCCGGGCATTCACTTTGGTGCCTTCTTCTCTGTTGTTCTCAACCATCCAGTGATCATGAACTCCCCTTGCAAGGTCCACCTTCAAAGTCTCTGTCATACGCTCCTTTCTTTCCACTCCCTCCAACTCTCACTCCCCCAAATGCCTGTCCTATACAAGTTAGGACATCTGGTCAGGTGACTCCCCTGCACAGAAGCCTACACTGGCTCACTACCATCTGCTGATAAACTCCACGGCCTTCAAGGCTTTCTTTCCTTGCTCTCCTACTTGTGCCTTTCACACACTGACCAGGATACAGTTAGACCCCAAACCTGCATGATCCTTCCCTGTGGTCACACATTTGCATAGCCACAACAGAACTTTGGCGTGCTCTTCATGTGGAGTCCCCCGACTGGCTACCTGGGCATCACTTGGGAGCTTGTAAGAAATGCAGTCTTGGGCCCTACCCCAGACATACTGAAGTAGAATTTCATGAAGCCCCACCCTAGGAAGCCTGCTCTGACTCTCACAGCCAGATAGGATCCCAGCCTCCTGGTGCTCTCCTTACCTTCCTACTCCAATACTTCCCATACTCTGCTGTGCACACGGGTAGCCATATTCATTTCTGCCTCCCCACCCACCAGCTGGTCAATTCCTCAGGGCAGGGACTGTGCCCTGGTGGGCTCTGTATCATCCACAGTGCCTGGCACTATGCTAGATGTGTAGGTAGCACTCGACAACTGCTTAGAAAGCAGAATTGTTGACGTGAACTTGGAAATAAGTTTCTAAGAGACTGAAAGGGTGGGCTAGCTTCCAAAATGCACAACTGGTGAAGAAGAAGAAATGCAGTTTAAGTTTGATAATTCTTCACTTTACAAATAAAACTCTGCAGAATCTCATGCCACCAACTCCTACACTTAGTGTTATGTAATGTGCTTGATGATCTAAAAGGATCATCCATAAATGTTTATCCACAAATGTTTATCATGTAACTTAGTGGGAAAAGTTAACATGTGACACAAAACTCAAAAGGCTGTAAAAACAAAAACCAACAAAAATAGGGGTATGTCTGGACAAGAGGGTGGTAAATAGTTAATACTCTTCTAAGCTTTGATTAATGAGCACCACTCTTGCAAAGTAGCAGCCAATTGGAGGTGACAAGAAGGAATTAGGTCTTACCTCTTACAAGGCAATGAAGCTTACAGGATCATTGTTCAAAAACAAGCTGCCAACAGTTAATCAATAACTGTAAAGGATATGGCAATATAAATGCCACCCAGATGAGTAAATGTGATGAAAAATATCAATGTACTGAAAACCCATGGGAAAATAGCAACAACTCACGTAAATACAGCTTCAGCTACAGATGCACAAGTAACTGAACATCAGGACAAGAGACACCACTAGAGCATGTCCCACAGCCCCTCAGAGAGAGACCACCAGCACCCACCTCAATGATCTCCGTCTGTGCATGCTTCGTCCAGAATGCCTGAGGAGGGGTGGTGACACTCACCGCAACAAAACTATTTGGCTTTCGATCTAGCGATGGAGTATGCAGCTCACTGCAAGCTACAGAATCAACACGGGAAAGAAATGAATCCTTTAAAACCAGACTCTGATTAGTTTTCTGTTCCAAACACATTCAAAGAAAGCACAAAGAGTAAATGACATTCAAAGAGATGAGACGATCACATCGTCAGTTGTCACAGGGAAGTGATTTTTTAAATTTGAAACAATCTCTTTTCACGCCCCCTCCCCGCCACCCTCCAAGACAGCAATGTCATAACTTCAGTGAAAGGCTGCGCTGACGGGGGCTTCCCATGTCCATGGAGTGGAACACAAAGCCAGAAATCTCATATAGGTCCAACCCTTCAAGTCCGACCTCGGTAACTATTCCAACTCTAACCAATTGAGTGAAGGAGCCACAGAGTCTACGAAATCTAAGACAGAGCTACCCATGCTTGCATCCTGTGACTGCTGTGGCTGACTCTGAGCATATGGTGCTCCACGTGTCTTGGCAGGTGGATGGATGGATGCTGGAAGAAAATTAGAATTCTATGGCAAAGTAAACAAAGCTCTTTTTTTTTTCTTAAGTGAGCCATTGTTCATTTACAGTCAATGATAAACCACATATATGACAATGGTCTCACAGATTATAATGGAGCTGAAAAATTCCTATTGCCTAGGGATGTCATAGCCATCCTAACGTCCCAGAACAAACACATTACCTTTTCTATGTTTAGACACACAAATACTTACCATTGTGTTACAATTGCCTATAATATTTAGTACAGTAGCTGTCCAGGTTGGTAGCCTAGGAATAACAGGCTATACATGTAGCCTAGGTGCCTAGGAAGCTGTGCCATCTGGGATCCTGTTAGTACACTCTATCATGTTCACACAAGGATGAAATCACCTAATGACACATTTGACAGAACGTAGCCCCACCATTAAATGACACACGACTATACTTAATGCCACCAAACTGTATACTTAAAAATGGTTAAAATAATAAATTTTATGTACATTTTATCGCAATTTTAAAATAAAATAGAAAAAAGTATTAACTCCAATTTAAAAATATGTTATTGTGTCCACAACAGGTGAGACAAATGCACAGGAAATTCAGAGAGAGGAGGAGTGATGGGATGAAGGAAGACACTAACAAAAATGAAAGAAAGAACAGGGAGAAAAAAGGAGAGATTAAAAGACTGAAAAATACAAAGAGGGAAGGAGGAGATATGAATTTGGAAGGGTGGGGGAGAGCAATACCTTGGCATGTTTTGAGGAGAGTTTACCTGGGAAGATATCTTTGTCATGTTCATTCAGAGTAAGTTACTGGCTATCTCCATCCTTTGAAAGGACCTGTGGTGATCTAACTAACCACTGTTCACAGCTCGATCTGCTCTTTTGGGTTCTAATTACACTTTTTCTGACATTAAGATTGCCATATCAGGTCTCTCCTTTGTTAGCATACACATTTGTGTGTGTGTTTTTCTATAGTTGCTATTCATGCAGCTATAACCCAGATGTTTACCCCAAATCTTATGTCTTTGAATTTTCAATGCTTTCTCTATTGGTGAACGTCCATCTGGAATCATCAGCCTTCTACTTAGGAACATCTCTTAGCACTGTTTATACTGTAAGTGTGGTGCTGACATTCTTTCAGCTTTTAAGGTTTGAAAATGTCTTTATTCCACCTTACTTCTTGAAGGAAATGTTCTCTAAGTAGTCATTTTCTCTAAGCCCTTTAAATATATTGTGCCTAGGCCTCTGTTTTTTCTGTTATGAAGTCAGCGGTCGGTCTAGTTGTTGCTACTTTAAGTGTTGTGTTTTCTGGTAGCTTTTATAATTTTCCCACTGAGTATGGCTTTCAGTAGTTTTATTATGATGTGCCTAGGTACATTTGTTTTTATTTGTTCTGCGAATTGTTGTATTACTTTGGGAGAAATGCTCAACTATAAATATTGCTTCTGACCCTTTTCTGTGTTCCTTCTTAAAGATACAAAATAAATGTAACATTAGACCTCTCACTATGCTGTTTTTACTCTCCTCTGATTTTTTTTTCCATTATTTTTATTGCTCTGGCTTCATTTTGTAAATTTGCTTCTTGAAATTTTTCTTTTAATTCTAGAATATCTATTTGGTTCTTTTCATGGTTTCTAGTTCTCTGAAAATGTTCAATAATGTCCTTATTCTTCTTTACCTAGTGTTATGACTGAATGTTTGTGTCCCCCTAAAGTTTCTTTAAGTAGGTCTGTCCTCTGACACAAACCCCAAAATTTATGTGTTGAAATCTTATATCCCAATGTGATGGTATTAGGGGTGGGGCCTTTCAGAGGTGATTAAGTCATGAGGGTAGAGTCTTCATGAATGGGATTAGTGCCTTTAAAAGAAGAGACACAAGAGCTTGCTTCCTCTGCTCTGCTCTCTGCCATGTGAGAACACAACAAGACGACGTCCATCTGCAAACCAGGAAGCTGGCCCCCATCAGACAACAGATATCCTAGCATCTTTATCTTGCACTTCTCAGGTTCCAGAACTGTGAGCAATAAATTTCTATTTTTTAAGTCACCCAGTCTACAATATTCTGCTATAGCAGCCCCTATTAACTAAGACATATAGTCAATAACAGTTATTTTAGTGTCTGTCTCTTAACTCTAATATATACAGCCCCTTTGGATCTATTTCTATGTTTATTGTTTCTGTTCATATTTCTTATCTCCTCATGTTTCTGAGAATTCATGATTTTATGCTGAACACTATATTTTAAGAATTGCTTGTAGAAATTATTTGAGGTCTAGGATGGTGCTTTCTCCAGACAAGATTTGTAACTACTTCTGCAAGGTTCCAAGGAGCACTAGCACTCTAAAATATTTTCATTTACTTTCAGAAACTTAATGAACCTGTAGTCCCTATGAACACCTGCTTCTGGTTCCTTTACTCTAGAGGTTTAGATTTAGCCTTTTGGATTCTAGATCAAAGTGAGAGGGGTTTCAACAAGTATCCTTCCCCTAACGGACCCTAGAAAGCAATCCCTGCCACTTCTCACTGAGACACTGTCTAAAGCACTAAGTGTCTTTAGACACTTAGTGTCTAATCCATCTAATCCTTTCTCTTGGCCTTTCTCTTGGGAACCACTGTAAGCCCTCAAGGGAATAAGTGAGCCTCTGCTCTCAGATTCTTTATTGTCCTATCAGTTCTCTGGTAGCATGGACCAGGTAGTTCAGATTTTTTTTTTTTTTTCACTTTTTCTAGTTGTCCTTATGGTAGATTTGATGTTTGTTATTTATCTAGAAAAAGATTTTCTTTCTCCTTAGAATTTGTTAGTCTCATAAGGAGATGCCTGGCAGCTGGAATATTCTTGAGTCTTAAGTCCATTCTTCCCTCTGGAAAGAATTCTTCTGTTGCTTCTGGCTTGCTGCTACTCCTCTTTCCAGCTCTCTCTCTGCTTCTAGGTCTCCTATCAATCAAATACTAGAACTACCAAATCTGTCATATCTCTTCATTAACAATCTCTCTTTCTTGTTATTTTGTACTTGAACTGTGAGATGGTTCCTTCATTTACCTTCACAGATTTAATAAGAGTTTTCAGCAGCATTGCTTTAATTTTTACTACGTTTCTTTTAAGATATGATTCACATATCATAAAGTTCACCCTCTTAAAGTACACAATTCTGTATTTTTTGTCTTTTTTTGTTTTTTATTTTGAGATGGAGTCTCACTCTGTTGCCCAGGCTGGAGTGCAGTGGCGCGATCTCAGCTCACTGCAAGCTCTGCCTCCCGGGTTCACGCCATTCTCCTGCCTCAGCCTCCCGAGTAGCTGGGACTACAGGCGCCCACCACCACGCCCAGCTAATTTTTTGTATTTTTTTAGTAGAGACGGGGTTTCACCGTTTAGCCAGGATGGTCTGGATCTCCTGACCTCGTGATCCACCTGCCTCGGCCTCCAAAGTGCTGGGATTACAGGCATGAGCTATTGCGCCCAGCCCAATTCTGTGGTTTTTTAAAGACATTCAGAGTTGTGCAACCATCACCACAAATTCCTGAACATTCTCATCAATCCAAAAACAACAAACCAAACCCATTACCCCCATTCACTGGTCCCCCAAGAAACCACTGATCTACTTTCTATCTATATAGATTTGTCTAGTCCATATATTTCATATAAGTGGAATCATACAATAGGTGGCTTTTTGTATCTGGCTTCTTCAATTAGCACATTATAAAGGTTTATCCATACTCTAGCAAATATCTGTACTTCGTTCCTTTTTATTGATAACATTCAATTGTATAAACACACCACATACTGCTTATTCATTTTTGAAAGATATTTTTGATGAATAGAAATTTTTTTTTTTTTTTTTTTGAGACAGTCTCGCTCTGTTGCCCAGGCTGGAGTGCAGTGGTGCGATCTCGGCTCACAGCAAGCTCCGCCTCCCGGGTTCACGCCAATTCTCCTGCCTCAGCCTCCCGAGTAGCTGGGACTACAGGCGCCTGCCACCACGCCCAGCTAATTTTTTTTGTATTTTTAGTAGAGATGGGTTTCACTGTGTTAGCCAGGATGGTCTCGATCTCCTGACCTTGTGATCTGCCTGCCTCGGCCTCCCAAAGTGCTGGGATTACAAGCGTGAGCCACTGCGCCTGGCCGAATAGAAAATTCTTGGTTGTCTTTTTCTTTCAGCAGTTTGAATACATCACCCTACCACCTTCCTGACCTCCATGGTTTCTGATGAGAAATTAGCTGTTACTCTTATTGATGATCCCTTATACATGATAAGTCACTCCTTTCTTGCTATTTTAAAGATTCTGTCTTTGGCTTTCAATGATTTGAGTATGATGTATCAAGTGTGGATCTCTTTGAGTTTATCCTATGTGGAGTTCATTGGGCTTCCTGGATATGTAGATTCATGTTTTCCATCAAACATGGGATGTTTTTGGTCATGATTTATTCAAACATTTTTATCTCCCCCCTTCTCAATTTACTCTTCTTCTGGAACTCCTATTATATGTATATTGGTGCACTTGATTGTGTCCCACAGGTCTCTGAGGCTCTGTTCATTTTTCTTCATTCTTTTTTCCTTTCTGTTCCTCAGACTGGATAATCTCAATTGACCTGTCTTCAAGTTTGCTGATTCTTTCTTCTGCCTTCTCAAACCTACAGTTGAGCCTCTCTTAATGAATTTTTCATTTCAGTTATTATAATTTTGAACTCCAGAATTTGTATTTAGATATCTTTATAGTTTCTATCTCTTCAAGTCTCTATTTGGTGAGACACTGTTCTCATACTTTCCTCAGTTCTTTAGACATACTCTCCTTCAGTTATTTGAACATACTTAAAATAGCTGATTTAAAAATCTTTGTCTACTAAGTTAAACATTTGTGCCTCCTAGGGATGGTTTCTACTGACTGTATGGGTTTTTTCCATCTGTGTATGAGCCATACTTTCTTTTTTGCAACATCTCATAACTTCTTGTTGAAAACTACACATTTTAAATAATATAATGTGAGATCTCTGGAATTAGATTCTCTCCCTTCCCCAAGCTTTGTTGTTGCTGCTCTTTTGTGTGGCTGTTTCTTCAGTGCCTTTTCTGATCTAATTCTGTAAAGTAATACTCTTTGTCATGTGTGGCCACTGAAGTGACTGCTTCATTAGGTTAGTAGTCAGATAATGGTTGGACAGATATTTCCTTAAATACCAGAATCACAGACCTTTGCTGTAGCTAAGAGTCCCTGTGTGTATACTGGGGTGCATTTTCAATGTTCAGGAAGGCAGTTTATAACTCTGTCTTAGCCTTCATTTGCCACTTGCATAGAACCTCAGGGTCAATCTCAGGTAATTGTTTAGGGCCTTTTCACGTCTCCTGAGTATGCACACAGCTCTGGACATGTGCACAGCCCTTCACTGGCCTTTGAAGTTCCCAGGAATATGAAAGAGCTTTTCAAATCTCCCTGTGAATATCTCATTCCCCAGCTTTCCCTTTTAAGGTTTTTTTGGTTAGCTTTTTGTTTGCTCCAACTGTTACTACTACCTCTGGCAGCTGCAATGTTAAAAAATGGACAGTGATTGTTTTTGACAAACATTCTCAGGGAAAAAGCTGTTGTCACTGATTCTGAGTTAAGCCAAATAAAGGCAGGTACAGGATGTAGGGTTTTCCAGGGAACTGCCAGACAGGCCAAATAATGATAACTCTCTAAGAAAGGGGCTTTTTTGTAGGATCTCCAACCCCATTCTGTCCCCTTCAGGGACTTTTAGGCTATTGATTTTCACTATAACATCAAAGATGTTGCCTTTAAAGTCTACTTGGAGCTAGAGAGAGGACGATAGCAACAGGGCAAGTTAAAACATCATAAAGCTCTCTAAGAACCCATTTGATATGATTTGGATGTTTTGTCCCCTCCAAATCTCATGCTGAAAGGTAATCCCCAGTATTGGAGGTAGGGCCTGGTGGAAGGTATTTGGATAATGGGGGACAAATCCCTCATGAATGACTTAGTGCCATCCCCTTGGTGATGAGTGAGTTCTAGCTCTGAGTTTACGCAAGACCTGTTTGTTTAAGTGTGTGGCACCTCCTCCCTCTCTCGTTTAATCCTTCTCTCATCATGTAAGATGCTCGCTCCCGCTTTTCCTTCTGCCATAAATAAAACCTCCCTGAGGGCTCACCAGAAGCTGAGAAGATGCTGGTGCCATGCTTGTATAGCCTGCAGAACCATGAGCCAATTAAACTTCTTTTCTTTATAAATTACTCAGCCTCAGGTATTTCTTTATAGAACTGCAAGAACAGACTAATACACCATTTTTCTTAAATAAATGCTACCCAGAGTGCTGTAAGCCTCTGTTAATTTTCAGAGTTCTGAACCAATTGATTTTGACCATTTTTGCCAGTATACTCATTGCCTTTATAGAAAAGAAGATTTTTGGAAGTCTTCACTCTGCCATATATGCCCTCATCATTCTTATTTTTAAATGACAACTAGTGGTTTAAAATTAATAAACTGATTTTTATTTCCAAAAATTAATTTTGGTTCTCTGTAATATCTTCTCATGTATCTTCATGAACCTTCATTATTTATTGGATACAATAAAATACAAAAAGCTTAGGTTTTTCTGTTCAATGAGCTTTAACAATCATAAACACCCATGTAAGCACCATCAAAACAAGATAGCACAACTTTTTCATCAGACTAGAAAGTTCCCTCTTGTACAAATCTCCTAGTTTTGCAAGCATTTTCTGATTTCCATCACTATTCTTTTGTCTGTTCTTGAATTTCATACAAATGGAATGTTTTCGAGACTCATCTGTGTTGTTACATGTATTGATAATTCATTCTTTTTTAAAAAATGAGTCATATTCCATTGTACAATTTATTTATTCTACTGTTAATAGACATTTGGGTTGTTTTCCGTTTTGAACTATTAAATAAAGGTGACATAAATGTTGTTGTTCATGTCTTTTTGTGAACACTTTTTCATTTCTTCTGCATAATTACATACAACTAAAATATATTTAACTTTATGAGAAGCCAACAGTTTTCCAATGTGTTTGTATCATTTTCCACTCCCACCAGCAATATACAAAAGTTCCAGTTGGGTAGAGTGTTTTGTTTTGTTGTTGTTGTTGTTGTTAATTTTACCCATTCTAATAGATGTGTTTTAATTTGCGGTTACATGATGACTTATGCTGTTAAGCATCATTTTAACATGTGCTTATTGTTCATTTGTATAACTTATTTTGTCTAGTGTCTGCTCAAGTCTTTTGCTCATTTTAAAAATTTGGTTGTTTACTATTTATTTGTCCTTTGTGAAGTATACGTGTTGTGAATATTTTTTTCCAGTTTGTGGTTCATCTATTCATTTTCTCAGTGATGTCTCTTATGGACAGCAATTTCTTATTTTGATGAAATTCAATGTATCTTTTTTAAATTTTAGGAAGTGGTAGGCAGAGAAGCCCCTCTCTGACAAAAAGTACCTATGTCCTAATCCTCAGAAACTATGAATAGATTACATTACATGGCAAAAGGGACTTTACAGATGTGATTAAGTGATCTTCAGATGGATTATGCAGATGGGCTCAATCTATCACAGGAGCCCTTAAAAATAGAAGAGGAAGGCCTTAGGGTGAATCATAAAGATATAACAATGGAAGAAGAGGCAGGAGAGATTCCAAGCATGGAAGGCACTAGACCTGCCACTGCCAGCTTTGAAGATGGAGGAAGAGGACTGTAAGTCCACAAGAGGAATGTGAGTGGCCTCTATGAGCTGGGAACAGGCCTTAACTGATAGCTAGCAAAAAAATGGAGTCCTAAAATTTAAAACCACTAGCAACTGAATTCTGCCAACAACGCGAATGAGCAAGGAAATAGATAGGAAATAGGCCCCAGAGGCCTTCTAAATAAATCCAGCCCTGCTAACACTGATTTTGGTGTTGTGAGACTCTAAGCAAAGACCCAGTGAGCACACTGGATTTCTAATCTAAGGGAACTGTAAGATAATACATTTATATTGCTTTAACATGCTAAATTTCTGGTAATTTGTTATGGCAGCAGTAGCAAACTAAAACAAACAGTGCTTTTTGTGCTCTGTCCAAATCTTTGCCTACCCTGAGTTTGAAAGTTCTCCTATTTTTCTTCTAGAGGCTTCAAGGTTTTATTACTATTTTAAGTTCTCTTTTGTTTCTTCTATTATGTCTGCCTGGACAGGAATTCCCTAATTTGATTGATCTACTTGTCTCTTCTTTAAGTTACAAAGTACCCTAAAATGACCTGTGGCCTCTCTCTACCTGCCCTTTTATCAGGTGTGAGTTTTCTTGACACCTATGCAAGGTAGGAATATTCAGGTCTTTCAGGCAGTAATGATGGCAGACAGACGTAAGGTACAGCAGGTGGCCAAAGGCTGGGAAGACTGAGATTACTTTAAGGGTTGATGGTCCCATGGCCACCTTCAGAACATGCCTTCGTACAAGGGACAATCTCTCCTGGCCTCCTCCCCCAACCCAGCCTATCTAAATTTCAACCAGGGTTTGATTCCTGGCTCAAGTTCCATAGCTTCCATTAAGTTTTCTCTGAGCAGCCTGCAGGCTCACTTACGTCATTCATTTGGCATATTTCCATAGAAACCACACACCTCTGATATATAAGCCTTGTCTCTCCAACCTGATCGTCTGTAATCCCAGCTGAATAAACACTAAATAAATGCTGTTGAGGTAAACTGCATATATTTGATTCAACAATGCTATATTCAAGAGTGTATCCTAAGGAAATAATCAGCAACATGTATGAAAGATCTATGTATGAATACGTTCACTGTGATAGTGTTTATAATGGCAGATTGGGAAGAACCTGAATGTCCAGCAGTAGGAGGCTGGCTAAAATAAGTATGGCACAGCTCTATTAGAGACTCTATGAAGGCATTTAAAATGATCAAGCAGATCCCATATATATTAAAAAAGGTATTTTGCCACATGAAAAAAGAATGTCAAGAGCACTAGGATGACATGTTTGGAAATAATTCCATACTTCCACAACCAAAAATCATTCAAAATCTCCATATAGTACTCTGTGAGGGTCAAACATATATATTTGGAAGGATATATACCAAAGTGATAACTGACTACCTCTCTGCAACATTTTCTGTATTGAAGGTTTTACAATGAACATACTTTTTTAAAAATTTAAAGTTTTATTTTAAAAGTCAACACATTTGTCCATTCAATAATCCAGCTCCCACTCCTCGCTTTTTAAAAAACTGGGGTGGCCAGGCGCGGTGGCTCACGCCTGTAATCCCAGCACTTTGGGAGGCCGAGGCGGGCAGATCACGAGGTCAGGAGATCGAGACCATCCTGGCTAACACAGTGAAACCCCGTCTCTACTAAAAATACAAAAAATTAGCTGGGTGTGGTGGTGGGTGCCTGTAGTCCCAACTACTCGGGAGGCTGAGGCAGGAGAATGACATGAACCCAGGAGGCGGAGCTTGCAGTGAGCCGAGATTGTGCCACTGCACTCCACCCCGGGAGACAGAGAGAGACTCCGTCTCAAAAAAAAAAAACAAAAAAACAAAAACAAAAACAAAACAAAAAAAACTGGGGTAAAATTCACTTTATATAAAATTAATCCTTACTTTTTAAAGCAGTTTCTTCCTCCATGTGCCCAATTAACATGACTATATTACTGTTTTTCGTTCACCAGATTCAGAAATGTCCTGATTTATAGGCGGATGAGGATTTTTAACTCAATTATACCAACTGTCATTCTCTCTCCATATGCAATCATTTTAGCTCAATTTGTGTTAAATCCACATTGTCATGATGAAAGTTAAGCACATATTACTCATTAAGAACCATGTGGGATTCCTTCCACTTCTCTCTTGTGATGACCCTGTTTCCTGGATCCCATGACTTCTCTGCTCAGTGTGGTCCCTCTTTAGGATGAGAACACATCCTCCACTAGCTTCCGGAGAAAGAATGCAGGGGAAGTAAATTTTTGCTGTACAACTCTGTGCAGCTGAAACAAGTTTCTTCCTACACTCACATTTGACTGATAGTCTGGTTGGGCAGAGAATTCTGGGTTGAAAATATAATTAAAGGTGTTGTCTCACTGTCTTCAAGTTTCCAATGTCACTGAGACATTCCATGCCAGTTTTATTCCTGATCCTTGGGTATGACCTGTTTTTTTTTTTCTTTCTGGAAGTTTTCAGGATCTTCATTTTATTCCCTGTGATCCGAAATTTCACCACAATACACCTTGTTATGGGTCTCTTTCAGCATTGTGCTGGGCCTTGGTAGACATTTTTAACCTACAGACACATTCTTCAGTTCTCGGAGATTTCCTCTTTCTTTGCATTTCCTCCCTTAACATTCTCTTCTGTTTTTTCTTCTAAATATCGGACCTTCTGGATTTACTCTCAAAATTTCCATTTCTATTTCTTACCCACTTTCTACTTTGTTTTTAAAATCTTACTTTCTGGAAGAATTCCTTGACTAACTTCCAAACTTCATAGAATTTTTTAAATTTTGTCTATCATATTTTAAACTTCTAAGATTGTTCTTGTTCTTCAATTGTTCTTTTTATCTTTATAGTGTCCTGGTTTTGTTTTATAGATATACTATCTTTTCTTGAGTATACAAATTATAATTTCTTTCTTTCTTTTTTTTTTTTTTTTTGAGACAGAGTCTCGCTCTGTTGCCCAGGCTAGAGTGTAATGGTGCAATCTCGGCTCACTGCAACCTCCGCCTCCTGGCTTCAAGCGATTCCCCTGCTTCAGCCTCCCGAGTAGCTGGGATTACAGGCACGCACCATCATGCCTGGCTAATTTTTGTATTTTTGTAGACACAGGGTTTCACCATGTTGGCCAGGCTGGTCTTGAACTCCTGACCTCATGTGATCCGCCCACCTTGGCCTCCCAAACTGCTGGGATTACAGGATTGAGCCACCATGCCTGGCCAATATAAATTATTATTTCTTTAAAACTTTCTGCAATGTCTCTGTTTCTTCCAAATTCTATTTTTTGTTTCTTTTTTATTATTATTTTTTAGAGACAGGGTATCCCTCTGTGGCCCAATCATAACTCACTGCAGTCTCAAACTCCTAGGCTCAAGGGCTCCTTCCACCTCAGCCTCCTTAGTAGCTGGCAATACATGCGTGTGCCACTACAGCCAGGTAAGTTTTTTTTTTTTCTTTTTTAGAAACAGGGTCTTGCTATGTTGCCCAGGCTGATCTCAAACTCCTGGCCTCAAGCAATCCTCCTGGCTTAGCCTCTCAAAGTGCTAGGATTACAGGTGTGAGCTACTGTACCCGGCCAGTAGTGTACTTACACTTTTATGGGTTTTGCAATTTGTCCAAGTCTTTTGGGGCTGGGGGGTGCTTAACCACCTTGATCTTCTTTGTCTCTCAAACAAGCAGTAGCATCCTCACGTAGCACAGGAGGAAACTGTTCCAGCAAGGTCGAGTGGCAGGCTCAAGGCCATGTGGTTAGCCTGGCATGGTCAGGGCTGGAATCCAGGTCATCTGACTCCCCAGGAGGTGCCTCTTTTATGTCACACCACCTCTTGGACATTGGTGCCAGGCCACCAACTAATGTTGACCAAGGAATGGGAAAAGGGGAGAGGAGCGCTGGGTAGCATTGGGCTCTGATGGAGAGGCGTCTCAGGCCTCCTGGGTAAGCACAGTGATGCCACGTATCGCTGACCCCAGACTCAGCACATTCTGATCCACTTTTTAGTATATTCTTATCTGATCCTGAGAAAGAGAGCATGCAGGTGCCAATGTTGCCTTTTATACAATAGGGAACTGAGGGCTAGAGAGCGAAACTCAGCCAACACAAGGCCTTGCAGCCAGGGGCAACAAAGCTGAACTCTATGCCCGGTTTCCCCAACCCCTCCTTCCCTTTCCCCCATTGGGGTGGGGGTGGGGAGGGTCTCTGTTGGCAGCTCTAGGTGGGCTCACCTCCCTGTCCCCAGCCACCTGTGGAGAGCATACCCCCAAGGGGGCGGGCCCCATGCTGAGGAGACAGGAGCCTGTGGGCACGGAGGCTCCAAGGTGCCTTCCCATCCACAGAAGTTCACAACTGTGAGGGCTCCGTCTTCTCAGAAACGCTGCAGCAGTGGTGGCAGCAGCAGCAAGCTCTCTGAGACAAGCCCATGCACTGGTGGTAGTGTTTTTGTTTTCATTTTTAAGTAAAATATTTTTTAAAACAAAAAAATAATGAAAGATACCTACCTAAGCTAAATTCTAAAATGGGCTCATCTGGGTCTTGTATATTTCCTGAATAGAAAAGAAATGACAGAAAAATCATCCTTAATAAACTTTTCTCTGTTTTCAGATTAAATGCACAAATGACCCTCTACTTCCCCCCAACAACAACAAAAACTGCCATGCAAGACAATTTCTTTATTTTAAAAATATTTTGTTTTTGAGATTGCTAAGAAGTCCCTGACCCCACAACCAAACCCCTGCTCCTCCTCAGATCTACACATCCACAACAGGGAGGGCTTTTACCATGGCCTGGGCATGGGCCAGCAAAACACTTGGACATTCCCACACTACCCTGGTGGTGCCCCTGCCACCAAACTGGAAAACTAATGTAGTCAGGCTCCAGCAGAAGCGGTTCACAGGAAGAGGGCTGACATCCCCCTTCCCTATTTCCTGGTTCAACCAGAAGGATGCCAAACCAGGGTACCCTGTAGTCTAGGGTAGTCATGGGGAATCATTGGGTACCTGCCAGCACTGCTGCAGTGTGGAGCCCAGGTGCTGTGAGCTCATACCTGGAGCCCGGTGCAGGCCCTGTGAGGCTCACCTGCCAGAGAGAGGCCCAGCATGTCGGCCGCCACGTCGATGGTGGAAGCCCGCTGCATTGCACGGGCCCTGGCACCATGGCGAGGGCTGTGCTCTCTTGCTGTCATGATGTCATTGGTGATGATGTGCTTCTTGATCCTCGGTCAGACCACGCCTGATTACCCGGGAAGTGCTGGCACCGAGCCCTAGTCCACTAAAGTGGCAGTAGCCCTGAGAAAAGGAGCACTTGTAAGAAACCATGGGGACGGTGATGGAGAGAAATCATGCTCTCATTTAGAAAGAACGTGACCTACCGGGGGCGAGGTACAGTGACAGGGTTCCCCAGCATGTGAGGAACCGGGGTGGACTGTCCACTGCTCCCTGCCCCTTCTGGTCACTTCTTCCTCCCCACTCCCCAACACAGGGTGTCCATGGGATCCCTTGAGGATGTCCTGTCCTCTTCAGCAGAGATATGCCACAGTGAATGATGGTTTTCATATAATTATAAAATATGGCTTTCGAGATTTTCTTGTTCTCTTTATTATGCTCTTCTGTTGGCAAGTCTCTTAGAACCTTTAAATATTTAAATCAATTCACCACAACCTCTGTGAGAAGGGTAAGAGCTGCAGAAGAGTCTGCTGTCCACGGGCTACATACAGGTGGCAAAACACTAGTGAGACAAAGCTCACAACTCTAACCTGCTGGCTTTCTTCCCAGAGCTGCATAAACTTCACGTGTGTCTGGGTCTCAGGCTTTCCTTCCCGCAAAGCATGTAATCTGGGCCTAAGCGAAGTGGAGGGTGCTGTGCTATGGAAAGGGAGGGCTCTGGGTAAAACACTGCCACAGGCTGAGTCACACGCTTCACATGGCTCAGAGCTCCAGAGCTCACACTCTGCTCTCAGAACTAGATTAAGCAGCGAGAAGGTGTTTCAGGTTTTTCCAACCCTATATGCTACAACTCCTGCTGTCTCTAGAAAGAACCAACCTTTACAAGTTAAGATAATTAGACTGAGCAATAAGCCTAGTTTAAAACACTCTCTCAGAGGTCTTCATATTTCCAGAGACAGCCCTGATCTTCTCAAAGGGTGTCCACACCCTGTGCCTGAAGGACCTGGGCTCCTGTCCTTGGGTTAATTCACCAAACAACTTACTGGACATGTTTGCTCTCGGACCATGTGGCATTTCTTCATAGAAGCATGTCCAAATCCATCATCTAAAAATAAGAAAGCGAAAACTTAACAAGCTGGTCAAACATGAAGTTTCTGAGAGACTGCAATGCCTAGAAACGTGGAGGCCAAGAGCTACTCCATGTTTGTTTGAGCTCCACACCCCAATCCAACCTTCTGGCTCAAAAATACAAGTTTTGCTCAAACCCAAAATAAATGAGAAAGAGAAAGCACATATTCCTCTCCCCTGCAGGGCTGATCTGCTGGGGGAGTCTGGGCCTGTCCTAAAGAGCCAGGTGAGCAGCTGGGTGTGGTTTAGGGGGATGAGAATGTGAGACCAGTTTCCCCACTCACAAACTGTAGGCCCTGGGAGAAGCTGCAGGGCCCTCTTAAGGCCCTGCCCTTCAGGATGGATGGGCTGCACCCATCTCATGGGGCTGCAATGAAAACCAAATGTGCGTGAACAGGAGAGGGCTCTGCAAACTCCACTGAGTTCCCACAATGCTGCTGCTGCTGGGCCCCCAGGCCCCACTCAGTCCCAGCACCACAGGGGCTGTTTGGCAGGCCACAGGGCAGGGCTCAGCTCATGAGCCATCCCTCTCAAAGCACCAGGGTCGGGGAATCAGATGACCGCAAGAGCAGAGTGCTTAGCCCAGGGCTGACTCAGTTTCTCTCACAGGCTATGCTCCTATCCCTCCCACTAGGGGTGCCCAGGGACCTTCAGTCTGGGCATCTCTGCAGACACGGCAGTGGCCTGGTGGGGGAGCCACAATAAAAATCACCAAGGGGAAGATTTGCTGGTTAACGTCAAAAGGCACACAAGTGAAGCAATGTGCAATGTGACTGGTAAAACAGGAAAGTGCTTACAGTACTAATATCTGCTTTTTACAGTAATGGTTGTACACATTAACAAAAAACTCACCAAAATGCAAGTGGCAAAAGGTAGGAATTTATAAATGAGGAACACACATGGTAAACATTTTGAAAAAGTGACCAAACTCATTAAGTAACGCAATGCTAAATATGCTTTCCTTCACCTAAATTCGTCCTCCAAAAGAGTTTTGTTTGTTCTTCAATGAGAATACACATTGCTGGAGGACCTGGGGGAAGCTGTCTAGGACTCTCCTATATTGTTACTCCATCTTAGAGTAGTTCAAACATTCAGAAAGCCATCTGGCATTAATTATCAAAATTTGTAAATGATAACAAAACTCTTGCCAATAGTATAGAACATGGAAAAGACTACTGGGTAAAAATGCTTATTGCAGCATTACTTATAATAATAAAGCAATCCAAATGCCCAGCTATAGGTAAGAAAAGAATGTTCTGGAACATCCATAAGACACACTATTATCTGGCTATCAAAATGATCATAATAAAGCCAACAGACACAGGAGAAGTTCTTCAACCCCATTAGTCATCAGGGAAATGCAAACTGAACCCATGAGATACCTCTGCACAAGCACTGGAATAGCAAAAATGACAAAAGACCAACAGTACCAAGTGTTGATGAGGACGTGGAGTAACTGGAAGTGATACTACTGGTAGAGCGTAAATAGTCACCCGCGCTGGAAAACTGGCCGTCTCTACTTAAGTTGAACATGCACCTACCCTGTGACCTGGCATACAACTCAGAGGGGGAGCTGCTAACAGAAACGCACACTTATGCTCACCAAAAGCCTGTAGAGAAGGTTTAGAACAGCAACATTCACAGTAGCAAGATACCTGAGACAACCTAAATGTTCGTCAACAGTAGAACAGATGAAACAATGGGATGAGTCTCAGAAACAACGTCAAGGGGAAAAGTTAAGACCATTCTAGGCAAATCCATTCATACGAAGTTCAAGCACAGGCCAAACGAATCTGTGGCATCCAGAGTATGGAGAGTGGTATCCTGAAGGGGTGGGTACTGACTGGGGAGGGTGAGAGGGCTTCCGGGGCTCTGGAAATGATCTGGGTGCGGGTTACACACAGACTTTACTGTGTGAAATTCACTGAGCTGTACACAGGTGATTTTTATACCCCAATACAAAGTGTATACAAGACAACATAGCATTAAAAAAAAAACTTACGTGAGTTCTGCATCATGTGTTTTTAAAGAAATAGCCCACCTTTGCTCTGTTTGCAGCCATTTAAAGAGGTACTGTACAGAGGGGACAGCCAGCAGGCGGCTGCATCAAGATGACAGCCATGCTGGGGGTGTGATCATGGGGAACTGTCTTCCTCCTTCTCTAACAGCCATACTCTTGTGTCACTGAAGATTTGCACCCCATGCTGGCCAGAGGCAGGGCAGCACCCCAGGCATGACTTCAGCTTGAAGAAGAGGCTCTTCCCTTTTGAACCTTTTCCCAGTGTGTCTAAAGCATTCCATTGCCTGCCTTGCTGCCCTGCTCAGCCTGTTAGTGAAGGTGTCGGTCACCCCCTTCACTTATGACAGTGGAGACAGGCCACCTAACAGAGGGACACATCTGTACCCCAACATCCTGCCAGCCCTGGGGAAGCTCCGAAACTCACCCATGCCTACCCCTTTCCACCTCTCCCTGCAGGGTCCCTGCCCACTCCACCAGCCTGCTCTGCCCTTAGGAGGGTGGTTTATATCCTAGGCATCATGAGGTTTCTGGAGATAGAAATGCTTAAAGGGGTACATCTACAGACTAATTTTACACTTGAGAGAGTTCACAGGTCACGGAAACTTTTAGGTCAAAAAGACCTTAGAAGCACTTCATAGTTATTTGGGGACATTTAATTAGAATCTGCAATTTAAGTCATCAAGGCCCAGAACGCAAAGCTAATTTGCACAGCTGAACTCGATTTCTCTTCTTGGTCTCATTAATATAAGGTAATTCACCAAGGATTCGTATATTCCCAAGGTCCTTGTTTTTCCTCCCAGCTCCATTTGAAGACCAGAGTTCATTAGGAGGAAAAACTGCACTTAAGCAGAAGAGGAGACAGAATGTGTGGGAGCTGTCTAGGGGGCTGGAATTTTTTCTTGGGGTCAAGAAAAAAGAAGCAATAACCCATGAAGTGAGCAGCTCCCATTCCTCACTCTGCGCACTCATGTGACCCCTCCGACAAGAGGCGGCAGGCCATCAAGTGGACAGTAAACCCTGAGGTTCTATCCCACTTCCCATGATGTCCCTTCCAGCCATGGGGGGCAGGGAAAGGGGTGGTGGAGAGGGCACTGGCAGGACGGGAGGGGTGTTAGGATTCACACAGGACTAGTGAGGTGGCAAGGCCTTCAGCAGCAGTCCTGGGAAACGTTTGCCAGAGGCCTAGCGGGAGTACTGCAGGTCCCTCCACCTCAGGAACCTCTCAGGCTCCCCGGAGCTGGAGTTGAGGGGTGAGGATTAACACATCAGAGCTCCACTTTTGCTTATTCACTGGGGTTCTTCTAAGAATAATTTTTAAAAGGAGTTGCACGGATGAGGTCACGGATGCTCAGAGTGATTTTTTTCAAGGTCACATGGAGATGAAATATGAACTATCGTTATCAACCCAAAGAAAAAGCCCAAGTGCAATGGGGGCCCCTCTCCCTGCCCCACCCACCGGATCCCGTCCTACCCCACCCCCGTCCTACCCCACCACAGCCTATTGCTGTCACTGTGGCAGCAAATGGGCTGAGAAGCTTCACTGTGCCTCTGCTCTCCAAACACAGGCAGCACAAGAGAGAAAGTAAAATGAAAGGCTGGCATGAAGCTGAGCATGAGTCAGCAGCCTCTAAGAAAGAGGCTACTTTAGAGGGGCAGAAAGAGGAAAGGACTTACTCTCAGAAACCCCAAATCCAAGACAGCTAAAATCATAGATCAGTGAGGTGTCACACCATTCACTGGCACTGAAAGTTACTATTAATAATAACCTCAGAAAGACAAATATCACCTTCCTGCAGACAGACAGGAAGGATACTGCAAAGGATGCGGATGAACCTCCAGCTGGAAGAGGTGCACAGAGCAAGGCATGTGGGAAGGGCGTGGAGCTGCCCTGCCCGCCCTATGTGCCACTCTCCGGGAACCTCTGCATGCTCAGCTATCCAAAAGCTCCCAGAACTCAGTCCTTTGGAGTTTTGGGGTTTTGTACTTTTTTTTTTTTCCAGCTTTTAGAGACAGGGTCTTGTTCTGTCTCCTAGGCTGGAGTGCAATGACATCAGGCTTATTGTAGCCTCAAACTCCTGGGCTCAAGCCATCCACCCATCTCAGCCTCCTGAGTAGCTGGGACCACACGTGTGTGCCACCACATCTGGATAATTACTAATTTTTTAAAATTAGAGATGAGGTCTCACTATGTTGCCCAGGCTGGTCTCAAACTCCTGACTTCAAGCAATCCTCCCACCTTGACCTCCCAAAGTGGTGGGATTACAGGTGTGAGCCATAACACCTGGCCTCCTTTTGGGTCTTTAATGAAAGCTTCATTATAGACATAATTAACTAAATCACTGGCCATTGATTTACCAGCTCAACCTTCAGCCTCTCTCCCCTCCCCAGAGGTGGGAGGGTGGAAGACTGTAAATTCCAGCCCTCTAATCATGGGATTGGTTACCCTGGCAACCAGCCAAATCCTAAATTTAAGAGCCCCCAGCCACCAGTCATCTCATTAGCATACAAAGATATACTCTTACCGCTCCAGAGATTCTCTCATTAGCATACAAAGATACTCTTACCGCTCCAGAGATTCTAAGAATACCTCAGGAAAAGAGGGAGGTAGACCAAGTATATATTTCACAATACCACACCCCCTCTCTAACTCCAGGTGGGGCTCAGAACACCCTGAACACATCCCCTGAGCCTCCCCTACTCCCAATATTCCCTAGGCTAGGCTTGGACCTCACCACTCTGGAGACTCCATGGTGTGAGATGACTTTAACGTAAAGACGACGGGTTCACTGAAGTGGCTCTACTAGAGCTGTTAATCCAACCTAGAAAGAAAATGTGACCCACTCTCTACCACAGTGTTCCAGACCAGCCTCCGTTTCCATGGGTCCCCTAGGGCCAGATGGAAACTGAATCTACCCAGGGATCTACTCAGACCTTGTCTACACCTAACAGGGGTCCTGGGACCCTTGGGGGCTTCAGGGCCACCAATTCTTGAAGCCCAGCAAATAAGAGAACAACGGGCACCTAGGAGGACTTTCTATGACATGGCACAAACATGGGGATGGGCACAGGGTAAGTAAAATGCAGCCACTGATGCCATAAACTGAATGGGCCAGAGCCAGAATGGCTGCGGTGACAGGGAGGGGCAGCAGGGACAAGGCAAGGCCAACAGAGAGAACAGGAGCAGTAACTCCAGAATGGCCAAGCCCAAGGTGACCAGCAAACTGGAGGCTCCACTCCAAAGACAAGGCAGCACTGGCCTGTGTGCAGGCTTGCCACAACAGCTCACATTCTGCTCCCAAGCATCCGCTCAGGTCTGTCACCAGCCAAGGTACGTGCTGCATACAGCAAAGACCAGGAAGGCCTGCTTCCAAGTATTCCAGAGCAATAGCCAATGGCAGCAGAAACTTCCTCTGGTTTATATTTGGAATGAGTGAGTAAGTGAGTGAGTGAGTGAGTGAGTGAATGAATGTCTCTACATAACCAATGAGAAAGTTAAGTGCTATGAATCAACTTTTAATGCAAAGCAAATGATAAAACAGGTATGAGAAGAAGAGCGTGTGACCATGAGATGAGAACACACCAAAACTCATTCTTCCTTAAATATGGCCAACTTGAGGGGGCCGCCCAGGAAGAAGAGGATGTTGAACACTGGAGAAAACTGCCATCTGATGTCAAGTGGGAAGGGGTTGTGGGGTTGGCATGGGTCATAAAAGCAGAAGGACTGATTCTGGGAGGCGATGCAGGAGGAGTTGGGCCTACGATACAGCAGTTGGGGTCCTTGATTCTAATTTGCCCACTTTGGAGACTACTCCAACCCTGGGTGTCCTTCCCCATCCTACGGTGCAAGGGAATAGTGGAAGCAAGCAGGCCTTCCATTTTTTTTTCTTTCAAACAAAAGCCATCTGCTTAGGAAAGATCTTAACCTTTTAAACAAAGTCAAATATGCTTCTCTAGCATAAAATACAAAAACAAAAAATGCTGCCTCAAAGGCCCAGGTATTAACTAGGATGGAAAGGCCACATGCTGCAGGAACACGGACAAGGTGGAGGGGACCTGGGAGGGGTCTCAGGAAGGCCTTCCTCATGCCTCTCGGGGCTCTGGCTCCAAGCCCACCAGGCCCCCAGCACCCTGGTCCACAAAAGGCTCTTGATACAGTTTGAACGTGTTCTCCAAAGTTCCTGTGTTGAAAACTTAATTGTCATTCTAACAGTAGTGGGAGGCGGGGCACTTAAGAGGTGATTAGGACACGAGGACTCTGTCCTCATGAATGGATTAATGCTGTTTCTGTAGGAGTGAGGGGAGTGGATTCCCGATAAATCGGGAGTTTAGCCCGATTTCCTCTCTGTCTCTCATGCTGGCTTCCACCTTCCACTCTTCCACCATGGGAAGACCCTCACCAGATGCGGGCACCATGCTCCAGGACTTCCCAGCCTCCAGACTGTAAGAAATAAGTTGCTTTTCTTTACAAACTACCCAGGCTGTGGTATGTTGTTGGAGTAGCAGAAAATGGATTAAGACAGGTGTCAACACCTGCCCTTCCGCAGACTAAACCCTTGGATCAACCTGTGAGGCCCAGAGTGGGGCCTCAGGAATCCACCCACTTGCTCAGCTAATCCCACTTCAGATCCCTCCTCCCCCATAGGTGAAAGAGCTGCTGAGCTTCTCTCAGCCTCAGTTTCTGTATAACGGAAATAACACTGGTCTCACCAGGACACACTGAGGAGCAAGCACATATGTGAAGAAACACAGAAAACATCCGCATAGAGCTCAGTACATGGGCTGTCAGCCCTGTGAGGTTGTCACCTTGGCATGTGAGGTTCTCACCTTGGCTTTTCCTAACCTCCCCTGAGGCTGGCCCCCACAGCGCTTGTACTGGAGCCATCTGTGAGCCTGGAAGCCCTTTCTCTACAGCTAAGTCTATGTGAGTTTTACCCAACTTTCCTACCTTCTCCAGTTCCTCCAACCGGAACTTTTCACCAAGGTCCACGGTACTTTGCTTGCGCTACAGTTTATAATCACCAAAAATTAGGCCCAAAGGTTGCTATTGAAAAGGAACATGAGAGCACAGGCCTGTTCCTTGAAGCAATATGGCTTGGTGGCATGGGGGAGGGGAGCCCAGGCAATGGCATCAGACCTGGTGAACCGCTGTGAAGCATGTGACCTTCCACAGGGTCCCATCTCTGTGCATCAGTTTCCTCGCCTGTCAAATGAAGTTACGACTACTGTTGGAAGGAATTCAGAGTCTCCCAATCAGAGGAGTGTGAGTGGACCCTGGACTCCCAGGGAAGTGAGGTGGGTGCTCTGTCCCTCCAGGATAGACATCCATGTTCTGAGGGGGCAGCATCATGGTCCTCTTGTACTGAAGAGGTCTGCTTCCTCCTCCCCTCAGAGCTGGGGCCCAGCCCTCTCCCACCTCCCACCTCCCAGCTCTCTATACCTGCACAGGGCAGGAGAGGGTCACTGTGAGTAAAGCTCTGACTCAAAGGACACTTAACACCCAAGCATGCTGCAAAACATCCATCCAACGCTGCTAGGGCTTAAATACAGGAAAGTAATGTGCTTTAGAAAAATCAAGCACAGGGGCCCAGTAATCCCAGCACTTTGGGAGGCCAAGGCAGGCAGATCACAAGGTCAGGAGATCGAGACCATCTTGGCCAACGTGGTGAAACCCCTTTCTACTAAAAATACAAAAAATTAGCTGGGCGTGGTGGCACGTGCCTGTAGTCCCAGCTACTTGGGAGGCTGAGGCAGAAGAATCGCTTTAACCCGGGAGGTGGAGGTTGCAGTGAGCCCAGATCGCACTACTGCACTCCAGCCTGGGCAACAAAGCGAGACTCCATCTCAAAAAAAAAAAAATTGAATCAAGCACAGGAAGAGAAGTAACATGCTGGCAATGCGTATCCCTTCTCACCTGCAGACACAAATGACCTGACTTAGGGCCCCCGAGCTTGTGCTCACTGGGAGATGTTCATTTATCTCTGGCTTTCCATTTCCCAAGCCCTACTGTCTGCCAGTGATGATGGACAGGCAGCAATGGCAATGAGTTAACTTCATTTACTTAACTGACATGCCTCATTAGTTTAATAAATATGCTTACTACTATAATACAGGGCCTGAACCAGAATACAAATGCACATCCCAGACTCCAATGGAGGGAGTCAGTCACTGTGCTACAGTCTGAATGTGTCCCCCAGAATTCCTTATGTTGAAATGTAGCCATCAATGTGATAGTATTAAGAAGCGGGGCCTTTGGGAGGTGATTAGACCCTGAGGGCTCTGGCCTCATAGGTGGGATTAGTGCTGTATGAAAGGGCTGGAGGGAACTAGGTAGGCCCTTTTTGCCCTTCACCTTTTGTCATGTGAGGACATGGCAAGAAGGCCCTCAGCAGACCCTAAATGCCAGCGCCTTCCCAACATCCACAGGTCTAAGAAGTACATTTCTGCTGTTTACCAGTCTCAGTTATTTTGTTATAGCAGCCTGAACTGACTGAGATACCTTGGATAGGGACATGGATATCCCTGTAAACAAGAGGGCAGAGGAGGATGCTCCAGGAGCAGAACAAGCCCAGACCGTTCCAGCCTTCCTCTTTCACCTCACCAGCCCCTCAAGGTTTCCCATCTCAGTAGATGGAGTTCTGTCCTTCCACTTGCTCCAGGCAAGAAATAACATCCTGGCCTCCTCCTCCTCTCACATCCCACATCCAATCCATTGACAACTCTATTAGCTCTATCTTCCCCACAAGTACGACTTCAACTCCCTTAGTACCCCAACTCCCATACCCTGGGAATTTGACCAGCGTCCCTCCCACAGTCCTCACAGTCTGTGTCCAACTGCAATGACGGGGCCTGTGAACCTCCTAGCAGTGTCTTCATCCTGCTCCTGCCCTGGCCTCTTTGCTGTTTAGACTTTTATCTGGTGTGGCCTTTGCATCAGCCACCCTCTCTGGGACTGCCCTTCCTCAGATAACAAGGCAGGCAATTCCCTCACTTCTTTTATGTCCTTCTTGGTTCCCAGCTTCTCCTGGAGTTCTTTGGGACAGCCCAGTTTACAACTGCAGCTCAGCTCCTTGTGGTTCACCCATATACCATGAACGTTCAGGGGATTTTCTGTAAGAAGCAGTTTGAAAATAAGTTGCCCTGAAAAAAGTGCTTTAAAATGTTTGTGCTGAGCAAAACAGGTGCTCACAATCTGGGAGATGAGTGAGATGTGTCAATAATCACAAGCGCAATGTCTGGGAGGTGCCAGGAGCAGCCTGGGGTGGGCGGGGATCTGCCGACTGCCTTCCACACCACACACTTCAGCCACTCTTTCTTCAGCACCTCCAATTTCTTGCTTCTGCACCTCATGCTGTTTCTTCTCTGTAAACTGGCAATCTCTTTAACACAGCAGTCCCCAACCTTATTGACACCAGGGACTGGTTTTGTGGAAGACAATTTTGGGGGGCTGGTCAAGGGGAGTGGTTTCGCGACGAAACTGTTCCACCTCAGATCATCAGGCATTAGTTAGATTCTCATAAGGAGCACGCAACCCAGATCCCTCACATACGCAGTTCACAACAGGGTTTGTGCTCCTACGAGAATCTAATGCCACCGCTGATTGACAAGAAGTGGAGCTCAGGCAGTAATGCCTGCCACTCGCCTCCTGCTGTGCAGCCCAGTTCCTAACAGGCCACAGGCCAGTACTGGTCTGCAGCCCGGGGACTGTGGACTCCTGCTTTAACAAACAGTTGAGGGTCTATTATGGAGCAGGCCTTAGGGATACAAAGATGATAAGAGGCTTGGTCCAGAGCTACATCACAAAGTGTAACAAAGATGAATGGTAGACAACCTGAGGCCCACAATGGTGGGGGCCAAGCCTCTTCTGAAGCCTTCCCTTGGGTGAGGGGCTGGCTTGCTACTCTGTCCTTTCCAGGCAGCGGCACCCCTGGGTTCTGCAGCCAGGGATTCTGGGGCTTTTTCTTGAGGTGAATCAACCCAGTGTTCCCATACATGACCCCTCTCACTCCCGCGCACCAGGCCTCATTCGTCATTTGATTACCACATCAATTTCACAATACCACAGACAAAGACAACAGGAACACTGTACATGGCGGTCTGCTGTCAGAGCTGCGTGGTTAGGACTGCAGTCAGCGTGCACCAGGAGCAGCGCGGTTCTCTCTCCTACAACAGGCAAGGACTTTGACAAGTCTCATTTCTTACTCCATTGTCACTTGAAACCACTTGAAGCCCTCACACAATTAACTGAAAGTTTGCCCGTCTGTTGTCCAGGAAGTCCTTCCAGCGTGTCACATAAATTTCTGAATAAGTGTATGAAAGGACCGAGGAAAGCATCCAGTATTTCAACCCCCTCATCAAAGGAGACATGCTGCTCCAAGAGGGCCGGGAACTGAAGAGATAAGGACACGGGCTTCCCCGTGACCTGTGAGTTGGGCTTATCTCTGAGTGTGGGTCCACAATAAGGGGGGTATCATCACTCACTCAGAGTTGTTACTCAAAGGTTCATTCCAGGAGACGCAGCTGGAAGACTGTGGAGCATGAACCCAGTCTGGCTCCTCTATGGTGGAGGCGGGAGTGCAGGAGGCTCTAAACCCCAAAGCAGGCTGGGTGTGCCTTATTCATTGCCAAAGATGGTGATTTCTCTTCCCTTTTCTTCTTCCACCCAAACACAAAGCTGTCAGGCCTGGCCTGGTGCCTGCTCCTGCTTCCCTTGCCCAGAGCTGGCCACCTGGAAGCTGGACCCTGACTTGCCCCAGCCACTAGAACAGCCTCTAACCCGAGCTCTGCTTCTCTCCTTCTTCCCTTTCAGGAGAGGTGTGGCTGCAGCTGCTCATGGCTTCTCAGGACAGAATGCAAAGTGGGCGGCCCACATCCCAGCCACAGCAATGTCCTTTGCCTTGCCGTACAGTGTTTTGCATTCACCCCATGCCCTCACCACCCACCCCCTCAACCCAGGGGATGCAGTGACGATGCCATCATGGTAAGGACAGTCATGGGAACTCCTGCTAGCCTGGCTAAGACACTATATAGAGCAGCCAGGACGCTGTGCAGGGGGGTGAGCTTAGGCAGAAAGGCGTATTTGTCTCAGGAGTCTGGGCTGAGCTAAACACCTCAGCAGGAACATGGCTGAGCTGGCCCATTGACTCCAAGGCTGGCAGCAAATGTGGCCCTTCCCCTCTGCTTACCCATGTCCATCATCCTCCCACTCTGCAAATGAGCCAGTCCACATGGTGGGAGCTGAGACAGCCCCCAACTTGAAACTCTCCAGCTCCAGCCACCAGAGGCCGCCTGCATGGGTGCTCTCCCAGTTCTCTCCAGCTTGAGCCAGGCCCCCCAGGCTGGGGGTGGGGGTCACGTTGTAGCATGGGGGCTTCAACACTACCCATGAGCTTGGGTGGGAGAAAGCTCCCACAAAGCAGTGGAGCACCACCACCCCTTCAATCCATCACAACTTTCAGTAACCAAATGGAGATTTCCCTACAGCACGTGTTTCTTAAACTTTAAACAGAATGGTCAAATAACTCTCATGTTAACTAGATGGCTTTACATTGTATCAGACACACAACATAAACACATAATTAGTCATAAACTCTTTTGTTTAGAACATTTAAACAATTAGAAAAAAAGTGATCTATAAATTAACACAAGCAAACCCCAACACAAATGAACTCGGGTTTATATTCCTTTAATGTGAGGGATGGGATGGGCTGTTTTACAGAAAGGATCAGTCACGCATAACCTTGACACTACATCCTCTACCGTCACCCAGCCTGAGGCCAGAAATGGCCAGAATGGCCCCTTCAGGGTCCACCCAGCTATTTGGTCAAAACAGCAGTGGCCAGCGGCCACCATTCCACAAAAAAGTGAGTTGCCAAGCAGGGCAGAGGAGGGGGATGTGGCTACACCTCCCTGGACTGTGAACGAGGATCAAAGCACCCCAGACCGCAGACTCTCCAAAATGTCGTTTTCCTCCTCTGAATGAAATCAAGATTGTTTCAGGAAACAAACGCAGCTTTAGGGCTTGCTGTGTGAAAATGCAGCCCTGAAAATGCTGAGTTCCTTTCCTTGACTCCCCCTCCCTGCCACAGGGGAGTGCCCGCATTGTGGGCCACTCCAGGAGGCAAAGTCCAAATGTGCCCAGGACCCCTTCCTCTTGTGAGGAGCAGCCACCATTCCTCCCCTCGGTCTGTTCACAGCATCGTGTTCTCCCAGGACTTCAACAGTGTCTGCTGCCAATGCAAGCAAGGGACGTAGTTTCTCACAATGTTTCCAATCCACAGAAGAGGGTCAAGAGAGGAGGAGACCAAGAACTTCTCAGGCCAAGGTGCCTTCTGCCCGCTCACCTGCCTCATCTGGTCTCCATGGGAGGAAACACCTTGTCTAGAGGTCTCTGTAGGTAAAAAATCTCAAGGGGGAAGAAATATAAGTGTGAGCAACAACAACACAGCTTGCAAATGCTGCCCACATGTTTTGACTCGCCTGGTCCTCACACCACACCGCTGGGCTGGGAGAGACAGCTATTCTAGTTTGATGCCTGGGAGCCAGGCTCACAATGGTAGAGGGGCTCCCTCAAGGTCAGCAGCAGCAGCAGAAGTAGGACCTAAAGGCAGGCCTTACTAGTCCAGTGCTCTTTCCGATATGCAGAAGAGAGTGCAGAGCACATTAATTCGACTACTACCAAATGCTAATAAAAGGCATCATCTTTTTCAGTTGTAGAGTTCCTCATTATGTCCCGCCCTGTCCCCACCCATGTCTTCATAAGCATCTCCTGTGGTTACTCAGTCTCTGACTCCATCTCCAGCTTTTCCCATCAAGCAACACTAAATTCTAGTCAGGAAACAGGGCTTCCTAGAGAAGCAAAAGGCAGAACTTTAGGATGAGAGCAGATTCTTTTTTGTATCATTCATGTTTGATTTTCTTTTCTTAAATTAAGCTGAAATTAAACCCCTCGAAGAAATATTGTTATTGTTTCTGTCAAAAATAGTTAAAAAATAAAGTTTAAAAAACAAAAATTTGTGAACAGGATAAACAGACAAAACCTAGCCAACAATATCAACTAATAGCAAAGTGAAAAAGCAAGAATATTCTGTATTTCTAATGGTGGAGACAGGGATTCTATAAATATTGTACAGAAATAATATATTTCAACAGGAAAGTGGAAGGGGAAATGCACCCTCCTGCTGAATCAGCAAGACACAACTCAAGCCCAGGCGTCTGTGGTGACGGCTGGCTCTGTGAGCAGGGCTCCTCTGCTCTGCTTTTATGACTACTGTGTTTTATTTGTAACTTCCTTCTATTTACTATTACCAACAGGTTTTACTCAATCCTAATTTGGTAAGGGAAGAGTGTGCAAGCTGTTTTGAGAAACAGTCACCGCTGTCTCCAATTCTCTCTGGTGACATACACCTCACAGTTCAAGAATAAAGCATGTGTCCTCTCTCTCCTACAAAAGCTCCCACGTCCTCTCTTTCAGGTTCAACAAGGAAGCACTGCAGGGAAAGTGAACGAGCTCATCACTCTGGCTGGACACATAAAAAGTCAGGCCCCACATGGGAAACGCAAGCCTCCACCAAGGTCAGCCCACTCATGAGACACAACAGTCCCAAAGGCTCGCCCAGTACTTTTCCCCAAACCTAAAGGCAAAGTGCACCCTTGGAAGAAGAGGTGGGCATCCATGCCACCTCCTAGAGGGGTTGGGCAGATCCCAGCAGGAGGCTGCCTGAACCTTTTCTAAATGGGAAGCTTTGTGTTCTAGTTTATGCCAGGTCAGTGAGCAACCATTAAGCCAACTTTTGGTTTTGTTTACTAGAAAGCAAGTTATTAGTATAGTACTTTAATATTCAGGCAACTTTCAAAAGTCCATGCTAACAGAGCTTTGGGAAAACAAAGAAAAGACAGAGAGCCTAGAGTGAATCTGGTAAGATGGTCTCAGGCTTGCTCAATCACATGATGCAGAATGTCAAGGCCAGCCAAAGCTGTAGATCCCCCTTGCCATTGCCAGTCCTGCACCTTCAGCAGGATGGCACGTGGGCCTGAAGAGGCACTGAAGATTAACACCACACACATCATTTCCTTCTACAGCGCCACGTTAAGAGCAGAACTGATAATAAGTTGAAAGTTAATAATAACGTGCTTCAGACAAGTGGAGTCAGGCAGGCTCTGTTTATTTTTCTAAGCACTAGGAAAGCCTGCCTTCTAATTCGCAAGTGTCAAAATTGGCTTCACGAGAAAATAAAAAATTTTCTGAGTAGCAACAAAATTCCATAAAGGGCTATAAATGTGAAGCAACCATCACAGATCAATGAAATGCCGGGAAGACAATGCTATTTTAGAAACCAGGCAGTAAGCCAGGAGACTGGGGATGACCTGCCCAAGGCCTCCAAGTGGCAGCACCAACGTTACAATGCTGTTTCTAGCTTCCTCAACAACAAACTGAAATCAGGGAGAGACATCTTGGTCCTCTAGGTCCCATGGAAACACAAAGTGGTCACACATTCAGCAACTTTACTACATGTAGATCTCTGGCAAAGTGGTGTATAACCTGTTTATTTTAGCTGTGAAAATGGAATCCTGTTTGAAACATTCAGTGTTGGGGTGAACACTTAGCAGAGACACAAAAGGACTTCAGTCTTCCCTATTCTCATTAAAACAAATCAAAAGGGCAGCAAGCAGTCCTGATGTTTATATAGGACCTTCCTGGAGAGAGGGTTCTATGGCTTCAGCTACTCGGCTGTGTTGCTGGTTGTTCAGCGTTCCGTGTTTGGTGAGGGAGGACCCCCACTGGCAGTCCTCCATGGGCCTCTTCCACAGTGAACTGACCACAGCTCTTTATTGCAAAGCTGACAGTGGCTGGAATAATGAAACCTCAAAAAGAAATGCAGTTTTTAAAAGAGTGCAATAAGCTGTGCCTCTGAGGCCCATGCCCTTCCTTGGGCAGTGCTCTGTAGCTACCCACCAGAGCTGTGGTTGAGTAAGTTCAACCATGTAGGGACAAGTGCCAACTGACACGCAGCACCTTCATGCTCAACAGCAACATCTGCCTTCTTCTCATGTGGCACCTCTTCTCAACCAGCAGCAAAGATCAGGCTAATAGGGAAGGGACCAGGGCAGAAGACAGGAGCCCTGCCTGCAGGAGAAGGAGTCTCTGTCATCCTGTCACGCAAGCCTGGTTTGATGACCTGAAATGCCTTCTGATGAGAGTGTCCAAAGGAGTCTGTAATCTGGAACTGTCCATTCATCTGTTCAACAAGTACTGAGCTAGGCACTTACAGTGAACACACAAGTGAATCAGAAGTGATCTCTGCCTGCAAGAATCCAACAGTTTAATGATGGAGTAAAACATTCAGATAACACAACTCCAAGACAAAATGAGATGCATGCCCCATGCTGCTACAGAGGCAAGGAAGAAGCTTGAAATCTGGCAAAAGATGATCCAGATGAGGTGCGAGTTGATCTGACTTCAAAAGGAACAGGCACAGGTGCATCCAGCAACAAGCACTCACTCAGGAAACAGGAAAGTCTTGTGTATCAAGGACAGAGAATGGGGCTGGAGAGCCAGGACGAGGTCAATTCTGGAGATCCTTTAACACCAGACCACAGAGCTGGGTTTTAGCTTGCAGGCAGTGAAGAACTCCCTAGGATCTCAATTGTTCAAACCAATCTCAAAAGTCCTGGTACTCTCTTGGACTCTCCTACTGGGCTTTTGAAGACAAATCTCTTTCTCACTTGGGGCAAACCAGGGAGGAACCTGCCCACAAGAATTGCAATGAGCATCCCTTCTCACCAGCAAAGACAGACCCCTGCTCAGACCTGGCAAAGCTGGGTCAAGATGGCACCCACCACCACATGAACAGGCAACATTCACGACCAACACATAAAGGGCAACTCGTTTGTCCCAGGAGGTCTCCAGGGGTTCTAAAGGTCCATTTGTCATCAGCACAACTAAACCTAGTCCGTCCAAACTCCCTATCTCTGAAGGAAGCACTGATTCTGCAAATATAAAATAAAATCCAATAACTCAAAAACAACAAAAGAAACTAAAACCACTTGGGTAATTCAAGAGGGCAAGCAATTTCAGGTCTATTAATAAAACCCTTAGAGCAGGGCCATCTTTTGCCTTTGAGCTAGGTCTCCTTGGTGACCTCACCCATAAACAATGCAGTAGTGAGACTGCTCACAAAAGTCACAAGAACTATTTTCCCTTTGTTCCAGAAAGATTCCTAATCTGGTTGTGGTGCTGTTTCCATGGAAAATGCTAACGAGTAGGAATATCAATGTGAAAATAAGACAATGTTGAGGTACTTTCACCATTATCTCTTTCTCCAAATTTTACATCTGAGTTATGAGAGGGAGAGAATACATTGAGAACAAAGGCCCTCACAAAGTGTCTCCCTGTCACATATCATATGTAAAATTACCACCACCAAGAGCAGTGACAGTGAAAGCTAATTAAAATCTCTATGTGTGCTTTTACATTTTTTAAAACACTCTTGGTAGCTGGGAAATAAAGAGATCAGGGAAAATGTGACTTTGGAATTCATTTTTTAGAAGTATTCCCATCTCCCACTGGAAGAAACCTATAGAAAAACTAAAAACTGTAAACCAACATGTAGCCACCTCAAGCCCCCACTTACCACCCAACTTCAAGCCCTGCCTCTGTACATGCAAACCAGGACACTGACAGTGGAGCCACTGTGGGCAGGCCTCTGGCAGAAGGAATGCTCTCTCTCATCTGGAGAACTCAGCCAGCCCAGGAGAACACAGGTATCACCTAATGCCCTCAGGACTATCATCTGGCCCCATAACCAGGGTTCCGTGAGGACCAGACTCTTGGATGGCCAGATGCACACCCACTAGGAAGGTGTGAACAAATTCACATCATTCCAGAACAGTGTACCTGGGAGCAGGTGGGCACTGATGTACGAAGATAACTGAGGTCATAGATACCCACAGGATCAGTCAGAGAAACCTGCACAGGCCAAGACTAACACTAATGCTGCTGAACGCTTCACAGCACTGCTCAGCTCAGCAGTGCAGGGGCCAGACATGTTCTTCAACCACTAGTGAGACGCAGATAAATGTGATGGAAACGCAACTGATGTAGAGTTGGAGCCCCTGGGCTCTTGACCTGGTCCAGGTTTTAATTTATCAAATTCCAGGGAAATCACAAACTAGGCACTTCAGTGCCCCCTGCCAGATGTGGTCCCTTTCCCCAGCCCTCACCTCCCTCCCCCAGTCTATGATTCTGTGCTGGTGGAGTGCCCCAAATGGTAACAATGGTGTTTATTCTGTTTTGTCATTTGCTCCTAAAAACAAGGCCTGCCCCACCATAGGGAAATCATTACTCCCTGCCTCAGTGAGGGCATCAAGGTTCAGAGAATGGGGGGCTGGGGGGGTTCTTGACCTCAACATTCTGTGTACAACCAGCAAGGCTGGAAAGGGGCAGGACTTTGACTTCCACTGTCACCTCCCGAAGCTAGCATGGATACTACTACAGTATTTCCTGAACTACTGACACTCAGGAAATCATTGCTTCTACCATGACCTTGTACTGTGGTCCACAGGTTTTTCTTTAAATACATTTTTTTTTTGAGACAAAGTCTTGTTCTGTTGCCCAGGCTGGAGTGCAGTGGCACAATCCCGACTCACTGCAACCTCCACCTCCCGGGTTCAAGCAATTCTCCTGCCTCAGCGATTCTCCTGCCTCAGCCTCCCGAGCAGCTGGGACTACAGGCACATGCCACCACACCCAGCTAATTTTTGTATTTTTAGTAGAGACAAGGTTTCACCATGTTGGCCAGGCTGGTCTCAAACTCCTGACCTCAAGTGATCCGCCTGCCCCGGCCTCCCAAAAATATCCCAGTGCTGGGATTATAGGCCTGACCCACCGCACCTGGCCTAAACACATTTTTTAACTTAAATTTACTATATGGAATATTTTAAACTAGCTAAGTATTTAAGTATATATAAAACAAATTTAACTCTTCAAATATAAGGCTTGCAGCCATTCCACCAGTGGCAGTAACAAAGATTTTCTGCTTGGCCAAACTAGAGTCAGGTTCCTGAACCTTCTAGGCCCATCTGTGCACTTCTTTGTAAAATCCAGTTTTAGCAAAGAACCCTGCTGAGCCAGTTTAGCAAAAACCTCCCCTCCTCAATATCTGATTAGGTTCCTCTACCACCATTCCCTAGGTGATGTCTGATTGTCCTGGCCAGTTTAGCAAGAATCCTGTTAGGTGGGTTTAGCCAGAATCCACTTTACTCTCAATGTTTCCTCTTAGTAAGTTCCCATCCACTGACCCCCTACCCTGTTCCTAGACTACAAATTCCCACTTGCCCGTGCTGTATTGGGAGTTGAGCCCAATCTCCCCCCACCACTGCAAGCCCGTTGCTGTGGTCCCCATACCTATTGTGATGGTCCTGGATAAAGTCTTCCTTTATTCATATGTTTTCACAAGTATCACTGAATGACTTTTCTCTGGAACAGCAGACATGCCCTTTGGGAGACAATGGACCTGGAGCAGGATGCATGGAGGACAGCACGCCATCTCCATCCACAGCTGGATTTTGATTTCCTCCCTATTTTCCCCCCTCAAACAGTGGTGGCGGATCATCAAACAGACACCAACCAGCTGCTGGCTGTTGGAACCTCTGGCTCTCAGCTCACACCCCATGTCATAAAGTGGGGATAATATTCCCACCTTAGAAGTTCGCTGCAATCTCAAGTAAGAAAGCATGCGTGAGGACTCTGTATACCACAAGTTACTAAGTTAAATGACACTAGGCCTTACTAAGGGTCAAATGAGATACACGGGCAAAACTACCTTAAAAAGGTAGGAGTTAGGATTAAATGACACATTCTCTCTGGAGAATGACACGGCCTGAGGTTGTGACCACTGGGAAGGTTTCCCCCGGAATTAGATATGAGTCTGCCACTGACATCTTATATGGCTCCGCCAGACCCACGGACACAAGTACACCCTGCTGGACCCTGGGCTCAGGTTCACTCCAGCTGCAGGCTGGTCAGTTAGCCTGACACTTGCACCCTCCCCTACCATCACTGAAGGCCGTCAATCTAGCCAAGAAACTTACTACTTCTCCATAAAGGAGAATACTGTCCTTTTGTCCTTGAAAGTTACGATAGCCCAATTAAAAGACTTTATGTGTGAAGATAAGAGACATATAGGAACTCTCTGTACTTTCCACTCAATTTGTCTGTGAACTAAAACTGCTCTAAAAAAATTTAAGTTTATTAATTTTTAAAAAGGGACTTTCTGACACTAATTCCAAGGGGATTTTTTAGCTGCCCTGCCCTGTGTGGTTTAGAATAAAGGGAGAAAATAAGTAAGCCTCCAAACATATCAGTAGTTAAGCCTTTTAAGGCATAAATTTTGGAGTTCTGCATTCATCAGATTACTTGGAGCAACATTCAGAAAAGCCTTGAAATCTCAAATAAAGTTAAACAAATATAGCATTCTGCAGATCTTAAACAAGGCTAGATGAGAGGATTAAACCATGTAGTGAGGAAAGGTTTCTACAGGGAAGCTGCAAAGCAGTTCTAAAAATACTGTTTGATGATCCACCACCACTGTTTGAGGGGAGGAAACAGGGAGGAAATCAAAATCTGAAGCAAACCTGGCATTTCTGGGATAACTGCTGACATGCGATTCTGTTCCCCTGTATCACCGTGCTCACAACCCGACTCCACAGCAGGCTGACAGATGGCTTCTGTCACCAGGCTGGTCAGCAAACATATATGAAGAAGGGTAGAAAGAAGACAATCTCCAAAACAGTCTTTTTTATTTGTAATCATCATTCATGCTTGTGCTTTTATAATTTTGAGTGGGACTGCTTTCCTAGTTCCTCAGTGGGGCAGAATTGGCAAAAAGAGCATTGAGATTCCACATTAGACATGTGGATTAGTCTGCTCAGGTTGCCATAACAAAATCCCACAGACTAGGGGGCTTAAACAATAGATATTTATTTTCTTACAGTCCTGGAGGCTGGGAAGTCCAAGGTCAAGATGCCAGCTGATTCAGTTCCTGGTGAGGCCACTCTCTTTGGCTTACAGTCACCTTCTAGCTGTGTCCTCACATGGCCTTTTCTCTGTCATCTCTTTCATGAGGTCTCTTCTTATAAGGACACCAGTTCTATGAGATTAGGGTTCTACTTTTATGTCCTAATTTAACCTTAATTATCTCTTTACAGACGCCATCTCCAAATACGGTCACATTGGGGGTTAGTACTTCAACATATGAATCTGAAGGAGAGACACAATTCAGTCCTTAACACAGTGCTTTATGGATTGTATCTGCATCTTCCATCTTATCACCACCCAAATCCAGCACCTGAATTGGTGAGTGTTGCCAGTGAGAGGCCAAGAGCCAGAAGAGCCTGCTTCTGCTTGCAGAGGATGCACAGTTGTAATAGTTCGTTTTCATGCTGCTGATAAAGACATACCCAGGACTGGGTAATTTACAATCAAAAAGAGATTTAATGGACTCAGTTCCATGTGGTTGGGGAGGCCTCACAATCATAGCAGAAGGCAAAAGGCACATCTTACATCGCAGAAAGCAAGAGAGAATGAGAGCCAAGTGAAATGAGTTTCCCTTCATCAAACCATCAGATCTCATGAGACTTACTATCATGAGAACAGTATGGGAGAATCCACCCCCCATGATTCAGTTATCTCCCACAGGGTCCCCCCAACAACACATGGGAATTATGGGAGTACAATTCAACATGAGATCTGGGTAGGAACACAGAGCCAAACCATATCATTCCACCCCTGGCCCCTATCAAATCTCATGTCCTCACATTTTCAAAACCAATCATGCCTTCCCAACAGTCCCCCAAAGTCTTAACTCATTTCAGCATTAACTCAAAAGTCCACAGTCCAAAGTCTTATCTGAGACAAGGCACGTCCCTTCTGCCTATGAGCCTGTAAAATCAAAAGCAAGTTAGTTACTTTCTAGATACAATGGGGGTGCAGGTATTGGGTAAACACAGCCATTCCAAATGGGAGAAATTGGCCAAAATAAAGGGGCTACCGGTCCCAGGCAAGTCTGAAATCCAACAGGGCAGTCAAACCTTAAGGCTCCAAAATGATCTCCTTTGACTCCATGTCTCATATCCAGGTCATGCTGATGCAAGAGGTGGGCTTCCACAGCCTTGGGCAGTTGCGCCCAAGCTTCTGCACAGCAAAGCAGACAATCAACAGAGTGAAAAGACAAAATCAGAAGAAAATATTTGCAAACTACATATTAGACAAGGGGTTAACGTCAGAAACATACAAGGAACTCAAACAACTCAACTGCAGAAAACAAATAATCCAATTTAAAAATGGGCAAAAGATCTGAATAGACATTTCCCAAAAGAAGATGTGCAAATGGCCAGCAGGGTATAGTCCCCCTCCTGGCTCCTTTCATGGGCTAGCGTTGAGTGTCTGTGGCTTTTCCAGGTGTGTACAGTGAAAGCCATCAGTAGAGCTACTATTCTGGGCTCTGGAGGACAGTGGTCCTCTTCTCACAGCTCCACTAGGCGGTGCCCCATAGGAACTCTGTGTGGGGGCTCCCACCCCACATTTCCCTTCTGCACTGCCCTAGCAGAAATTCTTCATGAGGGCCCCACCTGTGCAGCAAACTTCTACCTGGACACCCAGGAGTTTCCATACAGCCTCTGAAATCTAGGCAGTGGTTCCCAAACCCCAATTCTTGACTTCTGTACACTGGCAGGCTCAAAACCATGTGGAAGCTGCCAAGGTTGAGGCTTGCACCCTCTGAAGCCACAGCCTGAGCTCTACCTTGGCCCCTTTCAGCCACGGCTAGAGCGGCTGGGACACAGGGCACCAAGTCCATATCAACAGTGAAGCAGAGAAACCTAACTCCCTCTCTTTCCTCCCCATATCTGACCTGCTAAGAGTAGGGTGGAAAAGAGCTTCCATCAAGCACTTCCCAGTGATAATTTCACTGAGTGCTCAGAGCCACATGTGAAACCCAGTGTCAGAGAGGGAAAAGCAACCAGCTCAAGGTCATAAAGCAGATAGCAGTAGAACCAGGACACTCCAACCCCAGATTATAAACTCCAGGCCCCAAGCTTCTTCCTCACTTTACAGCTGTTTCCTTAATTTGCATTTCCCTGATGATTAGTGATGTTGAGCATTTCTTCCTATACCTGTTGGCCATTTGCATGTCTTCTTTTGGGAAATGTCTATTCAGGTCTTTTGCCCATTTTTAAATTGGATTGTTTCCTGCAATTGAGTTGTTTGAGTTCCTTGTATGTTTCTGATGTTAACCCCTTGTCTAATGTATAGTTTGCAAATATTTTCTTCAATCCTGCAGTTTGTCTTTTCACTTTGTTGTTTCCTTTGCTGTGCAGAAGCTTTTTAGCTTAATGTAATGCCATTTTTCTATTTTTGCTTTTGTTGCCTGTGCTTTTGAGATCTTATTCAAAAAGCCTTGCCCGTACCAATGTCCTGAAGCGCCTCACCTATGTTTTCTTCAGCAGTTTCATAGTGTCAGTTCTCATATTTAAGTATTTAATTGATTTTGAGTTAATTTTTGTATATGGTAAGAAATAAGGGTCTAATTTCATTCTTCTGTACGTGGATATCCCATTTTCTCAACAGCATTTATTGGAGACTATAAGCCAAAAATGTAATTCTAAGCCCCTCAAGCAACTGAACTGGACCCCTCCTCTTGGAGAGGAGCATTTCAAAGTAAACCCGAATATCTAGTTAAGGCTATGATGGGAAGAGGAGGTTGGACATGTCTCATTTATACCCTCCTCCCTTTGAAATTTAGGCACAATTGACCAGCATTAACATTAAAACAGAGGCCTTAAGACTGATAAAACAGAGATCTTAAAACTGACTCTCTGCAGTAATAAGACACCAGATTCCAGCCTGACTCCAGTATAGCATCACATGACAGATAGCAGGCCCTGAAAGAAATCAAAATATTTTACTCCAAAATATATTTATTTGACATACTATGAAGTAGCCCTGCAAAGCTGTCTCTTGTGGGGAAAAATCTACATTCTGTAGAGAATCCCCTTCCCTTTCCAGGTCTTTTTCCTGACCCGGGAGAGAATTAACTAAGAGTCTGGCACGATTTTAGGTCGTATAAGAGCTCTAAAGCCTACTACCTGGAAGCTGCATCTGCATGATAAAACCCTGGTCTCCACAACCCCTTATCTTAACCCAAACAATCCCTTCTATGATTCCAGGTCTTCAGGTAATAACTTAACACTTTCAACCGTCAATCAGAAAATCTCTGAATCCACCTATAAGCTGAAGTCCCATCATTTCAAGTTGTCCCGGACCAAACTAATATACATCTTACATGTACTGATTGATATCTTATGTCTCCTTAAAACATATAAAACTAAGTTGTAGCCTGACCACCTTGGGCACATGTTCTCAGGATCTCCTGGGGCTGGTCACTCATATTTGGCTCAGAATAAATCTCTTCAAATATTTTACAGAGTTTGACTCTTCACTGACAACACTGTCCTTTCCCCATTGCCTGTTCTTGGCACCTTTGTCAAAAATAAGTTGGCTACAAATGTATAAATTTATTTCTGGGCACCAGTAAGGTACTGGTATAAAAATAGACACGTAGACCAGTGGAACAAATATAATAGCAGTTTTAAAGTCTTTGTTAAGCCCAACATCTGTGTCCTCTCCCAGGAAGATTCTGTTGCCTGCTTTTTTTCTGTCATACCCATTTTTCTGTCATTATTTCTTTGCATATCTTATAATTTTGTGTTGAAAATGACATCTTAGCTAAGACACTGTAGCAACTCTGGATACTACAAGCCCCTCTATCCCAGGGCTTGTTTTTGTTTGCTTATTTTTTCAATGACTTGGCTGGACTCCTGTGGTGAAGTATATTCCCCTCCCCACCCAACCTCTGATTTTGCTCCTCATGGGGGCACAGCCTTGAGTGAACACACATTCTCTCTGGGATGACAATCATTTTATCAGGGCTGTCTGTATCTTCCCTAATCTCTTTGTTAAGCTGTCTGCCTCTGGTGTTTTCATACCCAGCTGTTAGACCCCACTAATTGCTGCCTGATTGCTCTATTGTTTTTGACAACTGCCTAGGGCATACATTGTTCTACATTTTATCTAATTAAATGGAGACCTTTCACAGGGATAGTTTTTGATGTCAGAGTTTGAGGTTTGTTCTGATCCCAGACACTCTTTACTGTCTCTTTCCTGGTCTCTGGCCCAAGCTTTTGCCTATTGCTTATCGGCCTCTTATTAATTACCACCAAACTCTCCATTTTTTTTTTTTTAGAACACCCTTAGGCTTGAACTTTCCCTACACTTTTATAAACAAAGTCAGTATCTTTCAGAGAGCTTCAGAGCTTTCTGTTATTATAGCCTACCTCTCCTACTTGGGAAAATGTTGGAGTCACTGTTCTAGAGCTGGGCGCACAGACTGTGTCCCACTTCTCTCGGAGTGACACTTCCACTTTATGAACAGGGTGCTGGATGGGAGCAGTAGCCTTTGCTCTTCTTGGCTTGATTCTCCAAGGATGGAACCTCTGCCCTACAAACTAGCTGGACTGACAAAGGGCAACTGGGGACCCATTATTCTCAGCCTCAGGTAGAACCTCTGCCCTATGAGTAGGGGCTAGCCACATTCTCCTGGAATTTAGCCTCTGCAACATGCAGCCTTGCTGGAGGTAGGGGGATGCTGACAGCCTGCCCTCCTGGGGAGATACCATAGCCCTTGATGGGAACTTAGGGGAAAGGGAACCCAGTCTTCTTGGTCACTCTTCATAGCTTCTCTCATGCTGAGCTGGGCAGCGGATGGGAAAAGAGAAGGAAGGAGCAGGTTCTGGCTCAAGTGCCACAGACATCTGCTATTCTTACTGAGATCTAGCAGATTTTCTTGAATAAATGTTTCTTCATGTGCTGTATGCCCTTAGGATATACGGCAAATTTCCAAGTTTGGTTGTTTTCTTAAAATAATTTTTATCAGTTATTGTTTCACTGAGCAACAAGTCCACACAGCCCCTAACACCACCATTCCAGAAGTGAATCCCAATAAAATTTAATCTTAATTTCTTTATTCTTAATCAACAAAATGTTATACTCAAAGTTCCTTCCTGCTTAATATCCCATGTTAGGGAAGCTGGCATTAACCTGGTGAATATGAACTCTACACTCCATGTAGAGTTCTGCCTCCCCAGATAGAATTAAACCGTGCTTTTAAAAAGACATTATTTTGGGGCTGAGGCTGTAATCCCAGCACTTTGGGAAGCCAAGGCAGGCAGACTGCTTGAGCTCATAAGTTTAAGACCAGCCTGGGCAACATAGCGAAACCCTGTCTCTACAAAAAAATACAAAAATTAGCCAGGCGTGGAGGTGCACACCTGTAGTCCCAGCTACTTGGGAGGCTGAAGTGAGTGGATCTCGAGCCTGGGAGGTTGAGGCTGCAGCATGGATGACAGAGGGAAACCCTGTCTCAAAAAAAAAAAAAAAAAATAGAAATAGAAAAATAACAGTCACCCAGACATATATCCTGATTAGTAAATAAGCTGAAAATAAGAGGAAAACTTAGTATCATGAGAGGTGTGTGATCATCAGTCACCAGGAAGTCGGGGTAGGCAGACAAGCCACATCTCCCTCGAAGTAGCTCCCTGGACACGTAGGGGGCTCAGTTCCCACTCACAACCAACATCCAAAAAAAGGGCTCACCCTTTCCAAAAAACACAGGGCTCAGGGAACCCAGCATAGGGGCAAAGGGAGTCACCAACATGTTCTTGGAAGTCCCCAAGTGTTGTCCAATCTTCAAGGACAGAAGACTGTTCTCAGAATCCAAATTAAGGAGGAAATGTGACGCCACCAGCCAACCACGTCCACCTGATGGGCAGCTGGTGGAGGGTCTTTCAGGCTGAAGCTCCAGGATAAAACCATTGCCCATAATATCAGGGGAGAAAACAGAGACACTGGCTCCAATGCTGGCTCTGTCATGTAGGAGGTGCTGCAGAACTGAACTGGACTCCAGGACCCCTCCAGCCCCAGGCTCCTTATCTATTAAATGGGAATTCTCAATAGCCTGCAAGATCCAAAGTCAGTACTTGGCAAACCATAGCTGCTATCACTCTGGACAGGAGTCCTGGCTAGGCTCTGTTTTCCCAGTGAGTCCCTCAGATATCGAACTGATACAAGACAGTCCAAGAGTTATGCTTCCTGTACAGGCCCCATGGGCACCCTTTCTAGAGCCAGCTCCTGCTTTCACCTCCCCCTGGGACCTGAGTGTGCTTGCCTTCATGATCACACCAATCCAGTCATCCCTAAAGGGCTCCCAGGTCTCTAGAGCCCCGCTCTCTCACCCCTTTGAGATCTCCTCCTAGCCAGCTGAAAGCAGGATCGATTCTATGAGTAAGACAGGAATGAGTAAAGGCCTAATGCATTGGCCCTCCCAGGGGTAGCACATCAATAGAGCCAACCCCTTCAGACAAGAGAGATGTTATAGTAGGAAAATCTCTAGCAGCAGCTCCTGGCCAGTGAGATACAACTTGGGTAGAAACTTCATAAAAAGCAAACCATGCTAGGAGAAAATTTTTCTATCATGTACTACAGACAGTCCCCAACTTACAAGAGTTCAATGATTTTTCGACTTTAGGATGGTGTGAAATTCACTCAGTATGCTTCTCAACTTACAATGGTGTTACATCCCAAAAAACCTATCATAAGACCAAAACATCAGAAGTAAAAAATGCAGTTGTCGGTGGCTCACACCGGTAATCCCAGCAGTTTGGGAGGCTGAGGCGCGCGGATCATGTGAGGTCAGTGTTCGAGATCAGCCTGGCCAATATGGTGAAACCCCATCACTACTGAAAATACAAAAATTAGCTGGGCATGGTGGTTCATGCCTATAATCCCAGCTATTCAAGAGGCTGAGGCATGAGAATCACTTGAGCCCAGGGGGCAGAGGCTGCAGTGAGCTGAGATCGCGCCACTGTACTCTAGCCCAGGTGACAGAGCAAGATTCTGTCTCAAAAAAAAAAATGCACTTGTGACATATGATATTTTGAACTTATGAGTTTGTGGGGATGCAGCCCCATCGTTAAGTCGAGGAGCATCTGTATATTCTTCCCTGATTTTAAAGACAATTCTGAACTAGAGAATCACAACACAGTTAAAATGCTGTACAGATCCAACCCTGCCCATGACTGTGTGCCCCTAAGGGTCATTTCCCTGCGCTCCATTGTCTGCTCATCTCTGATATGGGGACGAAAATGAACATGACTCAGGTAGGTGACTGTGTACAAAGTGCCTTCTCTTGGGATGCACAGGACTGCAGATCTTATTAAACGCACCTGGCTTGCTGCACCTTTTCAGTTTTCAAACTATTCACTGTGATGGGCTCACCTTCCTCACTTGCCACCAGGTAATCAGCTTTCAATTTTCCTGTCAAGGGAAACGTGCGGCTTCTTCCTGGTTGGAGGCCTGGAAACCACATCATCCAGACGAGAGCATGAGTAAATGCTTTAAAAAGAAGAGCCAATGGTGAGGGCCTGGGGGTGTAAATGGGGACTCAGGGCACTCAGCTGACTTTCTGCTCCCCAGGCCCTACGTGGCGCTGCGTCCAGGATGGCTGCTCATGAGACCCTCGGGTCAGGGAGCAGCATGCTTTCAGGGAAGTGGTTGCTGAAAATAGAAACTTTAATCCAAACAGAAAAATCTGCCATCTGACTATGTTACTACCCACGATGTGAAAATCCTAAGGAAGTGCACAAAGCTCCTCCTCCGCCCCCTTTTTGGAAATACAATTTGTTTTTGATTAACTGGGTCTCTGCTGCAAGCCGACATAGGCAGAACTTGTTGTTCCTACTATTGTCTGTCTGACCCAGTTTGGGTTTTGAATTTTTTTCTCTGTCAACATTTAAAAAAGTAACCTCATTTTATTTTTTTCTACTGTAATTTTTTAAATTAAAATGCTATCATTAAAATGTTTATTTTCTTTGGAAAGGGTTTTCGTTTTGTTTTCAAAGCAGAAAGAGTCCAGATGTTGTAAAATAATAATTTTGGAAAACAAACAAAAGCCCCTCATGACTTGTTATGACAGCCAAAGGACTGATTAAACTCAAGCTGTTGTTTGGCCGGAGGCAGGCAGAGGATCTCCATCCCCACCAGCTGCAGGTGACTGTTGGAGATTCTGGCCTCATCTACTCGGAGGCCCAGGCGTCACACAGGTGGGTGGCAATTCTAGGGCAAGATGTGGAGTCCTAGTTTCAAACAGAAGAAGAGAGGAAGGAAAGTATCTCCACGAGAACAATAAAGGGGTCAGGACTAAACCAGGTCGCAAATACCTCTGGAGTATGTCACATATGAACCAGTGAAGTGTCAAACTCCCTCACCTGAAACCCCGGGTTCCATCTCCATATATAACCATGATACCACAGGTGCAGGGACTTGAGGTACCTCTGTGAGGCCCAATGGAGGAGACCGCTGAGGGATGGACACAGCTCCTCCCACAGGGCACCTTCGTCTTCACACAAGATGCCTTTCTCCAGGGCCAAGGGCTGTTTCTGAAACCACCTTCTCCTCCTCTGCTTGTAGAGATTCCCATGTGATATGCAGCATGCTCAGAAAAAGGAAACCGGATGAGACACCCAGCCCTTCAAGTGATGCCCAATTTTCTGGGATGCTCGCTGTTGCTGTGTCCAGCCTGCTCTGCCCCCGGTCTTCTCCATCTCAGCAATGGCACTGCCATTCTCCAAGTAAGCGGCCATGCCAAACACATGGAGTCTTCCTGCTTCCTGTCAGTCCCTCCCTCCCTCATGCCCAAGCCATCTACAAGACTGAGAGGCACACCCAGACCCGGAGCACCTCTCACCATGGTCACAGCCCCAACCTCAGTGCCAGCCACTACACCTTAAGAGGTTACAAGGAGTTCTGCATTAGCTCCATCACCCTAGGCCCTTCTAAAGTGTCCTCCTCACTCCACAAGCACTTGGATCCTACAGGGATGTCAATCCCATATGGAAGGAGAAGAAAAGGCAGATAGAATCTTGCAGCTGCATGGGGTGGGGGGTGGGGGGGTATATAAACCCTATGTGTAATTCCACATGATTCAAGGACAAAAACTCAGATCAAATAGTTAAAGGTGCCCTACTTCGTCTCCCTCCCAGAAACAAATTACCTCTCCATAGTTACAGACTAGAGAAAACATTTCTGTGCACCCTCTCCAGAAGAAGAGGAAGCAGAGTTTGCTATGCCAAAGAGGAAGCATTAAGGCCAAATTCCCCTCAGAATGGGACTGTCATAGTAGAGGGGACCTCAGGGGTCCATCACAGAGGTTCAGAATCTCCAGGATAAAAGACCCTATACTGCTTGGTACCAATGTTATCGACAGACGGTGTGTAAATGACAGCCCTCACTTGGTGCCTCAGCATCCTAGGGCCCCTCTGAGTCATCTGACATGACAGGGAATCTCTGCTTCCCAACATCAAGGGACAGGGACAGGTTCAAGCCAGGGCTGGGTGTTGGCATATCCCTCCACTCTGCAGCCTTGTCAGTTTTATCCACTAAGGCCATCCAGGAGATGATGCCAAAACCCCTCTTGGCCTGGCCCTAATGACACTCCTAAGGCCCAGTCCTGTATTTCCAAGTTACCCAGTCACCCGCCCCTGAACTCCTGGTATCCACTGAGACCCGAGACCACATTCCCTTCAGAACTGGCTCCTCCTGATTTCTCTCCCTTCCAGGTACCACCATTCTTGGGAGCTCAGATGTATCTGACACCTCTTTCCAACCATCAACCAAACTGGTCAGTCACTGAGTTCTGTCCCCTCTTTGAGACTCTCTGCTTTTGTCACCCTCTTTTTCACTATTCCCATCATCACCCCACAGAGCTAAGGCAACAGGCTCCAAACCAGCCTCCTAGTAAGGCTGACAGCCAACAAACTACACCATTTACACACACACACACACACACACACACACACACACACACACACACACACAGTGCATGTACTCAAAAGCAAGAATCCAAAGTCCTTAGGTTGCATTGTGAGGCTTCCATTCAGTCCTCTGTGCTTGAAACTTTCACAACACTCCCTACTCCACCCCCTCCAGCCCGCAGGAACCAGTACCAACCCAGTCTCCTGGTCCTTTCCCTGAACTTCAGTCTCAAGCAACTCCCCTCTCCAAGGAGCTCCCACTTGCTTCCTGTCTACATAGCTTCTCGTGTGTCCAAAATATTTTCCCCTCTGGTTTTTTCCTCTGGTTAGGTTTTACTGCTTTTGACCTAGAGCCACTACAGGACTCAGAGAGGAACTAGCAGAACTCATTTATTCAAGATCTTTTTACTGCATCTCCACCATGAGCTGGTGAGAGGGTGAGTGACTTCAGAGTGAGTGCCTGTGCATAAAGACATCACCGTGACAGAGACAATTTCGGGTACAGAACTCCGAATGAGGTGCACAACAGGTCTGCAACTAGAAAACTGTGTGGGTAAAGCCCAAGAAGGAAACACAGAACTGGCAAATGGAGAGAAATCCTCAGGTAGTTCTTGCTGCCGCTGCCATTTGGATGCTTTGCTTTTGCTCAGCTGAGTACACATAAATTGAGATTACAATAACTTTAGCCACTTGGCACCCATATCTTGATTTCTAAGACTACACTCCAATAAAAGGGATGAGGGTTCTGTGGAGAAATGGGTGATTCTAGGGCTGGGATAGGAGATACACAAGATGAGCCTGGAGTATCTTGCAGTGCCAATAAGGAAGTACTCAAAAATCAAACAACCCACAATAATGGAGGTATGTCAGAGGAACACGAGCTAACTGAAAGAGCCCCCAGTGGCCAAAGCTGGAACAATCTGAGCAACACAATGAATACCCTAGTACTGGATTACATAAAAGTTGATCATATGGATTGGGTTATTCCTGTCATATCCAACTAAAACAGAATCAAGAAGCCAAGCAGGGACAGAGCACCCTGGGCACGTAACACTGCCACAGGAAGGTAATTCTCCGCAAGTCCAGCTGCTGAAACTGCCTATTGTGACCTGAAACCAGTTTTATCTAATAGCTACTGAAACAAGCTGCTGTGAGTCTAAGAATAGTTTTACACTCACCAATCAGAGCTTGCCAGCTCCTCGAAACATTACTAGTACCAATGAACTGTCTCTCAAAACAATGGGTAACATTTCTGCTTTTTATAAAACCTCCAACCTTCTTTGTTCTTCAGACATATGGAAGACCATCCAGTCTGTGTATATGCCCAGAACTGCAATTCTTGCTTCCCAAATAAAACAGAGAATTGTCTCTATATTTGACTCAACTTTGACAATTATAACCCAAATAACAACAACAACAAAAAAACCATTGAGTCCATATTGATATAAATGACTAAATAAATAAGACAGGCCAGGCATGGTGGCTCACGCCTGAAATCCCAGCACTTTGGGAGGCTGAGGCAGGCTAATTGCTTGAGTCCAAGAGTTTGAGACCAGTGTAGGCAACATAGCAAGACCTTGTCTCAAAAAAAATAAATAAATAAGATAAAATAAAAATTGATTCTGTCTCTAAACACTGTCAAGGTCATCAAAAACAAGGAAATTCTGAGAAACTCACAACCACAAGGAGCCTAGGGAGATATGACAAATACACATAACATGGTATCCTGGATAGAATCCCAGAACAGAAAAAGACAATTAGGTTAAAAACTAGGGAAATGTGAATAAAACATGGAATTTGGTGAATAATGTATCAATTTTGGTTACAATTAACACACTACAATGTACCATGGTGATTAACATGTTAACAACAGCCTGGCAGGAGGTATCATATGGGAGAACTTCAGGCACTCTTTGCAACTTTTCTGTATATCTAAAACTATTCTAAAATTTAAAAGTTTATTTAACAAGCAACCTTAGCTCTGAATCAACTAGTCTTTGCTTTTTTTCCCCTTTTTTCTTTTAAGAGCAAGGATGGTAAGCCACATTTTATATCTCCACAGTACTTAGCTATCCCTGGCCTCTGTAGGCGCCAATCACTGCACATTTGTGGGCTGGCATTTGCTTCTAGACTCAGCCTTGCCCGCCCCTGTCACTGGCAGAGGCCACTGTGCAGCATTCCAGGTCAGGGCCCACAGATTCCTCCCACATCAGCTCCCTCCAGGCTGAGGCCATGAGAGGAGTACCATCAGACACCCAAGAGGCGGTTAGTGTTTGCAGAACCCTCTCTGCCTTGCCTTTTATGTAATCTGGCCTTCTAAGAATTAATTTTACTCCTGGACTCCTGATGTAACCTGTATGCAAAAATCCAGCCCCACACCCTAAAAGCTCTTTGATCTGGACCAGGTGTTCCTCACCCCAGACCTCAGGCCCTGTGGGCAACTGAGGAACTTCTGCCAGAACAGGAACCCCTGGGTTTCCACGCCTTTTTAGGCCATTTCAGATGCATCGCTGCTTTGGGGACAGGGAGGGTCAGGAAGGTGTGGAAAAGTGAAGCCTCATCTTTCAGAAGATAACCAAGAGCAAGGAAAGGAGAAAGACAGAGGAAGCAAAGCAAACAGAGAGGACAGGGAAGCACAGGCCTAGACAAGGAAGAGGATTTTCCAAACTTCCTAGACTTTTGGGACCCCAGAGAGTTCACAGCAGCTCTGCTGCTTCACACAGCATCACCAGCATATATCTGATTCTTACATTACAATATTTGTGCCTTCCATAGAAATGGGCCCAATTAATGAGTGAGACTCCAGGAAAGAGCATCAATTAGTCAACACAATTACAGTACCCCATGAAGTATCCAGAAAAAAAGCTAGAAATCCAACTTTCCATTATAGAGAGGAGAAACCTCCTCCCAGAGACCCAAGGAAGCAGTAGCCTGTGCCCTACTGTGTGGGACTCTGGCAAATCTCCCACTGAAGGTCCTGACTCAAAACTTTCAAGCAGGCCTGACTCTAGTTTAACCTTTTCATCTGGAGGCCCCCTCCCCTTATTTGAACAAGCAGTAAAGAAGAGTGTCTGGAAATCACAGCAACTCTTTCAATAAAACTTAATGTTTATGAAGAAAAATACTCAATTTAAGTGGTTAGCAACCAGCAATATTTTAGTACTTTAGACACGATATTTCAAATAGATGTCTATTTTCTCAGTCACAGATTCACCTCAAGAAAGTTTTGTATTATAAAAACAAAACTCTGTAACCATTCCAAGGGTGATGAATCAAAAAAGTTCCCACACATCTCATTTAAAAATCAAAATACTTTCAAATATTTAAATACCTACACCCTGAAATCAACAAAATAAAGGAACTCTCAGCTGGGTTCTCACCACCAGAAGAGTTGCATTAGTGTTCCCGAAGCGAGAGTGAGCCCTGAGTCTCGGAGGGACAACCAGACACCTGCGCCCAGCCCTAGGGGCTTTCAAGAAATCTGACTGTGGCCAACCTAGGGCAGTAAGCTGGATATGTTAAAAAGAAAGATGATTGCCATAGTTCTCTTACTGCAGGCTTGGAAAATATAGAGAGGGAAACCCCACCCCCCACAGATACCTTAACTAAAATCAGTTCTGACTTGGATATTCTACACAGATAAGATCAGCAAGTACACAAGATTTGGCATCCTGCCTTTTCACCTGAATCTTAGACTGTGAACATATTTCACGCTGCAACCAGACCGCATGATTATAACAGGTTTTTATTTCAGTCTAAAATGTTTCTTACAAAGAAGTAACATTTCTTCAGCTCTTCAGCAGCCACGGGCCTGCAAGCAGCAAGGACCCTGCATGATCAGGATGGTCTCCACTACCACAAAAGCTGAGGTCACACTCATTTAGATCCCAACCGCCCCGCCAAGCAGATGTGCGGAGCTGGAGTTTACTCAGCTACCAGGACACACACACACTCTGTTCGCTTCAAGAGGCCAGCCAAGTGAGAGAAAAGCCACTGATTGGAAGACTGAAGCCACTACTCTCGGTGGGATCTCAGACAAGGATGCTCACTGCAGCATTACCTGTACTATAAAGGATTTTATACCATAAATTGAAAGATTAAATAGCAGCCTACAAGCCTGTCAGGGAAATGGTAAATAATGGCTCCGTCATATGTGAATACCATATAGACATTTGAAATGGAAATCAGTTTTATGACAACTTGACAAGCGAAAAAGTCAGATTCTAAGTAAGATCTACCAATATAAAGACATAGAAGCACTCACGCGGAGTGGGAGAGAGGAAAAGAACACGTATAAAAATGTTAAGCACTGGGAGATGGACACATCATGCTTTTCTGGTTTTCTTCCTCTAGACTATGTTTTACTAAACCCTTTATAGTAAGTATGCAAAATTTTAATAACTGGGGAACTGTACCATCCTTAGGTTGTTTAGTGCCTCTCTGGGGCTGAATTCATCTCAGCTGGAAGGGCTCTCCTTCCACAGGCTGCCTCGAATCCCTCACACCCTCTCAGGGCCCTGTGCATGGCTTCCCACCCCAGTCACGTGACTGCATTCTGGACTTTGAGCTCATCAGGAAAGTAACTGGGGCTTGGTCTTCCCTGACTGCAGGATCATGGGAAACAAAGATACAGTGAGCCTGACAGGGAGGAGAGGGAACCAGAACAGGCCACACAGGAGGAACGGAGATGGGAGTTCATAAGGCTTGTGGGCAACTAGGGGGAGTGGGCAGCCTCGGGAATGACCATGGGAGAGGAAGCTGAAGGCTAGCGGCTCAGTAACAACAGACTCATCCCTGCAGACAGAGTCATCAGAAGGTGATGGGACCTCAGAGACCTCTGGGGCCAGGGGTAACATGGAGTGATGCAGGGGAGGGACAGGAGTGGAGGGGATGGTAGTCACCGGTCAAAGCGAAAGAGATTCCAAGCCCACCTCTGGAGAGAGACAGGACATGCAGAGAAAGGACCTCACTCCATTTAGAGGCCTCTGGCTCTTCTGGGAGAACCAGCCATCTTTCAGTTATGTGAAGAGATGGGGTGTGGGCAGGGGCATCTGCAAGGAGGGATGGGGGTGCAGGAGCTTCTTTATGCAAAGGTGGAGGCTCAGGCAAGAGGGTGGAGAGGAAGACCGGACTTCACTAGACTGACTACAGATGCAGTCCATCTGTTGGGTGCAGCCAATGTGCAACCTTGGCTAGCCACACAGAAGAGGGTCTCCCTCTCAACCATCCATGGGAGCAGAGTAGCCAACAGGAAGGTGGGGTAGGGACAGGAAGAGAAAGGACTGAGAGCTGGTCCACGCTGCTATGTTTAGGCAGGGCTCAGAAGTAATACTAATGATGAGGTGTTTTGAGGCATGGACCACAGGGACATTCAGTGTAGGATGAACCTGCCTGAAGGAAGCCAACTCTGCAACAAAGATGGACACAGACTAGCCTGCCCTTCCCACTGGCAGTGGCGACAGATCCCACATGCAGCAAGACATTAGAAAGACAAGACCGGGGGGGAACATGATCCATCAGGACTTGGCCCCACAGCAGCCCCACCTTGCACTTGACCATCTCTGCCCCGCCTGGGGCAGCCCTGCAGCCACAAGCCCAGTTTCAAGAAATACCTGTTTCTGACCACAAGCATCACAAGAGTGAAACTAAGCAATGCTTGCTTCCTGTCTCCTAGCACGAAAACTAGTAGGACTGACTGGGTCACAAAACACAAAGAATTCGATGAATGGAAAAAATGAAAAGCAAATTTGGGGTAATGGTAACCTAGAGAGAAGGTGGGAAGGCATATGTAGTTTCAAGTGTATTGGTCATGAAAATGTCTAAAGCTGAGTTGCGATTCACTGTATTGTTATTCCTATCATTTTTCACATAAAGGACTGCCTAATAAACATTTTATTATTATAGAGTACATGCCAAAATCATTATTAGCACAGGTTGAGTATCCCTTATCTGAAATACTTGACACCAGAAGTGGTTAGGGTTTGGAATTTTTTTAAGATTTTGAAATATTTGCATTATATACGTACAGATTCAGCACACCTAATCCAAAAATCTGAAATCCAAAATGCTCCAATAAGCATTTCCTCTGAAGGTCATGTCAGTGCTAAAAAAGTGTCAGGTTTGGAAGTACTTCAAATTTTGGATTTTCAGATCAGGGATGTTCAACCTCTATTATGCTTTCACTTATTTTCAAAAAAGCAATGTAAGTATAATTTTTTCAAGTGTAAGCTTAGATCAAAAGCTTTGCATTTCTCTTAAATGCAAGAGGACACATATATCTTTTTGCATCACATCCCAGGGTTGCTCAGAGGCTCATCCCTGGATGTCAACCACACTTGCCTACTGTCAGCACTGACTGGCTGGTCGCTGGCCTCCCTGTGACAGGCCCACTGGGGAGACACCTCCATTCTGGCAGGTGTGACAAGTGGAGGGGCCATTGCACAGAGGCCCACAGCTGCCCCTCTCTGCTTTCCAGGACAGCCAGTTGCACCTGCCTCTAGGTGCCCACCTTTCTGTTGGCTGCTTTCGTTTTTAATCCCACTCTTCTTCAGACTGCCCTCCTTGCAGGGCCCCATATTCTGAACCAGGTGCAACCAATCCTAACATCCCTTGAGGCCCTGCTCTGACTGGTGCCAATAAGCTAAACCACAGCTGGCCAAGATAGGAAAAGTGATTTAACCTGCTGTCCCTCTAGGATGGGATTTTACCCAGATCTCCAGAGTCTCAGCCCAATAATGTGGGAACCACAGGTGTAAAGGCAAAGAGGAAAAAAGCAGGATACAGAAAACATTTTACAGCAAGGTGGCCCAACAGGGTCCCTCACATCACCTGCTGTGCCACTTTAACGTGGCTTCTGCTTAAATTTCAAGTTTAAAAAATTATATTTATTTTAAAGACAGGATCTTACTCTGTCAACTAAACTGGTCTCAAACTCCTTGCCTCAAGTGATCCTCCCACTGCAGCTTCCCAAAAAACTGGGATTACAGGTGTGAGCCTAAACTTGGAGCTTTTAAAGTACACAGTGTTGAGTTGTTAAGCCAGGACAAGACATCAAACAATCCAACTCCAACATGGCAAACTCGTAATGAAGGGAGAAGGAGAGGCAAAGGTGCTGCTGAGAAAACCTTTCACTAGAGAACGGAAAGCCCAGCCAGAGGTGGTGCGTGGACAGGGAGCACCCTGAAGACCAGCAAGCTAGCTGACACTCAAGGCCAGCTGAGCATCACATTTACAGGCTGTCACAGCCTCCCTGTCTTCCTGGGATTCTGCAAAACACAATTCCACAGGGAGGACAAGCACTTAGAATTCTCCCCTGGTACAAAGCCTGCTTGCTCACATTGGATCACTTGGAAACATAATAAATCCTTCCTTCCCCATTAATCTGTTACTGAGGCTCAATGTGATATAATCATTTTATATAGAGAATTCTGTCACTGAATCTTTATATCTAAAACCACTTCAGATAGCTAAAACATATGCCAGCCTTAAGCCAAATGCAGCTCCCTAAAGAAACCAGCACCCCAAAGAGACCACAGGATTATCCAAGAGCCACAGGCAACCAGAATAAAACTGGAGGAGCGAGGGTTCTGGCTGCCAAGAGTGGTCGATTTATGCGTGCCAAGGGACCAAGCCCCCACTGGTATAGGAAATGTATGCCATTTCTTTCCCCCCAGGGAATTTTCAGAGGAAGACATCCTTGCTCCACACAGGATCACACCAGGTCCACATTCCTCCAAGTCTCCTGTTCACTTCCTGGCCTCTCTGTGGGGTGAGGGATTACAATGGGCAGCAGGTGGTGACACCCTCCACCTTGAGAGGGACGTGTCAGATGCAGGAAAAGTTCACAGTGCTCTGATTAAATTATGTTTTGTTAGGACACCCCCTCCCCAGTGTTGGCATTGAAAGGTAACTAGCAGAAGAACTTGAAGCACACCTGTGTAACTCAAGGTCAGTCCCCAGGTGCTGCTTTGCTCTCTTTGGGCCTCAGTTTCCTAAACTGCACACTGGTAATGCACAGCCTGCAGCCTGAGAAGCATGTGAGAATGGAGCACGTGCAGCACCACAACTCCTTCCTGGGGCTGGAAGGGTCCAGAGTGTGCGGCACCCTGCCCCCCACTCACCCTCCACAGGCCAGCACAGGGGGAGTTTGGCTGCGGAGACGGACACACGCGCCCTGGGGCTGCAGCTGGCAAGAAGACAGGCTAGTGGAAGATTCAGTGCTCTCCGGTCTGAGGCTGCCAGCAATGCAAGGGACTGGAGACGGGCACATTCTGCCTGGCAAGGGATGGGGGCCAGGAGTGAGGGACCATGTGTGCAAATGCACGGGAGCTAGCTGGCCACCTCAGTCATTTACTCCTTCAGTGCACAGAGGGTCACCAAGGCCTGGGGCCAAGTGAGAGGACAGACACCCATAGGAGAAAGAGCCCAGACTCAGCCCTTAATGCCCAGAATGTCAGTGCAGGGGAACCACAGTCAGTGATGATGTTCCTAACACAGGTAAAATGACGACAGTCCTTTCTACAGCAAAAAGCTGCTCTGTGTCGTAAGAGCATATGATAGGGCACCAGATAAAAATCTGGTAAGTCACTCCACCTCTCTCTGAGCATCCCTTCCCTCCTCTGCAAAATGGAAATGAATAATAATTACCTCATCAGGTAGCTGGGGATTAATAAACTGATCCTAGACAGACATCTGGCCCAATGCCCAGCATATGGTAAATGCTCAGTGAGCCAACCTCTCAGGGCTGAGTTCCCCACCCACCCAAGACAGTCAGAACCAGGAGCCCCTGGCAAGGCTCCACCCAATGCCCTACAGAAACAGAAAAAAAGCTTTAGTTTCAGCAGAGGCTGAGAAGGCAGGCCTCTGGGGCTGGCAGGGAGGGTGTCAGCCAGAGGCTCCGTGTCTAGCGGGCAGCAGAGGAGGTGCTGGCAAGGACAGCAAGCTGGCTGGAAGCCCTGACTGCAGGAAACAGACCTCAAGCAGCACTCCCTGGGGGCAGGACCCTGCCATTCTGTGCTGTTTGGGGGCAGTTTCTAAAGCCTTAAGAAAATAGCTTCCTGTCTCAGGCTTTCTAGGAAGTCACAAACTAGGTGTCTGGGAGGCAGTTTTAGGTAAGTGCACAGCCCAAGGGAGAGCTGACCCCTGTACCAGACAGAGACCCTGACAGAAGGGACAGCCCAGGGCCAGGCACAAAGGGCTCCAGCTCAATCGAAGTTGGTCAAACAGGGACAAAGGAGACAGTTTTCTTCAAGGACAGGAAGAAATCTGTTGCTATCCTGTGTACCCCGAATTCCATTTGCAACCATTAGTTGTTTCAGAAAAGCTGGTGCGTGTCAGATGTTTTATCTATGAGACAATGATTTCCCAGCACCTGACCACACTTTCTGTGTCACAGAAACTGTGGGCTGCAGGTTATACGTGGGTTCTGTGCCTCCTGGCATACCTGGAAAGATCCTGATGCAGCCCACACTGTCAGTTCATAAATAGTAGGGTCAAAACTCTGTTTCCCATGGCTGGAGCAAGCTGCTTCAAACCAGCCATCCCCATGCAGAGATGCCACTGACTATGTATTTATTGCTAACTGTCTTCTAATTATGATAGAGCAGTCAGCGCCTGGCTTCTAAGACACCTTGCTCAACTCATCAAAGTAGGGTAGCCTCGGGATATCTCACGAAGCACACACAGGAGAAGTTCCCACCCAAGGCACAGCAGATACCCCCCATCAGCACCACTGCAGCCAAATGGGGACAGGAGCACCTCCCCACACTTCTAAAATTAGAAGTGCCACCAATTAGCACCAAAATAAGTAGCCTAGTTTGGGGAAGGTGATAAAAATCAGCGAATAATATCTTGAGTGGGGAGTGGAACAGGAACAAGCACTCTAGGGCAACTGGAAGTGTGGTCTGTGAACTGGCAGTAGCAGTACCACCCAGGAGCCGGGAGGAAGTGCCCGACCTATGAAGGCTGACTCCCTGTGGGTAGGGCCCAGTATCTGCATTGAACAAGTCTTCTAGGTGACTGCTAGGCATTCAAGTTGGAGTAGCTATCTCTAGCCTGCCATCTTCGAAAGATGCCTGAAGACTTACACAATTATTTCCAGTTAAGTCCTAACAATCTACAAAAAAACCGGACCTCTTTCTTTTCAAAAAACAGAAAAATAGCACCACCACAGAAAGTCATGGGTGCGGGCTGCATTCATGCTCAGCTAGAACTGAATGCAGAGTAAGTCAGGACAGAATAGGACAGACACATACCTGCAACCTTCTCGGAAATCCATCACACCCTTCTACCCTCACCCCCTCAACCTTCCTACTCCCATTCACCCTATTCTCCCCAGCTGGGGCAGGGACCCTCTTCACAGCCACATTGGTAACCATCAAAAAGGTCAAAAGAGATCACCATGATTTGTTGCAAAGAAAGTCGGGGGAGGGAGTGCCCAGAGTTAACTCCACTAACTAGGGATCAGGGGTGTGCTCTGCCACCCCTACCCCCACAGCCCTGCCTCGCCTTGACTCTAACAGCAGCGCAGGTCTGGTGGAGAGGCACTCAGCTGGACTGCAAGGCTGGCTCAGCTTCTCACACCCTGGACCTCAGATCGGCAGAGAAGCCATCCAGGAACAGAGCCTTGTAAAAGCTCCCTGGACTTGGAGCAGTCCTGGTCCCAAGCGACAGGAATCCTCCTCTCTGGTGGCCACCTCCCTCATCAGTCATGACGAGGCCTCCACCAAGAGCAGGGCCTGCCTGAGGCTGTGCTCCTGGGTGGGAGGGAGGACACTGTGACTTAAACACAGTGTGGCTGAGAAAGAAAAAGGAAACACCCGCAAATTAAAGTGCGCTCTATTTTAGCTTTAAACACACATCCCTCCCACCTACGGCAGTGTCCAAAATAGCACATCCTATTTTAGGGAGATCAGAGGCAGTTCCTCAATAGGCTACAAAATAGACCTGGAGTTTGGAGACCAGCACCGCACAATAACAGTAGGTTGTAGGCCGCAGGGACTGCACTCGCACTGAATCCACCTCCCACTCCAGTCCCATTTTAAAGGCCAGAAGACCTAGGCCTCAAGAGCTAGCACGGCTGCTGGTGGTCCTCCTGACTCAAATTCTGCCCTCTCCATTTCCAATCCATGCCATGTGGCTCTCTTCCCACAGCAGGGCCCAGGCTGTCCACATTAGAGGGGCCCTTAGCCTCTCCTCCCTCATCCAACCGCTGTCTCCTGGGCAAGACCCACACAGGGCAGGGAGAGGTAAAAGGCAGGGTGAGGTAGAGGGAGAAAGCCTCTGTTCATCAGACTCCTGGACTCTGGGTTGAACAAGGATAGTCACTAACGGAGGGACTGAGACAGCCATGGTCTTGTTCACTCACAAAGAGAGAGCAGTTTCTACAAGACCAACGTTGACAGTTCCTGGAGATACAGGGCAGGAGAGAGGCAATCAACAGCCAAAATGGCCCAAGACTCGCCGACATTGAGGCTCTGGTTCATCCTCTGTTGTTAGGCTGTGGTCTGGTAACATGGTGTCCAAGTATCTCAGAGAAAGGCTGTAAAGCTGCCCCTAGAATCTGGAAACGGGTCAGGAACAGTCACTTGCTCAGTACTAGGACTCCCATGGCTATGGTTTCCCTACCAGGCAGGAAGACCAAGCTGTACCACCACACCATTCAGGACAAAGAGCCAAGAAGCGTGCCTGAAGCAGGCAGCTCAGGGAGACGGGACGGCGGGGGAGCTGCACACAGCATGCTGTGCATGGCCCCAGAGCCAGACCATCCGGGCTCCAACCCCAACTGCCGCTCACCCGCCACGCTACACGTCCCCAGGGAGAACTCATTTCACCTTCTGCTCCTCAGTCTCCTGCTCCTGAAATGGGTGTTACAGAATCATCTACTTCATGGGGTTACTGCAAGAATCAGATGACTTAATCCCTCTAAATGTGCCCAGTGCACAAAAATGCTACTTAAGTATTTGCCACTATTACTACTACCACTCCTGCTAAGCCCATCTGACAATCAGATACCCCAGAGGCTCTTCTAGCCATCCAGAAACAGGGGGATGGAGGCACTCAGGCCATGCCGCTGGATCAAGGACAGCAAGGAAGGGGCTGTGAGTACCCAGAGAACAGGGAACACTTATAACGGCAAACAAGGCCTTGAAGAAGGTTAATTACTGTTAAAAGTACAAACTTAACCCGCTATCGTCACAGGCCAGGAAGAGAACGGGCTGGAGGGCCCCATGAGAATTTCTGGAAGACAGGAAGGGAGGCAAGGCTATCTTGGCCATTCTCAGGTGATGGTGAATGAGGCAAACCACTGTGGAAACCATGAGCGCAGAGGGAGGTGGGCCCTGCTGGACACGCTTCAGAATGCCCATCACTCCCCTCTGAGCCAGGAGAGGTCTCCAGGAGCGCCACCCCTCCCCCAAGCAGGGCTCCTCCCCACACACACCCCAGGGCTGGGTCCCAGCACCCCAGCTGAGAGCCTCCCTGACTGTGGCTGGAGACCAGATACCTAAAGGGGGCTTGGTGAAGGAGAGCTCTTCCCCAGAGCGAGGGGCCCACCCTGGAGGAGAAAGTCCCTGCTCTGAGCTCCTGGGTGTGAACCCTCCCGAGGGACAGCAAACAGGGCCATTACTGCTCAAATGTGGAGCTTAGCATGTCTTAGTTTGACTGGGCATCCAGCCAGGCATTACTTTAATATACAACCCTAAAGCTTAGTCAAACTATCACTGGCTTGTGTGTCCTGGCAACACCTGGCCCTAAAACTGGGAATCACCTAGCACCAAATAAGAGAAATTAAAATTCCAGGAACAATCGAAACTCAAATTTTAAAAGTTTCTACAATGTGAATCTTCATTATCCTATGTACCCATTCTAATTAAATTCTTCAAAAAGTTTTGGGATGGTAAAAATTTCATGTGGCAAGTCTGACTCATTAAGGAGAAAAACATAGGCAAAATCACATTGCAAAGACTTGTTACCACAAAGCTATTTGGAGTTGATTTCAGTAAAATTCTGCATCAAATCTGGATTACCTGTGGGTGGATTAAACATTTGTAGATTAGCCTTGATAAAAAAATGAGAAGATAGTGCATTTGTGGAAAAAAATTTAAAATAAAAACCATTATAACAGCATTCCACACTGTTATTTAAAATTAGTGGCAGGCAAGGTGGACACACAGGCTCCCCCCGCCCCAGAGGCCCATCCCTGCCCACTATGGGTAGTACTGCTCCCCTCCTCCCAAAGCCCCCACCCCAGGTGAGAAAAGCAGGTAGAAGGGAGAGGGTGGCTGAACCCCAGCCCTGCCCACACAGCCCAGCATGCCCCAGCAAACAGCAGGAGACTACAACCATTGTTGGTCATGCAATGTAATACTGACGCCTAAAGCAAAAAAACAAAGTATCTGTAAATGTTCAATGTCCTGCTAAATTTTACAAGTAATTTCAGCCAGATTAAATGTATTTTGCACTATATTCTGACTACTTCTGTGTTACCCATAGTTTTGCTTTCCTCCAAGGCTTATGCTCCCTCTCCTACCTCATCTGTCATCCTGGTTGGTCAAGAGACAAATTTAAATAGCTGAGAAAGAAAGATGACCTCAGAACTTGAAACACCGCCCATGGGGTTTTAGAGGTCTCTCTTAATTTGTAAATCTAATGGGCTAATAACTCCCTGGCTTAAATCCCCTCTGTGGCTCTCGGCACACACAGAATGCAGCATGAAGTTGCACCCAGGATGGATCTCCTGGCCCTCCTCTGTCTCCCAAGCTTCCTAAGTACCACACTCACAAGCTGCTCCCGACAGCATCTCACAAGTGCCCTCTCTATGCCTTTGCTCAGCTGTCCGCTCCACTTAAGAGTGCCCCTCCTGTTCTTGTCTGCTTGACAATTTGTACTCATGCTACATGACCAATTTAAACAGCAATTTCCCTGTAAAGTTTCACCCACTTCCAGACAGAAATAAATACCCTCTGCTTATTGTGACATGGCCCTTTCTGTTGCCACAAAGAAAAAAAACTTCTGATACAGTGTACACCCTTGTCTCCTGTAGCTCCTTAGGAGAAGGGCCTAAGTCATCTTTAACTCTTCATCTTTAACAAAGCTGAGCCACTGCAGGAGCCCCAAATAAGCTTTTATTAAGTGATTAATTAAAAATAACTTTTGTATCCCCCAGGGCCCCAGATGGGTTTGGTGCATAAGAAAACTTATTTGAAGATGTTTTTATCCATGAAATAGAATTTTTTTAAAAAACACCAACCTGTAACTATGAAATTCCTGCACCTCACTTAGGCTGATGCTGATGGCAATCTGCAAAGAGAGGCTGCCAAATGTCAGGGTGATGGCACCCAGGTGAGATGGGTCTGCTGCCTCCCAGGGCATCAAGGTACAACAAAGGCCCAGGGCTAGGGCCAGAAGCCTGGTTTGGGTCTTGTCTGTCACTCACCAAGCAGGAGGGCCCGGGCAGGCCATTCACCTGCTCTGGCTCTCCCCATAATGCCTGTGGGGTGAGCGGCCATGTGGTGCCAGCGTGGGCTCATCCCACCCAGGGCTCTTCGTAGCACAGGTGGAACTGGATCTTTAAGATATTCCACATTATAGAGAAGACAACACAATAGAGCAAAAAGCAAGCTCCCAACCCCAACTACTTCAGAGATGTCCTTTTGTGTAAGAATCCTGCTTCAAAAAACAAAATCCACTCTTGGGCCTCACCAAGCACTGGGAAGGCTGCGGGTGGCCCTCGCCCACTGCACCATGGACACCAAAACCCACACACACAGGCCGCTCTTGAGGCTGTCAAAGTGATATTAGATACCACAAATGCAGAAAGGGAAAGAATGGGAGGCTGAAATCAAAACCAAAAGTGACTTCACAACCTGCATATACAGCTTTCCAAACAAGCTGCTCAAACGAATGCACACTCCAGAAGAAAGAGGGTATGAAAACGTCCATGTCTGTATATGGCAGACTGCCCCCGAAGGGCTCACAAAAATGCTGGGCAAACTGCTTGCCTCTGGGGAGAGGAACTGGAAGGCAAAGTGGGAGAGGTGATTCTTCTCGATATATCACTTTGTAATTTTTGAATGAGACCAAAGGTAATACCTTCATAGCATGTAATTATGTGAGATATGTAATGCCCTCAAACAGAAGTTATGAAAATGTCCCACAGTAAATAAACTTATCTTCCCCAATCACATGTATTACCTTTCCAACATGTTTTCATGCAATCACCTGGTGAAGTGGAAAATCAAGATACTAAAGGCCTGGATCCACTTTTTAATGCTGTGTGACCCTGGGTGCCATCCGCCCACCCACCAAGACTCCAGAGGTAGCAACCGGCTTATGGTCACCATCTGGCCCGGGTGAGGTCACTCACTGAGTGGCACCTCCTGAGAGGCCCTGACCACATTGTAACCCATCATGGCCAGTGCCCAGAGTAAGGAGGGGAAGCAGGTGGCCCACCACACGGTGTCAGCCCCTCTACACTGCACCTACACTGCCCTCCACACTCTCAACTGCACCCACACTGCCCTCAACACTCTCCACTGTCCCCACACTGTCCTCCTCACTCTCCACTGTCCTCACACTGCCCTCAACACTCTCCACTGTCCTCACACTGCCCTTCTCACTCTCCACTGTCCTCACACTGCCCTCCTCACTCTCCACTCCACCCACACTGCCCTCCTCACTCTCCACTCCACCCGCACTACCCGCCACACTCTCCACTCCACCCACACTACCCGCCACACTCTACACTGCACCCACACTGCCCTCCACACTCTCCACTGCACCCACACTACCCTCCACTCTCTCCACTCCACCCACACTGCCCTCCTCACTCTCCACTGCACCCACACTGCCCTCCACACTCTTCACTGCACCCACACTGCCCTCCTCACTCTACACTGCACCCGCACTGCCCTCCTCACTCTCCACTGCACCCACACTGCCCTCCTCACTCTTCACTGCACCCACACTGCCCTCCACACTCTTCACTGCACCCACACTGCCCTCCTCACTCTACACTGCACCCGCACTGCCCTCCTCACTCTACACTGCACCTACAATACACTCCTTTCTCCTGCCTAGGGCACTCCCACACTGTGGCAAGCAGAAGTGCAGCTCAGGGCAGCAGGAAAGAGCACCTCATGGAGAGGGAGGCCTGGAGGCTGGACTCCACAGCCAGCCATGCCCCAGCTAAGCTGCAAGACTCTGGGCAAGTCACTGCCCTTTCTGGGCCCCAATGCCCTCTTCTGTAAGAGGAGAATATCAGGTTCTCAAACCTCACTCCTCCTTTCTGCAGATGCTTCCTACTGAGGATGCACAGATTTGAAGACCCACCACAGACCCTCAGTGAGCCCTGGGCTGGGGCTAGGGGAGGGGACACAGACATATGTGCTGTGGCCTCTCCCTCAGGAAGTCATCTTCCAGAGGACAGAGGACACATGAAGAACAGCTGCATGACAGAGAGAGCACTTCAGCAGAAGGGGACAGACATCTGCACCACCAGCCTGGTTCCTTGGACACTTGCCACAGAGCTCATCTGTCCACATCAGATTGGCTTCTCCACTGGACTGTGCTCTCCCCAGCAGAGTTTCACCCTATCTCCATCCAGGGCAGCCAAGAGAATCTGCTGGGGGACTCGAGTCTGTGCACGCTGCCGTGGGTGTGCTCACAGCACAGACTCTTCTGCTCTGGGCACTCTCTGAGGGAACTCCCAGGAGCAGGGCTGGGTCAAGCCCAGCTGTGTACCTTGTGCCCTTCCCCCAACCCCGGACCCCAACAGGGACTCAAGCTCATCACTTTCAAGGCCCAGCCCTCCTTGGCCCCTGTAGGTCTCCACCCATGTGGACCATACTTCTGCTCCACGGCAGGCAGAAACAGGCCCAGCCACAGGAGAGAACGAGAAAATGGAGTCACATGGGAGATCAAAAAGAGGCCTTGTTGGAGCAGACCAATGCCCAGCTGAAACTCTTGATTCCTACACCCTCCTTGTGGGGCACAAAAAGAGGGACAAGGACAGGTGGCCCTCCAGCACACTCCCAGCATCAACATCACAGTCAATGGCAACTCCCAGAGCTTTTCAAAGTCATCCAAGATTGTTACTTCTTCAATCAGTCCTCACCCCAGACCACACACCCCTGGCAGTTTGCTTGGCCTGTGGCAGAATTTCAGAGCTACAGTCCCGAACTCCACGGTGCTGTCTGTGACTTCAGCCCCAACAGGGGTTCTCGGGCACTCCTGGCGGCTAGGGGGCTGCGGCAAACTTACTAACAGGGCCAGCAACGTCTTGGGAGGCTTCGACATTTATAGATTATTAAATGAAGAATTTTAAAAGCTTACAGACAGCCAGTCTAAGCACTTCAAATCTACACAGTCTACTTGGCAAACACACACTGAGCGTTGACCTTGGTTCCTGAGCGCTCAACCTGAGGCTGCAGCCTGTGAGAAGCAGCAGCATGGCAGACTTCTGTTCAAAAGCAACCTTACTTCCATCCACCAGAGCTTAAAATTCTCAGATGGTCTAACAGAAATATTCCACATATGATGAGATACCACAGAAACCTTAAGTGTAAGTTAAAAAACCATACTCCCACCTGCTATATATTTTAATTCCACATTCTCTCCTGATAGCTTTGCGAGATTGCCAAGTACAAAGGGAAAAAAGCTTTTCAAAGCTCAATTTTTTAACCCAACAGGGTCATTCATCCTTTTCTCCTGTGTGGAATGACTGTGAAGTAACTCAACAGTGTTTCTCACAGGACTCAGGTCAGGACATCATTCACAACGGCCATCTACAGTGAAGCCACAGACACACACATGCATGCACGCACAGGCACACCACATACACGCACACTCATATACACAGGAGGCACCTCCAACACCCTCAGCTAAAACTATTTTAGTGTGATCTCAAATCAAAAGCTTGGGCCAAACCATTCTGGTTTCTGAAACTACAGGTCAACAAGGTTGCAACAAACATAAAACCACACTGAAACCTATTCAGAGAAGGATGGTGATGGTTTCTTTAGAAATGTCTTCCAGTGGCTGGGTGCGGTGGCTCACGCATGTAATCCCAGTACTTTGGGAGGCCAAGGTGGGTGGATCACCAGGTCAGGAGTTCGAGATCAGCCTGGCTAACATGGTGAAACCCCGTCTCTACTAAAAATACAAAAATTAGCCGGGCGTGGTGGTGCGTGCCTGTAGTCCCAGCTGCTCGGGAGGCTGAGGCAGGAGAACAGCTTAAACCCGGGAGGCGGAGCTTGCAGTGAGCCGAGGTCGCGCCACTGCACTCCAGCCTGGGCAACAGAGCAAGACTCCGTCTCAAAAAACAAAAAAAAAAAGAAAAAAAGAAATGTCTTCCAGCTCCTCCTGCAACATGGCCCTGAACCACGTCTAACCAGAGGTCACACCAAGGAAGTGACCACCCAACTCAGCACCACTTCTTCCTGTGGTCCTGGTATCATGCTTCCCCTTCCTGCTCCTTCAGTGCCTGGCTGAGAAGGCGAAAGGCCCCACCAGGCCTCCTTGCAGGGGCCGAAGCCCAGCGGGCCATGCCTCCCTGCGGAGGGAAGGGACAGACCACTAAGGAGCAAGGACTTAGAGCTCAGAAGCAGCGCCAAGTGAGTCTCATGCCCCTCCTGAGGCAGGAGTCCAATCAGGGGAACCCCAGGTGGGGCTGCACGTGCACTGGGTCAGCCTCCAGGGGCCAGGTCTCCCCACCTGCACCACTGGGTCCAGAGCTCTTTAAAATCCAGGGGCCGCTCCCCAGTCTAGGACCACAGGGAAACACTCTGAGTGCCAAGCACTCCCAATGGCTCACTGGAGCTCTGTGGTCATGAATTTACAGACTCATCAACATGTCATGTGTTCTTCTCCAGCCACAGGCCACTGTGCTGAGAAGTGGCCAGAACCAGGGCTGTGGTTTTACCAAGTGAGATGTGGACGGACAGGGGCAGGAGGTCACGTGCGTTGGCCCTTTCACATCAGTCATGACTATGCCTCTATGACTGTGGAACCCTCCTTGGTGCACAGCAGAACATGCTGCAGCTCTGCACATCACAGTTCACCTTCACAGCCTGAGAGAAGGAGGGGACTGAGGCTCGGCATCTAAGAGACTGGCTCAACACCAATATGTGGGGATTTGAAACAGGTGGGCCTATTTCATCAGGAGGCCAAGTTCTTTTTGTTGTTGTTGTTGTTGTTTGAGACGGAATTTCTTTCTTGCTGCCCAGGCTGGAGTGCAATGGCGTGATCTCAGCTCACCACAACCTCCACCTCCCAGGTTCAAGGGATTCTCCTGCCTCAGCCTCCCAAGTAGCTGGGATTACAGGGATGCGCCCCAACGCCCGGCTAATTTTTTGTATTTTTAGTAGAGACAGGGTTTCTCCATGTTGGTCAGGCTAGCCTCGAACTCCTGACCTCAGGTGATCTGCCTGCCTTGGCCTCTCAAAGTGCTGACATTACAGGCATGAGCCACCGCACCCGGCCCAAGTTCTTTTTTTTTTTTTTGAGACGGAGTCTTGCTCTGTTGCCCAGGCTGGAGTGCAATGGCGCGATCTCGGCTCACTGCAACCTCCGCCTCCCAGGTTCAAGCCATTCCTTGCCTCAGCCTCCCGAGAAGCTGGGATTACAGGCGCATGCCAGCCACCACACCCGACTAATTTTTGTATTTTTAGTAGAGATGGGGTTTCACCATCTTGGCCAGGCTGGTCTTGAACTCCTGACCTCGTGATCTACCCACCTCGGCCTCCCAAAGTGCCGGGATTACAGGCGTGAGCCACCGTGCCCAGCCAGGAGGCTGGGTTCTAAACCTCTAAGGCCCACTGCTCTCCACCCCAGCTGTACCTCCAAATCACCTCATGGGAAAGGTGGCAAATGTCATGCTGGCCCCACCCAGGATTACACTAATTAGCACAGCATGGGTGGAGGGCAGGCTGCCATGTTTTTCAAAAGCCCCTAGGTGATGGTAAGGTACAGCCAGGATGGGGAAAATTGCAACACTATTCCAGTTCCCCTTACCCCCAGCCCCCAAAACCCCTTTTCCCAGCTGTTCACTTTATCCTGCCATGGTTGACTCATCTCTGCTCTGCTCAAAGCCATCTCAGCAACCACTGTGGGAGGCATTCACCACGCCTCCTAGGCTGGAAGTACCAGTGTGGGCGTGATGTAGAGACTTTGGGTCTCTCTGGCTCTCAATCTCAGCCATGAGCTTTGCATCTAGTTACAGCTAAACTCATGGTCCAGCAATGAACCATGAGGAGTTATCGACTTCTATCATCATCCTTCACAAACTGCAGTCTCACTGGTTTCAGGATCAACAGAACCATCAAAAAGAAATGCCACAGTTCTTAGAATGAGAAATGCGACCCACCAGCCACACACTAAACAGCATTTATTTTGGTTTGGATTTCATTCCCCTTCCTTCCTTTATTACCCTCCCCTAGTGGCACCTTATAAATTTTCTGTTTTCAGCCATACATGGTGGCTCATACCTGAAATCCTAGCGCTTTGGGAGGTCAAGGTGAGAGGATCATTTGAGGCCAGGGGTTCAAGACCACCCTGGGTAACAAAGCAAGACCCCCATCCCTACAAAAAAATAAAAAATAAAATTTAGGCATGGTAAGGCATTTCTGTACTCCCAACTACTCAGAACCCTGAGGTGGGAGGATCACTTAAGTCCAGGAGTTCAAGGCTGCAATGAGCTATGATTACATGGCTGTACTCCAGACTAGACAACAGAGCAAGACCCTGTCTCAATCAATCAATCAATCAATAAAATTGTTTTCTTTACTGAGACATTAAAATTGGTATATCTAAGGATCTCACTTTCTTACTGTAAAACCTCAAAGTTTTACTATTAGTCCACTAAGATTTACTCAGGGTTATTACAAATTCAATTAGTTCATGGTCTCACTGAGTTGGAAAGTATGCTAAGCACTATCATTCATAAATAATTGTAAAACTTAGTTGTGGAACTCGACAAAGATGAGGCTGAACTTACGGCCTGTTCAACCAACAGGCTGTACTCTAAAAGCCCATTTATAAGTTATCTGGAACCCAGAGAACATTTCATTTCATGTAAAATTACCACTAAGTTGGTACTTAAGTTCCCAAGAAATAAATAACTATTAGACAGTTAATAACTAATAGATAACTATTAAATAGAGAACTAGATAATAATTAGATAATAGATAATTATCTATAACTAATAGATAACTATTCAACTCATTTGTCCTTTTCTAATTTAAAATCAGAAAAACGTTATTATGGTGCAAGAAAATCAAGTGTGTGTTGTGTGTGCATATACAGACAAGAAAATCAAATGCAAGTGTATGTGTGGGATGTATATGCAAAAACTCTAACTTAAGGAAAAGAAGCTTCACATCAAGAACACAGAAGTTAAATCCATGGAGGCTGAGAAGATAATTTCCACTCAGTTCCAAGGGCAAAGGACACTGATGATGCTAGGTTCACTGGACCTGTTGTCCCCACATGTGGACGGTGTCGCTAACATTGCTGACAGCTTCACAGTCTTAACAGCAACATAATAGGGGAAAGGAGAAAGCGTTTAAACAGATGTAGAGACCAAGTTAACAGTGTGATGAATCATCAGCAGATGAGGGGGACGGAGGGGCAAGTGTGGCACAGGCACAAGAGGACAATGTTTGTCCCCTCCAAACTCCACACTGAAATTTAATCCCGAATGTCAGAAGTGGGGCCTAATGGGAAGTATTTGGGTCATGGGGGCAGATCCCTCATGTATACATTAATGCCCTCCCCCAACCACCCCCCGCTTTGAGGGTGCGTGAGTTCTCACTCCGTTGGTTCCCACAAGAGCTGGCTGTGAAAAGAGCCTGGGACACCACCACCACCACCCGCTCCCTTCCTTCCTCTCTCGCCATGTGAGCTCAGCACACGACAGCTCCCCTTCACCTTCCACCACGAGTAGAAGCAGCCTGAGGCCTCACCAGATGCAGATGTCCAGTCTTGAACCTTCCAGCCATCAGAATTGTGAGCCAAGTAAACCTCTTTTCTTTAAAAACTACCCAGCCTCAGGTATTCTTTTATAGCAGCACAAAACAGACTAAGAGAACATCCAAGAGGAAAAGAAAAAGGCCCTTTCCCGGCTACTCTAAGAAACTCGGCATTCAGAAGCCTGGTGTAGTTATTCAGGGACTGCCCAAAAAATACATAAGTGTGAGACAAGCATTCATAAAGAAAACGAGATGGAAATAAAACTCTGGGTCCCCACCAGAAAGAAGACAGATAGACATCATCACCTGTGAGTGCCCTCCTCTCTCTCCTGTGAGTTTGGCGATGGGTCTATCCCCTCCAAGGCCTACCTGGCATAACCATAAGTGAGGGTTTTATGCACAGAAAGACCTCTGAAACCTCTGCCACCAACCAGCTGGGTGACAACTTCTCTGAGCCGCAATTCTCTCACGGGTAAAATGGGATGACAGACACTTATCATTCAAGGTGTCCAGAGGATTAAATGAAGTGCTGCATGCTGAGGCACAGCACAGCAACGACGCTTAGTGAAATTCCAAAAATGCCGGTGACTCATTGTAATCTGTGATAGGGAATGTCTGTCACCCCCTTGAGCCAACAGGTGCTGGTGCACAGTGAGTGCTCTACAGGGTTAGCTTAAAAAACATAACAAGGCCGGGCACGGTGGCTCACGCCTGTAATCCCAGCACTTTGGAAGGCCAAGGCGGGCAGATTGCTTGAGGTCAAGAGTTCAAGACCAACCTGGCCAACATGGTGAAACCCCATCTCTATTAAAAATACAAAAATTAGCTGTGCATGGTGGCGTACGCCTGTAGTCCCAGCTACTCAAGAGGCTGAGGCAGGAGAATCGCTTGAATCCAGGAGACAGAGGTTGCAGTGAGCAGAGATCACGCCACTGCATTCCAGCCTGGGCAACAGAGTGAGACTCCATCTCAAAAAAACAAAAAAACAAAAAACAAAACAAAACAAAAAACGTAACAAGAAGGTCCCTTCCTAAGCTACTGGGGGGAGGGCTGGAGTGAGACTTGTGGCAGATGGAGCAGAGACTGAGCAAGGTGGGCAGGGCCAGCCTGGGCACACAGCCAGAGAGGAAGGGGGAGGGCGCTAGAGTGAGACCCAAGCCACCGTCTGCTCAAGTACTGCGCCGAAACCAGGGTGGAGCCGGGAGGAAAAACCACAGGCCCTCACAGGAACAGGGGCTCAGCCAGAGAGTTGAAAAACTCTTTTTTCAAACCCATGTAACAACATAGTAAAATGACAGGGGATTATCTGTTCACCAAGTGAGTGCCCAGCAACATGACAAAATGACCCCAGAGTCAGCTACCCCAGAGTCTGGGAGAGGAAAGGACCATGGCCACCCCTAGGCCTCCCCAAGCCTCAGCTTCCTCATTAAGCCCACTGTATGTGGGACAGTATGGTCCTCATCAGGCTGCTGTGAGGTATGGCAGGTCAAATAATGCCCCCTGCAAAAGAGGTTCACGTTCAAATCCTTGGAACCTATTAATGTTACCTTATACAGCAAAGGATTTGCAGACTCAATTAAGTTTCGAATCTTGAGATGAGATTATCCTAGATTACACTGGTAGGCCCCAAATGCCATCACAAATGTCCTTATATGAAGGCAGGAGATTTCGGAGAGAAGAGAGGGCCGTGTGACAGAAGCAGAGAGAAGCGGAGTCACGGAGAGAAGATGTTACCCTGCTGGTGTGAAGATGAGGAAGGGGCCGGCAGCCGAGGCAAGCCAGCAGCCACAGAATGGATTCCGCCCTAAGCTACTGGAGGGAACATGGCCTTGCCCACAGCTTGATTCAGCCCAGTGATTCTGGAGGCCAGAACAGTGAGAGAATAAGTTCCTTTCGCTTTAAGCCACCGAGTTTGTTACAGCAACCACAGGAAGCTAATACAAGGGATTAAAAGGGAAGTGGATACAAAGCAATCAGCACGCTATCTGGCACGTGGTAGGAACTCGAGAATCCCCATTAGTGAAGGACAGTTCCTGACATCCTCCCTGGGCCACCAACCCATCCTCAAAAGCTGTGTGAAAACCTACAACCTTGTACTGCAATAACGAGCTCTGTACTCTGCTCACAAAAGCTCCTTCGTGTGTATCGTCTCAGTTGATTCTGTCCTAAAAAGGAGTTTCCAAGGTTGTCCAAGGACTCTCGGCTTGTCACATATAAATACAACACTGCCACAGGCCTTGTCTTCAACATTCAGTTCAATTAGTTAAAATATTTCACAGGATGGCCTCTGCTGATATCTCATGGAGCAGACCCTCCTGATCTCAGGCATCATGAGCTGTGATCAGGGCCATCTTACCTTGCAGAAACACAGCACAAGTACTTCTCTCAGCCACAGGCCTTGCAACTGTCAACAGAGAAGCTGGTGCCGAGTTCTGACATGGGAACTGAGAACTCTGCCCCTGTCAGGGCAGACATGGCAGAAGAAGAGGCTGGGCAGGCAAAAAAAGACACTGGCTAGCACTTGACCTTCCAAACTGCTTTTCAGCTTGACTCATGCAAAGAGGTTTATCTCTCCCCTAAACCCCCTGCTTTTTGTTTCTTCAGCCCTTGCTCTGTGCACCCCCACTCTCGATTTTCCTCTTTGAGGAGCGAGTCCCAAGTGTCGAAACCCACCATGTGCAATAATTCCACTTCCTCCGTCGTGCTCGGCCTCCATCATGCAGACCCTGGGGCCTCAGCTTCCCCTGGGTTGCTGCGAGGATGTGGCCCCATGAATCTGACGGCTCTCCTGCCCTCCCCTCTGCCCCATTTTGTTCGAGACTCAGGGCTGTGCTGTCCCAACCTTCCCCAGCCTGTGCAAGATTTGAAGACTGTCCCCTTCATCAAGCCACAGCAGCCCTCAGCCACAAAGAGCTCAGGGTGGAGCCTCAAAACCTCAAGAGTATCTTAAAGAAAAAATGAAGAAAAAGAAGAAGCCTATTCACTTCCTAAAAACAGCCATCTGCAGGCCCTCTGAGATATCTTTTTTGCACCCATTCTTCTACAAGCTTCTGCCAGCGCCAGGTTCACTGGGTGGAGACCGTGTACCCTAAGCCAACTGACTACTGACCACTATCAGGCAGGAGACAAGGGCTGTGCACGGAGCGAGCAGAGACTGGAGGAAAAGCTGCCTCAGCATTCCTCAGCCCCTGGCACCGCATGCAGCAGACCCTAGGGCTAACAGCTCACACCTACCAGACCTTCACTTGACCATGGACGCTCATGGCTCTGGTCTGCCCTAAATCCCGCACAGGGGCTTGTAAGCAGTCTCGCAGGCACATGCCTGTGAGCCCTCCGCAGGTGGCTACTACTTCCTGCTCTCCTACAGACAGACCCCAGGGCCAGCTCCACAAGTCAATTCCTTTGTGCCTGAAAACTACCTGCTGCGTGAGTGAATGAGAAGGGGCAGGTGTGCTCCCAGTTGGTAACTTTGCATCACCTCGCCTGTGATGAATGACCATGCCATATCACAGATTCAGAAACTGAAGACCACCAACCAACATGACTCCAAAATGTACGTGCAACGTGCTGCCCAGGCCGTTGCCTTCCCTCTGAGATGTAGAGCACCTTGGTTGGAACAGCTGAAATGCTGGGAGGGCATGGCCAGAACCAGCCTCAGCGAGACACCATCACAGCTGAAATGTAGACTTCCACACAAGCACTGTGTGTTCCTGGGCCTGGCTGTCATTAAGGTCCCTGCAGAACCATCTGCCCTTGCACCTGCAGCTTGAGTTGGCCGCTTGATAGGCCAGGCAGAGGAAAGCCCAACAGAGCCAATGTACCTGAAACTGGGGTCAAAAGCAGCTTTGACAAGCCTCACTCAGGATGCTACAGGTTAGTTTAAAATGTCTGTGGGCTGGGCGCGGTGGCTCACGTCTGTAATCCCAGCACTTTCGGAGGCCGAGGCGGGCAGATCATCTGAGGTCAGGAGTTCAAGACCAGCCTGGCCGACATGGTGAAACCCCGTTTCTACTAAAAATACAAAAATTAGCCGGATGTGATGGCACACACCTGTAATCCCAGCCACTTGGGAGGCTGAGGCAGGAGAATGGCTTGAACCCGGGAGGTGGAGGTTGCAGTGAGCCAAGATTGCAACAGAGCACGATTCTGTCTTGAATAAAAATTTTAAAAAATTAAAAATTAAAAATAAATAAAAAATAAAATGTCTGTGTGTTGGCTGGACATGGTGGATCACACCAGTAATCCCAGCACTTTGAAAAGCTGAGGCAGGTGGATTGCTTGAGCCCAGGAGTTCAATACCAGCCTAGGCAACATAGCCAAACCCACAAAAAAAAATTAAAAATTAGCCAGGCATGGTGGCATACACCTGTAGTCCCAGCTACTCAGGAGGCTAAAGTGGGAAGATCACTTGAGCCTGGAAGGCAGAGGCTGCAGTGAGCCATGATCCTGCCACTACACTCCAGTCTGGTTGACAGAGTGACACCCTGTCTCAAAAAAAAAACAATAATAATTAAAAAAATAAAAGGTCTGTGTGTAACTAGAAGGTAATATTTTATTTTATTTTTATCTATTTATTTATTTATTTTTGAGACAGAGTCTCCATCTGTTGCCCAGGCTAAAGTGCAGTGGCACGATCTCGGCTCACTGCAACCTCTGCCTCCCGGGTTCAAGCGATTCTCCTATCTCAGACTCCTGAGTAGCTAGGACTACAGGCGCCTGCCACCACGCCCAGCTAATTTTTTGTATTTTTAGTAGAGATGGGGTTTCACTGTGTTAGCCAGGATGGTCTCGATGTCCTGACCTCATGATCCGCCCACCTTGGCCTTCCAAAGTGCTGGGATCATAGGCGTGAGCCACCACGCCTGGCCACTAGAAGGTAATATTTTAGAGACATGTGCCTTACAAATAGTATCTAACCATTAACTGCCCATTTCCCAAAGAAAACCCTACAGGCCAGGTCATAATTGAAATAAACGGGCAGAAGCTTAAACACGTCGTCTAACCCCACCCTCTTTTTCCAGCTAGAATGATGCTCAATCCAGCCAGAGCCTAGGCCCAGACCTCAGAGCAAGGGGGGTGCAGCTTCCTTCACAAAACTAACGTATTAGTGTGAAGCACAGGCTGGAAAGAAGCTAACAGGCATCCAGAGAGCACTGGTTGAAGAATCTGCAGCACAGCCTGGCAGCAGGCCAGCATGCAGCTGGACAATGGAACACAAAACTCCTTGTGGGCCAGTGAAACCGTCAGAAGAGGCACACAGCGAGCACGCAGCATGGCACCAGGGATGTGGAAAACTGTCTCATGTCTGCACATGCAGGCCTGCTGGCATATACACAGCATAACTTCAGAAAAAAACCCAACAAGCACATGGCATTGGTGTCTTAAGGGAGGGGACATGGATGGCTAGAGGATAGGGTAGGAAACAGGCTTTACCACATATCCTGCTATATTTTACAATTTTTAAGCCATGAAAATGTTTGCCTATTAAAACATAAAATGTTATCAAATTTGTCAAACCAAGTTAAGTACAGGGAGGTTTTTGAGAAGTCTCTCCAAGAGACATTAGTGCACAGCCAATAAGGGGATGGAAGATTTCAAGGAGCCCTGCTCTGGGGCAGGCACCCCTGCAGGTGACAGAATCAAAGCTAGGCCCACACCTGTTGCTGGCAGTGACTGCCACGGCCTTGGCAATGAGCATCCCTTGCTCTCCGCCCTTCACTTCCTTCTTCTCTGACTTGTCTCCTTCCACTCTGTTTGCCTCCTCTGCCATGTCACTACATCATGTGGCATAGTGAAGTCTATATTCCAAGTCAGAGTCCCAGTTAGAGATGGAGGGTGGTGTGGCAGAACCATGAGCCAACCCCCGTCCCTGTAATCATCTCTCACTACCAAACCACCCCCTCGCCAGCTACTGGCTCACAGGCTTGACTGTGTCTTTTTGCACTGCACCCACTGTGCAGATACCCCATGAGGTCACGGGAAGGGCGTGGCTATGGAGAAGATGGAACCGGCTGCAGCTGCCCAGCCAGCTATTTCACACTGTAGGGAGAGCCCCTGAGACAATTAATACCATTTCTAGAAACCAGCATTTCTGGGTTTCTTTACACCCCAATGCTTCCTCTTCCTCATGGTGTTTCAGCACAGTGTTTCACAGGTGGATTAGAGGGGGCGCAGACGATTCTTCTCCAATGCTGGGTTTCATTTCTGTCATTTCACAGATAACAGCTTCACCCCTGACCCCATGGGTGCCAGGGACACCCTGCCCTGTGGTCTGCATTGTGGACATCCTGCAGCAGGACCCACTGCCACACAGCGCTGGGTGAGCCGCAGCATCCACAACTGTAAAGCCAACACAGAGCGGAGACAAGGAGGCCAAGTCGCGGCCCACAATCCCCTAAAACTGGTGGTTAGAGCACAGGCATTATTGTAAGAATTACTATGATCCAAGAAAGGGTCTCCCCAAACCATGAAAATGACTATGGAACTGCTTCTGTCACTTAAAGTAATGACACAAACAAAAAGAATGAAAGAGTCTTAAAAAAGTCTGACACCCTCCAGTGTGGGATGAATGAATTCCCAAACTTTACAAAAGGCCTGAAGGGGCTCGAGCCCCCCGGGTGATCTGGCCCTGCCTCTCCTGAGCCTCCTTCCTGATGCATTGCCCCAGTCCCTCCTCATTTATCTCTGAAGACCCCCAGGTTGAGCCACTGCCCTTCCATGACACATAACTCACCCTTCCCTGAGGCCCTGTGATGCTCCCCAAAACCCACAAGAGGAAGAGGCCACCTTTCCTGGGTGCCCCTACCCTACTAGGCTTCTCTGCACCCTTGCACCTATAATACCACACTTGCATATATGTGTACATGTATATGGGGAAAATTTTTACTTTTAATTTTAAACATACACACACACACACACACACACACACACACACGATGACCAAACCCAAAGGTGTGGCACCTTCTCACCCAGAAGTGGAAGCAGACCTAGGTTCCAGCCACCTGGACAAAAGGGCTTGTGTGCCAAGGATAAAAAAGGTCACTGCTGAGAACAGGCTTCTGCCTTTGACTCAGCAAACTGACAGTTCTGGTTTCTCCCTGAGAACTTACTGGGGCAGCAGCTGTGCAGTGGATTCTGGTCTCCCCTCCTTCTCCTCAGTTAGACTGAACCTCAACTTGACCTCAGGGAAGCAGGCTGTCTTCCCAAGAGAGGCTGAGGCTTTTCTTGCTACTTTGACAAGGACAGACTAGCTTTATTCATTCGTTCACTCAACAAACATTGATTATATGCCTATTTTGTGCCAGGCACAGTGGGGCACTCTGGACCTACAAAGAAAACCAAGCTATTGTCCCTGCCCTGAAGGATGCTTAAGTCTTATGACAGCCCAGATCCATGATGTTCGCAGGGTGTGTCCATAGAGAACTCTGGCAATCTTCACACTGTGAATGCCATTGTGGGACACAATGCCCCTGTAGCATGCAGTAAAGTAGAATCTAACACTTGAGCAACTTCTCCAGACCCTCAAGGAATTACTATTAACCAGTTGCACACCAAGGAGGAGAGGGTAAGAGGGCCTCCCAAACACGGACACAGGTGTCCCCCTCAGCACTCTGCACGCCAGCCCTCCAGGGTGTCCTGGTAGACTTTCTTACTTTCATGTTGTTTTTCCTTTTGGCTACTCAGCAGCGACCCCCTTCCTCCTAATAGCTCCCTGAACTCTACCCTCCCTTAGGCCACTCAACCAGGGTAGGGAGGAGTGGGCGGGAAACCAGGTGAGGCAATCAGAGTGCTGATTTTCCCAGGTGCAGGGACCACTGGTTTAGGGGCAAGCCCCTGGCCGAGGTCTACTCAGTGTCACTCCCACTCCTGGGCCAGTCCAGACCTGAACTATCCATCTTGTCTCATGAGTGAGCGGCATTTCCGAAGGACAAAGCTCTGCCTGAGCACTATGCAATCCTGACTTGGTGTCATATTCTGTGCTCCATGAATGCTCCAATCACACTGGTGGCAAATGTGGTAAAAGTCAGTCAAAATCAAGCACTTCGGGTGCCTTTGGGCGTGTGGTGGCTACCATCCTGACGGGTGTTAGCGGGCCACAAAGAGTGTGCTGAGAGCCACCTTCCACAGTCAGCCATGCTTTGAGAACTTCGCCTCCGCTGTACTTCTCTCCCTGCCATGATCCGCCGATGCTGCCTACCCGCTTAAGGTCTGGAGATGCAATGTGGAAATCAGAGCCACATCCCCCCTGGCCATGCCTCACTCTCTGCATACATGCTGCATACTTAGGGGTCCCAACACCTTTTGTTTCTCCTGGAAAAAAAATGTGCAGCATCCCATTCATTGGGCCAGAGTCTCACCCAGGATACCAGCAGAATGGGAAAGCAAGCCCCAAAAAACACACAGAACAGCACAGCCATGAAGGGGCAGGAAGGCATTTCTATGAAGTTCGGTGGTCAGCTCCCTCAAGTAAAATACTCCACTCTCAAAGAGGAAAAAAAATCTGAATGTTTTTATGGAGAAAGAACTGGCTAGCAAAACAATCTGGAAGATAATCACTAGGCTCAGGCATCACAGGCAGCAATGATTCATCTTGGGTACCAGGAAACGTGTTGTGTTCAGTTGCTGCCTATCCGTAGCCACTCCCAGGGTAGAGAAGGTGAGAAAGGGCTATTTGATGATTTTTTTTTTCTGAGGCAGAGGCAAGCCCCTGTCACCAAGACTGGAGTGCAGCGGTACAATCATAGCTCACTGCAACTTTGAACTCCTGGGCTGAAGCTATCCTCCTGCCTCAGCCTCCTGAGCAGCTGGGACTACAGATGTGTGTGCACCACCATGCCCAGCTAATTTTTTAATTTTTAGTAAAGATGAAGTTTCACTATTTTGCCCAGGCTCAAGCCTTGTTTAAACGTTAAGTTAGGCAGGGTGTGATGGCTCATGCTTGCAATCCAAGCACTTTCGGAGGTTAAGGCAGGAGGATCATTTGAGGCCAGGAGTTCCAGACCAGCCTGGGCAACATAACAAGACCTCATTTAAACAAAAAAAAAAAAAAAAAAAAATTTTTGTTTAATTAGCTGGGCACAGTGGCATATGCCTGTAGTCCTTGCTAATTGGGAGGCTGAGGTGGGAGAACTGCTTGAGCCCTAGAGTTTGAGGCTGCAGCGAGCTATGGCTGTCTACTACACTATAGCCTGGGCAACAGAGCGAGACCCCGTCTCTAAAATAAAATAAAACAAAAATAAGAGTTTCTCCCTAATATAGTCAACATCTACATAATCAGAAAAAGCTAGCCAATCCTATTTCTAGGCCTGCCTAAGTAGCAAGCTCAAACAGCTTTAATAAACCAAACTCCTGTTTATTGTCTCAAATGTTTAATTTGCAGACAAATCTACGTTCTGAGGTAAAAATAGCAACTGTTTGTATTCATTACAGTAGTCAATTAAGTTAGGTTCACAGTCTACGTCACAGGCTGCTAGTTCCCATGACAAACACTGGTACAATCCTAATAGTTTACAAAACAGCCAACCTATGATATGAAACACTGATCAAATCCTGGGATGACCAGTTCCCAAAGAATGACACAGCAGTTACTGCCCTGGAATTTAGTCATAGCTCATGTAATCCTGTTTTTGTTTGTTTGTTTGAGACAGGCTGGTCTCACTATACCGACCAGGCTGGTATCAAACTCCTGGGCTCATGCAATCCTCCTGCCTCGGTCTCCCAAGTAGCTAGAGAATACAGCCTCACCAGGTGCATGCCACTAAGCTAACCCAGCTAGATCTAATCCTATTTTAAATGAGTTACATCCACTACTGCTTAAAACTCTCTTTGCTCCAGAGGGGCTGAGGCAGGGTGGCCAGTGCCCTGAGTGTCTGGGCTGGGACATACCCAGGGACAAGGCCCAACAGTCAAATCCCCAATGAGAAAGGCCAATGTTGTCCCACAGGAGAAACTGAATGAGATTAACTTTAAAACCTGAATGCTCCTTACCATGCAAGTTGGTACAAAGTTGTTTCCAGTGACACTGCTGGAAATAAAAACCCACCCACTCACCATTTGTGAAGTGGCCCCTCACCACTTCACAACCCATCCACTGGCTTTCTTCTCTCTTTGACAAAAGATATTAATATCTAGCTTGGTAAAGACATTAGACTAATTAAAGAATAATTAAATAATCAACTCAAAACACAAAGATCTTCCTCCCTCCAATGGAGTTATTTAACACACCATACAGTTCAAAGGCACCTACAATAATAGTCACAAAACACGTGTTTTGGGCAATCGATGGTTGAACACTATTTGTAAGACTGTTTGCACTATCAAGTAAGACAAGCTCCTGTTCTCATGGTCTCTGCAGTGTTTCCAGAAGAAAGGGGTGAGAATGAAAAACGTAAAAGTAGCTGGGTACAGTGGCTCATGCCCTGTAATCCCAGCAATTTGGGAGGCTGAGGCAGGAGGATTGCTTGATGCCCGGAGTTCAAGACCAGCCTGAGCAACACAACAAGACCCAGTCTCTAGAAAAAATTAAAATTAAAAATTAGCCAAGTGTGGTGGCACACGCATGCAGTCATTGCTACTTGGGAGGCTGAGGCAGGAGGATGCTTGAGCCCAGGAGGTCAAGGCTACAGTGAGCTATGATCACACCACTGCACTCCAGCCTGGGCAACACAGCAAGACTCTGTCTCTAAAAATAAATAAATAAAAAATGTAAAAGCTTTTAGCAATGGCAACCTCCCTGTAACGTGTTCAGAGCACCTTCTACAACTTATATAGTTGTATCCATTTGACATTTGAAGCCCTTTTTTTCTTTTTAATCATTTTCTGCTTTAACTGGTAATTTCAAGTCCATGTATCCTTTTTGAAACAAGTCAGGAATGGCTAACAGGAAAGAAAGCTGCCAGAAAGAGAAAGACAGTCCAGACCTGAACCAGAAGATAAGTGTGCATAAAGTATGCTGGAGTCAAGTGGTCTCCATCAGTCAATGGGAAAATGACAAGGGCTGGACTTACAAAAATGCTGTAGTTGTACTGGGGGACTGTCTGCAAAGGGCCTCAGAAGGAGTGATGGAGAGAGGCTGGAAAAGCCAAGGAAAGGCACGGGACGCTCTAGCTGGACCAGGAAGAATGTGGTCTGTGTGACACACAGGCAGCTTCCCTCTCCACTGACATATCCTTGGTACTCCAGGGTCTCTGACACTATGTTTCTTCTTCTCTAGAAAGCTACTGCTGAATCACTGCAGAGGGGAGAGAAAGTGAAAGAATAAAAAGGCAGTATTTCCAAGGCAACAGACCAAAGAACAACTTCCCTAAATAGACACTTGTATGTGTGTGTGTGTCTTAGTCCAATGCCAACTAAATCAAGAACATACCACACTTCACCCATGTAGCCCCTGGGCACTATCACCACTCCATTCCACTGTCAGGGAGGATTCGACGGGGGAGGAACAAAGGAAATCACCTTCACTAGATGAACAAGAAAGGAGGAGGGTGAGATTCAGGCATGACTTCACCAAGTCACTGGCAAGTTGGGGACAAACCACAAATGAGACTGCTAGCGCTTCCCTTCTACCTGAGGTGGGCACAGTCTACCAGCAAGGTGTCGTCCCTAAGGCCAATCCATTTACTCACTCCCCTCTTCCAAACCATAGGAATGACAATATTTGGAAGATTCTGGGGTATCTTTTTTTTTTCTTTTTTTGTAGAGACAGGGTCTCACTCTGTCACCCAGGTTGGAGTGCACTGGTGCGATCATAGCTCACTGCAGCCTCGACCTCCTGGATTCAAGTGATCCTCCCGCCTCAGCCTCCCAAGAAGCTGGGAATATAGGTGTGCACTACTATACCTGGCTAATTTTTTAATTTTTAGTAGAGACAAGGTCTTGCTTTGTTGCTCAGGCCGGTCTGAACTCCTGGGCTCAAGAGATCCTCCTGCCTTGGCCTCCCAAAGTGCTGGGATCACTGGCCTGAGTCACCTTACTCAGCCTATCCTGACATTTCTTGGCACCTAGCCCTATTTTAAAACATTGGGTTCTGTCAAACATACCACTGTATTGCCATTTGAGTATCACCCAATTATGTAATGTGATCATTTAACATTTGTATACACAGAGCACGAAGAATGAATAAGAAATGTGAAAATACTCAACATTTCAGCTCATACAATCCTTAGTCCTTCCATTCTTTAAAAAAACAGTGTCAGTAAAAGGCTCAGTTGGGTCAGTGACCAGCTGACTAAGAGTTTACAGAGTGCAAGCCCTCCACTTCCTCCTCCCACCCCCCGCCCACATCCTTCTCCTCTCAACTTCGCTGGATGTCCCTGCCTCTCAGCACCTCCCTCTTCTGTGATATTTCCCCTGGAAGGTACCCTGAGCAGGAGTCAACAATAGGGTGTACTCCAGCCCTTTGAGCACATGTGAAAAATAAGAGTACTGTGGGGAAAACAGTTACCAAGACTGTCAAGTGGAGCAGGGGTCGAAACATTCATGTTTGCACCGGTCCAGTGCACTGCAGTTCACAGCCCTCTCCTATGTATATTATCAATCCCCACCACCCTCCTGTGAGCCTAGCACCTTCCCCATTTTACAGATGAGAAAGCTGACTTGGGTTCACATCCAGCACTACAATCCAACTTGCCCCTACCCCCAAAAAACAAACACAGACATGCCAAAGCCACTACTACATAAGCTTTGTGATACAAACCAGACTAGCGCCTGCATTAAATAATGGGGATCATAGCTGACTCTAAGCCAGCCTTGGGAACTGTCCTGACAGTGTTAAGGCACAGAGGATTCCAGCGGGGAGTCAAAAGCAGCAATGCTTTCACTGGGGCCAGCCCCAAACAAGGAGACTCTCTCTCTCTCTCTTATGTAGAAATATGCTGATCCACCTGTTAGGTAAAGGACCCATCTGGCATCCAGAGTTAAATTTTTTTTTGAGAGGGAGTTTTGCCCTGTCACCCAGGCTGGAGTGCAGTGATGTGATCTCGGCTCACTGCAACCTCCACCTCCTGGGTTCAAGCGATTCTCCTGCCTCAGCCTCCCAAGTAGCTGGGATTACAGGTGTGCACCACCACACCCAGCTAATTTTTGTATTTTTAGTAGAGACGGGTTTTCACTACGTTGGCCAGGATGGTCTTGAACCCCCGACCTCAGGTGATCAACACACTGCCTGCCACTGTCTCTCCTGTCTGTCAGTGTGGCTGTGCAGAGGACTCCTCATCAGGAGGATTTGGCTCAGATGGCTTACTACCACGAACAATACGCCAGAGCAGGACCAGGCTCAGGACTTTGTGCCTGCTCCTCACGCCCCCAGCTCCACTCCCACTGGCCCTCACCACTGAAAGTCTCCTCTGGTTTTAGGTCATTGGTTCTTGATCTATGGCGAGTCACAGACCACCAGGTTCTGACAAAAGTCACAGGTCGCACGCCCAGGAAAAGACCCCAAGTGTATACACATCCAGCGTAGGCCCCACCTTCCTACAGGTTAGGACCCCCTGCACTCAGCCCTAGGGTTTGACACATCTTTACCAAAATCCACTCTAAGAAACAGTCACACCATAACAACACCCCAAATACACTACATGTGAATAACTAGATGTTTTACCAAAAAATGCTTATCCTTCCCATAGGAAACGTACTTGGATATTTGCTATTTCAAAAAGCTTTTTAATGCCAGTTACAACCTCAAATTGATTTCATGAACCACTGCATTTTGAAACATGCTGTGTGGACCCTTCTCTAGCATGTTTCCTCCTCAGGTGCCCTTCCTTCCGCAATAATTAGTGCTAATGTGGTTAGAGCTCAGTGCAAGACTACTCCTAAACGTTATTTTTATGTATTAAGATGAATCTTTAAAGCTGAAAACCCAGAAATATCTCAACTCTTTAGTTTCAGGAAAAATTCGGAAAAGTGGGTCATTGTGATCTCACAAATTACACCGTGGAGGTGGCTATTTATTTCACCCAAACATCAAGTTGGAGTTGTACTTGCAAAAAAGGGGACATAACACAGGTAAAAATCACCACTGAAAGTAGTCACTTGGGCTGTCTCCAGGCCAATTCCCTAAATATTTCTCAAGCACCTACTAACTGCACTGCTCTTTTTTCCTAGCTGAGCAAGGAGTAGCAGCGTAGGCAACCCCTACACAAATGAACACACTTCAGGAATGGCTTCAGAAGGTGAGTCATAACAGCTCTTTGGGACTCTTCAGCACCAGCCAGGTAGACTCCATCCCTGCTAGGCCAGAGAGGGACCTGGAGCTGGAGTGTTACTGAGGTTGCTTCCTTTAGCACCGAGCTGTACAGGGAGAGTACAGGCCATGCTTGGAGGAGCTGGAGAAGCTTGAGGCAAGGGGGCTGAGAAACTTATATGGGTGGACAAGCTGGCGAATGGGGGGCAGGGGAAGGACTCCGGAGAGCAAAGCGGCCCCCAGGGCCGTAAACACTGGCTAGTTCACACTGTGGGCTGGCCACCCACCATCCTCTCTTCCTTCTTGCTATTCTAGGACCTAACCTCCTCCCCGGTCCTCAGGAAAAGTCAGCCCTGTCTCCAGCTGGGGAGTAGGGGAGTCTTGATTAAACTAAAAGAGCTGTTCTCCAATGTGACCTTGCATCAGAATCACCTGGAAGTCTTCTTAAAGCACAGCTTTCTGGGCCCCATCCCAGAGTTTCTGATTCAGTGGGTGGGGTAGGATCCACTAATCTCCAGTTCTAACAAGTTCTCAGGTAATGCTGATGCTACTGGTCTGAGGACCACACCTGGAGGACCACCAGCCTAAGCCAACCAGCACACAGCACTCTCACAGCCTCATGTTGCTGGTCCAGGGAAGGCCACGTGACCCTTTGCTCCACAGGCCAGAGGGAAGGACTGGTAGACACTGTGGCTGGGGAATCAGCTGCTTTGTCTCCTTCCCTGCTCCTGCTGGACAGGAACAAGGAAGCACGCAGTCCCACTGCCCCCAACGACCATCTCAGAATCATGAGGAGACTAACCCCCTAGGATGAAACCGGCAGTGATGGCTGGACAGAGGAGCAGAATCGAGGTCCTTGATGAAACTGCTGACATGCTGATGGAGACTCCAGTTCTCTGAGATAATAAATGTCACTGTTGGCAACCAAAAGCATCCCAACTGACACACCCCATAATCCAGGGAGAAGCTTGAACTGGGCATCCTTGTTTCCTAGTAGAGCCCTGTTTCCCAGAAACAACCATCTGCCTAAATACTTCCTTCACATTTCCAGAGTTTATACACTTAGGTCATCCTTCTTGAAAATTCAAATTAATTGGTTTGAGAATACACCCTTTAGAGATGCAAGCAACATGAGAGAGGGAAAGAAGGGCGTTCAATATGCTAGGGTGAATTAATAATAGACAGCTTCCATAACAGCAGCTGACACCACCTGCGTGAGGGCTATGGGAGGGGCAGGAAAGGGGCAGGGGGTTTTCAGGAGACATCAGAATACCACCTAGTGAGGTGCAAAAAGAGGGGCGCTGCAGCAACCGGAGGTCAGGAAAACTACCAGGTGTCTCAGGGAAAGCGCTCTAGGAGGATCCCAGGACCGGAGCTGGCAGCGGGTAAACACTTTCCTCTTTCAGAGGTCCCCACCCTTCTTCCTGGACATCAGAGGACATCCCTGTCTTCCTGACCCTATTCCAGAAAATAGACCTCACCAGAGCATGATCCCCCCACTGCCCCCACCATATACATCTGCTTACTGTGCCTAAGTCCCTCGCCAGGTGAGCCTCACTGAACAAGTTTCATATTAAAAGGCCAGCAGTCTCACCCATGCTCCAGGTTAGGGCTGTGGGCAAACACCAGAGGCCAGCTGGGCTGGCTGGCTGGCAGGCCTGGGCCTGACAGCCTGATAGGGCATGACAAAGGTATGTGCAAAGACCAGAAAGAGACATGCACACTGCACCCAGGACCCTGGCTTTCCAATCCCAGACAGGCTATGGTGAAAGGGACAGCTAAGGCCGGGTGCAGTGGCTCATGCCTGTAATCCCAGCACTTTGGGGGGCAGAGGTGGGTGGATCACCTGAGGTGAGGAGTTCAAGAACAGCCTGGCCAACATGGTGAAACCCCGTCTCTACTAAAAATACAAAATTAGCCAGGCATGGTGGTATATGCCTGTAATCTCAGCTACTAGGGAGGGTGAGGCAGGAGTACTGCTTGAACCCAGGGGGCGGAGGTTGCAGTGAGCCGAGGTTGCAGGCTAGAGCCACTGCACTCTAGCCTAGGCGACAGAGTGAGACTCCATCTCAAAAAAAACAGAAAGAGACAACTAAGAGATTAAATCCACAGAGGAAAGGCTGATCTAATTCCAAGCTCTGCCAACCACCCACACTCTGTATACGAATCCATTGTAATGCTTCCGTTCTGCACACTTACTAGGCACCAGGATTAAATGTTAATTCATTTAATCCCCCAACAAGCCTCTGGGGCTGCTACTACCAGCAGCCCAGTTTTGTGGATGAAATAACTGAGGCACAGAAAGATTAAGCCACTTGCCCAAAGTCACACAGCTAGCTGGATGCTCACAGAAAGTGCAGCACCAGAGTCCACAATAGTTCTAGGGATAAAATAAATGGTTTCGAAAGATGTGTATGCTCAGCAAAAAGGACTGTGTAAAAGAAATTCCTGATTTATAAACCAAAATACTGAAAACAGAAATTGTTGATACTGGCAAATCCAGGTAATCAATTTTTATCCCTCATTGAAAAGCTTTCATTTTTCAATCCTGTGAAGGAAGTTAGGTGATATAACTGGGTTTTAGTCCCAGTTGAGCCTCTTTTAACTACCCTCGGGGGATGCTCTAACCACTCCTCAACACCACAGCTCACCTTTGGACAGAACCTCCCACAGGATGTCCAGGGAGGCCTGGCATGCAGGGGGTACTCAGAAAAGCTTGGGTTCCTTGTCATTTAGGACTTTAAAAAAAAATTAAAAAAGCATCACACTTAAAAAAACATTCTAAAGCTGCCAAGAATAAAATTCAAAGTTACCGTAACTTCCACAATCTAGTAAGATAAGGAAAAACAGCCCAACAAGAAAAAATGAACAAAGGATATAAACAGGTAATTCATTAGAAGTTAAAATATACATTAACAAGAAAAGGTATCCAATATTTTTGGTAATTTGGGAAATGCAATTAAAACAATAATGTCTTCCTTGCCCATTAGATTGGCAAAATTAACAAGATTTATTCTCTTAAATGTTGGCCAAGTTAAAGGGAAACAGACAGTTTCAAAGCCTAATGGAAGGAGTACAAATTTAAAAAGCAAGCCACAGAAAATTTTGTGTAATGTGACTACATTTATGTTTACAATGAGAGCATCTATCCCCTGAGAAGGTCTAGAATGGGTGACACCTCAGTAGCAACGAGAATACATAGTGCCTACATCTCGGTTTTTATACCACTCTCCACTAAAGGAAACCAGGACTCTTTGGAGAAATGGCTGATTCCAGGGCTGGGACAAGGAAAGTATAAGCTGAGTCCTTGAAGATTTTGTGCCTGGAAGAAAAGTCCTCAAAGAATGATGAGCACTTGTCAAAAGGACACAAAAGCCAGACTGAAGGGACTCCCACTGGCCAAATCTAGGATAATTTGAGCAACAAAATGCATAATGGGAGTAATGGACTATAATCTATTGAATAAAGCAAGAATTCATGAGTCCAGTGATGTAAATCAAAAAGTAAATAATAGAGAAAGGAAGGTTTCTTCCTTTCAGTACAGTTCCAACTAATAAATATAGAAGGAACCATGAAAATCATCATCTGCCTACTATCATAATAATTGACTCAGGTAAGAAACATCAATGAATTCTGAAACTAGTCAGTTAATTGTATGAGCAGTAACTATATTTACATAGTCTCAAATTCTCTTCCTTTAAGACACAGATTAACTACAAAGGGAAAAATGGTAACTTTTCCATGAGATAGACACCACCTTAATTCAAGTGATCAAAGTTAGCAGGGCCAGAGAATGGGATAATCACAGCATATGCCTCCTGATGGGATACATTAAGAAGGCTGCAGCATTATTCGGGCACAGTGGCTCACGCCTGTAAACTCAGCACTGTGGTCGGCCAACGCAGGAGGATGGCGAGAGTAGGAGTCTGAGACCAGCCTGGGCAACACAGTGTGAGATCCAGCCCCTATAAAATATTTAAAAATTGGCCAGGTGCAATGGCACACACCTATAGTCCAGCTACTCAGGAGGCTAAAGCAGAAGGATCACTGAGTGGAGTAGGTCCAAGCTGTAGTGAGCTGCCATGGCACCACTGCACTCCAACGAAGGGAGACCTTGTCTCTTTAAAAAAAAAAAAAAAAAAAGAGAGAGAGAGAGAGAAAAGAAGACTACAACTGCTTCAACCTTGTGCTACTCCCGCCAGAAGTGCATAACCTGAATCTAATCATGAAACCACAGGAAACCCAATTGAGGGCATTATCTTAAAAAGTCAGTAGTCTTCAAATATGTCTATGTCGTGAAATACAAAAGAAAGACGTGGTAACTTTCAGATTAAAGGACACTACAGAGACAGAAAAACTTAATGCAAAACAGATGATCTAGGATTTTCTTTTGCTATAAAGGACATTATCGAAGCAATTGACAAAATCTAAATACGACCTGTACACTAAATAGTGTTATATCAACATTAATTTCATGATTTTTTTTTTTTTTTTTTTTTGAGACAGTCTCACTCTGCTGCCTAGGCTAGAGTGCAGTGGTGTGATCTCGGCTCACTGCAACCTCCACCTCCTGAGTTCAAGAGATTCTCATGCCTTAGCCTCCCAAGTAGCTCGGACTACGAGCACACGCCACTATACCCAGCTAATTTTTGTATTTTTAGTAGAGACAGTATTTCATCATGTTGGCCAGGCTGGTCTCAAACTCCTGGACTCAAGTGATCCTCCCACCTCAGCCTCCCAAATTGCTGGGATTATAGGCATGAGCCACTGCGCCCGGCCATGATTTTTTTTTTTTTTTTTTTTTTTGAGACAGAGTCTCACTCTGTCCTCCAGGCTGGAGTGCAGTGGTGCGATCTCTGCTCACTGCAAGATCCGCCTCCCAGGTTCACGCCATTCTCCTGCCTCAGCCTCCCAAGCAGCTGGGACTACAGGCGCCCACCACTAAGCCCGGCTAATTTTTTGTATTTTTAGTAGAGATAGGGTTTCACCGTGTTAGCCAGGATGGTCTCGATCTCCTGATCTTGTGATCCGCCCGCCTCGGCCTCCCAAAGTGCGGGGATTACTGCTGTTATGAATATCCTTGTTTTTTGGGAAATACACAGTGAAGTATTTAGAGGTAAAAGGGCCTCAAGCCTGCAACTTACTATTAAGCAGTTCAGGAAAAAGTAGTAACACACAGGAATACAAGAGAATGATAAAGCAGTGTAACAGAATGTCCACATTTGGAGAATCTGAGAAACCTTTGGCTTATTCTTGCAACTTTTCTGTAAGTCTGAAACTATATCAAAATACTAAAAAAAAAAAATTAGAGAATAACATGTGCATATGAATAGAAATATAGGTAAATTCCCTGGGATTAGCTTCATGATGGTATTTTCCTTAAAAACACAGAGACAAAATGAAGCAAGCCTGCATGGGCGTTAATATTGGTCTCCTCAAAATATGTTTTCCTCACAGAACTTCTGTTTTAGGACACTGAAAAAAAAAGCCGTTTCGAAGGCTCTCTCAAGACCAGCTCATTAATCAAGTTCTACAGAAGCACCAACATAATCAAGCCTTTTTCGCTGCAGATTTGTGCTATTTTTTTCTCAGTGAAAGTCAAAGCCTCCTGACACCATGAGTAGTTGATGATGTTGTGGCAACTTTTCTGGAATACTAAACTGAAAAGGAGCTTTTCATTTAAAAACGAAAACAGGATGAAACAGTCTTGGTGGAAAGCCTCCCCCTCCACTCTGCCTCACTGAACTCTTGAGATGTTAAGCCCTGGGCTGGGGATCAGTGGGGCAGTCGGTCCCACACCGCCTTCAGGTCCATTCCCGTGTGCATTTGAAGAGATGTTGGCTGAGAACGCTCCCTCTTAGGCAGGCAGCTGGTTAAAGGGACTTGCAGGGCTGATAGTTCTCTGTCATACACATCCCATTTTTCTAGTGCTCTACAGTTTACAAATAGCTCTCGTGTATTATTTTATTTCATCCTTCCTTAAAGTGATTTTTTTTTAAAAAACGCTAATATTCAGTTTAACAGCAATACTACAAAATATCCAGTTTTGAAAACAGGGAGGCACTATAATATCTGCCCTTGGTTCTGAATCTAGTTGGGAAACAAGACTTACCCAAGCAGATTAAACACCCTGAGACAGAATAATCTAAATGAAAAAAGTAGCTACATGATGAGTAAGGTGGCCAGGTAAGCAGACTAATTCTATAAGGAGCTCAGTAGAAACACAATGTTTCTTTCTCTTTGAATTTGTCCACATCCATTTCTTTAAGCCTTTTCTTCAAGCCAAACTCTACCAAGCAGCTCTGGCTTCACAGGCGTGTTTACTAGACATCACAGGGAATGAGGCACCGAGAGGCCCGTTCACATGCAACGCCACCCCTGGGACAGACAGCATCACGGCCTCCTGGCACCACTCCTGCAACAGACCAACCACACTGCCCTTCTTACATGGGCCCCATCATTCATCTTTCTTCAAAGAAAACAGTACATTAGCAGTCGACACTTCAGCAAAGAACCCCCAAAACAAATGCCCTAGCCTAGATCCAAAAACAAAATTTCCGTTAAAGAAAGTGTGTTTTTCAACCAAAGAAAAATTAGGCTCAATTCTAGGACAACCTATAGCAAGCAATTCTACGTGCACTGGCCAACGCCAACAGCAGCTAGATTCCAAAACAAACTCAGCAAAAAAGGCTCTGCTCTCACCTTTTAGAGATAAGAACCAGAGTCAGCAAGCGGCAGAACCATGATTCACACCGAAGTCAACCCACTCTGTCCTCAACCCCACTGGCTTCCCCATGGTCCACACAACCCACTGTGAACAGATGGACCAGTCAGAATTTCTCTGCAACACCCAAATCGCCACCCCACCCCCATTCCCTTGGTTTAAATGCCCTGAGGGGCAGGCGACAAATCAAATTCCACTCTTAGGCAGGTTCCCAACACAAGACACATTCAGTGGCAAAGCAAAAGAGAAGATGGGCTCTACCACATATAGGTCTTTCTTACCCAGAGGAACATTTTCATGGTCTGTCATTACGGATGAACTCGGGGCAGGAAGAACCCATCATTATGTAATGTCAGAGGGCAGGCGACAGGGGAAGGGAAGCGAGACCATCAACATTCCCTTCCTTCGCCCACAAAGACACAAATTTACCTCTGACATTTTGAACGTCTGTCTTCTGGGGCCTACCCATTCCTGGCTGGCTTTTCAAGAGACAGCCACAGATCCCTGCACATTTCTCAGGCCTCAATTAATTGACTAGCAAAGCCAGAGAGAAATAAAATATAGAAAGCAAAGATGCTAGAAATGTTGTCGGGGTCTAAAGGCAGGCAGAAAATGGAAGAGTTTCGAGGATGGAGACCAGATTTCCCACACGGAGATGCATGTTTACTTTCACCCGGTTATGTTTCCACCCCAAACACGGCAAGGCCTCCAGCTTCAGGAGCCCGTAGACCCAGCCCTGGAGCCGCATCGGGCAGGCACCGCGTCTGCGTCCCGCGGCCACGCGCCCGCTCGGCACCCGGCTCCCTGCTGGGGCGGCCGCGTCTTCACGGGGCTGGGGGTCGGCCGGGCTCGGATTGTTCTCAAAAGACGCCACCGCAGGTGGACCACTGGCACCGTTAGGCAGTGCAATTTCCATGAAAACCGCGGGCGCCGTCCACATCCGCCCCAGCGGGGACCTGGACGCGCCCCCGCGCCCGCTGTCCGTCCCCGGCCCCGGCCCCCGCGGCGGCCGCGTCGCCTCCTGCCCGGCCCGGCCCACCTACCTGGCGCTCCCCGGCCCCCGGCGCCAGCCGCCCCGCTGTCCCGCCGGGCTGCGCGCCAGAGCCCCGCAGCAGCAGCAGCGCCGCCGCCTGGCTGTGAAGTCGCGGGCTGCGGGCCCGGCCTCAGGTGCTGGTCCTCCTGCCCCGGCCCACGGAGCCCGACCCGGCGGCAAACCAGCAGCGAACCCTCCACGCGCGCCGCAGCCCTAGCCAGCCGCCGCCGCTCTAGACGCCGGGCGCAGCCCCGCCCTGGCCCCGCCCCCTTGTCGCGCATGCGCGCTGAGGGCCCGGCCCGCGCCCTGCGACCCCCGCCCCACTACCAGCCCGAGCTGGGTCCGCCCTCTGAGACAGTAGGGCCGGTGACCGAGCTGCTCGCGCCAATTCCTACTGCTAGGTTCCCACAAGATCCCACCCTATCCTGTGACTGCTTCACCTGCAAGGAGTTCTTGAACTTCTGGACTTGACTGAGCGATGGCATCTTCACCCTGTCATCCACTGAGGCATCTGAGGCCCTGACGGATCCCCAAGGGAAAGTTTCCTGGAGGAGCCGCGACCCGGGGATGCGCCCCCAACCTTTTGCCCTCCGGACAAGAGCACTTCCTGAAGTGCAGACGTACTCACTCCCCAGGAGATGTTTAGGAAACTGAACATTCCAACCAGACAAGCAAAAAATTAAAATCTTAATTCTTTGAAAATACAGACTTGCAAAAAAAAGAAAATTGCTAACCTCTAAGTGTATGTCCTTCCGGACCTGTTCTGGCCTGTGTGCATAAGTGTGCACTAACAGACTTGCAACAGCATCAGTCCTTACACTTTGCCCCAAGTTTCTATTTTTCCATAGACAAAAACAATAATCAGAAGTTTTGGAAGAAAATTTTCACTTTGACTTTAAAACAGCATTTCTCCTTGAGCAAGGGCAAATACTGGACTGAATGTATCCTTATCTTTGAGTCTTCACATTTTATCCGAAAAAAAAATTCTTAAAATGATTTTAATTCAATAAACCAGAATACTTCTCAGGCAGAGCATTTAAACATATAATTTGCTTCAAAAACAAAAGAGATTAACCAGTTAGGAATGGAAATTAAGAATTCTCTGAACTCATTTAGAATTATGTCTGATCCTCCTCATGTCACCAAAATACAGACAATAGTCTGGAATAAAAATAAACAAATATAAAACGAGTTTTTTGGGGAGCCTGAGGCAGGAGCATCGATTGAGCAGAGGAATTTGAGGCTGCAGTGTCAGCCTGGGAGACAGAGCAACACCCTGTATCTCTAAAAAAAAAAAAAAAAAAAAGAAAAGAAAAGAAAAGAAAAAAGAAAAAGAAAATGTCCTAGTTTTAAATTTTTATTTCTTTACTTTTTATTTTATTTCTCTTCTGAAAAGTAACTTAGTAATAAAACAGTTCCCTCTTATTATTTCTCCAGCTAAATGGAAAGAAATATTGACAGAACCTTGACTCCACAGTACAAAGTTAAAGCCAAGAAAATCAAATTTGTAGAAATGCAAAAATATTTTTGCATTTTTTTTAATTACTGTGACCAATTAGTTTGCTTGGAACAGCCCCAGTTTACATCTTTTTGCAGCAAAATTATTAATAGGGCCCTCTTTCACTCTCAAATGTATTCCTGTTCAAACAATAAATTTTATGGCCATGCTGTTTATTTATTTATTTTTGGGATGGAGTTTCGCTCTTTTTGCCTAGGCTGGAATGCAATGGCGCGATCTCGGCTCACCGCAACCTCTGCCTCCCAGGTTCAAGCAATTCTCCTGCCTCAGCCTCCCAAGTAGCTGGGATTACAGGCATGTGCCACCACCCTGGCTAAATTTGTATTTTTAGTAGAGACAGGGTTTCTCCATGTTGGTCAGGCTGGTCTTGAACTCCTGACCTCAGGTGATCCACCCGCCTCGGCCTCCCAAGGTGCTGGAATTACAGGCGTGAGCCACCACGCCTGGCAGTCATAATCAAGCTAAGAAAGTTGTTAAACACTAACTTTTAAAAAAGAAAAAAAAATTAAATTTATAAAGATTTAAAAATAGATATCAGTCTAATTTCAGTATTCATTCATTTAGTACAGTAACACTGAATGAGGATCAGCTTCCAATAACATCTGTCACTTGACTGTTATGTAATTCTGGATAATCTTCAAAGATCAATCACATTTTCAGTGTGGCAAAGAATGAGGCCCTAATTCCACCGTAGAATGAAAATTATCAAGAGAAAAGGGAGCCATGTGTTAGTTAATACTGTAAAAGGAAAATAAAATCTCGGGACCCCCAAACTCACTACTCCAAAGGGAAAAGCTAAGCTTGGGAACTGAATCATGCAAAAAAAACTGCCTTCCTTTTGTTCCTAAAGAGATAGCTGCAAGATAGAAGGCCACATATCTCCCCAGGTGGCCTCCCTCACCCTGACAATGTAAATTAACAGCTTATCGTCACAGGAATGGGACAAAGACAAGCGGAGGAATCATCCTTCCACCCACCCCAAGACAAATGCATATTTGACCTCTTCCTCTACTCTCTGTTTACTTACCTTATGTAAAAATGCATAATTCACTGTTCTTCTTTCCCCTCCTGCCCACTTTTTCCTCTTTAAGTATTGAAGTCCCCAAAACCCTCTTGGGAAAAAGCATAGGCCACAGATCCTACTGATCCTACTGTAGTTTGTGCCTCATTTTCCCAGTTGCATCCTCAACCTTGGCAAAATAAACCTCTAAATTGACAGATCTGTCTCAGACACCTTTTGGTTTACAATATCATGCTATATCTTCCCTAAGCATCACGATGTGATAGCTAAGTATGCTGGTGGTAAAGTATCTCAGTCCTTCAGAAGTTCTCAACATGGGGTCCCTAACCAGTCACATCAACATCCTCCCAGAACTTGCTAGAAATGCAAATTCCCAGACCCCATCCCAGATCTGCTGAATCAGAAACTCTAGAAGTGGGGCCAAGTGACCTGTATTTTAACAAGCCCTCCAAGGGATTCTGATGAACATACTGACTTAAATGATCTATATACAATAAGTAAGCTTAAGGGAGGGGACCACCCCTCATATTGTCTTATGCCCAATTTCTGCCTCCAAAGAAAGAAGAAGTAAAAACTGAAAGGCAGAAATGAAATCCACAGGCAGACAGCCCAGCGCCGCGCCCTAGGCCTGCTAGTTAAAGATTGACCCCTGACCTAACCAGTTATGTTATCTATAGATTCCAGATATTGTATGGAAAAGCATTGTAAAAATCCCTGTCCTGTCCTGTTCCATTCTGATTACCCGTGCATGCAGCCCCCAGTCATGTACCCCTACTTGCTCGATTGATCATGACCCTCTCACACGGACCCCCTTAGAGTTGTGAGCCCTTAAAAGGGACAGGAATTGCTCACTCAGGGAGCTTGGCTCTTGAGACAGGAGTCTTGCCGGTGCTGCCGACTGAATAAACCCCTTCCTTCTTTAACTCAGTGTCAAGGAGTTTTGTCTGTGGCTCGACCTGCTGCAAGCTGATTCAGATTATCTACATACAATAATTAAGAGGTGAACAGTGTTATCTTTAGGACTAGAACCATCCTACATGAGAATTTATCTTCAGGCCATTTAACAGGATATTTTTGTAGGGATACAGTCAGCTATCCAAATCTATGGTTTCCACATCCATGGATTCAACCAAATCACAGATCAAAAATGTCTGGAAAAAAAAATCGCATCTGTACTGAACTTGTATGGACTTTTTTTTCTTGTCATTATTCCTTAAACAATAGAGTATAACAATGATTTACATAACATTTACATTGTATTAAGTATTATAAGTAATCTAGAGATGATTGAAAGTATACAGGAGGATGTGCATAGGTTATATGAAAAAAACTACCCCATTTTATATAAGGGACATGAGCATCCATGGATTTTCATATCCACCAGAGGTCCTGGAACCAATCTCCCATGGATACTGAGGGACGACTACATAGAATATGTGTAACCTTGAGGCTGAGCACGGTGGCTCCACCTGTAATCTCAGCATTTGGGGAGGCTGAGGCGGGAGGATCACTTGAGGTCAGGAGTTTGAGACCAGCCTGGCCAACATGATGAAACCCTGTCTCTACTTGAAATATAAAAATTAGCCTGGCATAGTGGTGCATGCTTGTAATCCCAGCTACTCAGGAGGTTAAGGCACAAGAATCACTTGAACCCAGGAGGCAGGGGTTGCAGTGAGCCTGGGCAACAAAGTGAGACCCTGTCTCAAAAAAAAAAAAAAAGAAGAAGAAGAAGAAAGAGTATGTGTAACCTTGAAAACCAACAGCCCTGCAACCATAAGAGCAGTCTAGCAGCCACTGGAGGGACAAAAAGGATGTGGAGCACCTGAAAGAGCCCCATCCCCAGAGTCTTGGCACTATTTACTTGTCTGGCAGCTTCCTGGAAAAGCTACATTCCCAGGGTTTGTCTTTAATTGGCATAACTCAGAGCTTGCCCTGTGCAAATGGTCCTCTCCACAGGGCATTGTTGAAAACAATCAGTAACAATTGTTTAATATTACAGCAGCCTCAGGTAGTGACACCAGTTACAGCTAACAATAGGCTGACTGAAAAACTTGAAAAAGAAAAATGAAGAATGAGATGTCCATGGGGAGGGGGCATTAAAAAGATTTAACATAAGCTGCCTGGTGGCACATGCCTATGGTCCCAGCTACTCAGGAGGCTGAGGTGGAAGGATCACTCGAGCCCAGGAGTTTGAGGCTGTAGTGTGTTATGATTGCACCTGTGAATAGCCACTGGACAACATAGCAAGATCTCAACTATGCTATGGGCAACATAGCAAGATCTCATCTAACAGAAAAAAAAAAAAGATTAACATATTTCTGGAAATCTGAGAATGCCCAGGTTTTACTTCTGGCTAACTGTGAGGCTTTGAGCAAGCAGGATGTGAAGGCTGAGGCAAAGCTGTGAATTGTCTGCCTGAAAATTGAAGGCATGCATTAATATGCACACATAGTCCCACCATAAACAAAGGAAAAAAAAATCTTTGATTCTAGCATTTGAGGAATGATAGAGCATTTCTCTCATCATTAGTGAACAATTAAGCTAACTGAGTAAGGACTACAAATGGCTACAGTGACGTATCAGTGACTACAGATGACAAAGAATACAGACTTTACAAAATTAGTCCAAGAAAGGCATCAAAGAAATAAAAACAGTAACAACAGCAAACCCTGGGGGAAAGGGAAACATGGTTTTCAGAGTTGCCACATTACATTATTTTTAGTGTCTATATTTTAGCAAAAAGTTGTAAGACACATAAACAGGCAGAAAAGGACACAGGCTGGAAGGCAGTCAACAGACTGTCATTAAAAATGCATAAATTGTAGACTTACTAGACGAAGACCTAAAATTAGCTATTATAAATGTGTTCAAAGAACTGATGGAAACCATGTGTCAAAAATTAAAGGAAAGTATGAGAACAATATCTCACCAAAAAGAGAGTGTAGTTAAAGATATAGGAATTATATAACTATATATAAAGAAACTCTGTAATTGAAAGGTATAATAACTGAAATGAAAAATCCATTATAGGGGGACAATAGCAGGATTGAGTGGCAGAAGAATTAGCAAAATTGAGGATAAGTCCATGGATACTGCCTAGTCTGAGGAACATATAGGAAAAATCAATGAAGAAAGATGAACAGAGCCTAAGAGATCAGTAGACGCCATCAAGTATGCTAAGATATATCTAGTACCAATTGGGAGTACCAGAAGGAGAGGAGGGAGATAAAAGTGCAGAAAAAAATATTCACTAAAACCTTTCCAAATTTGATTTAAAAATTAATCTATAATCCAAAAATTTCAACAAACTCCAACTAAAATGAACTCAAAGAGAAGCATACTGAGATACATCATAATCAAACTGTCAACTAAAATGAACTCAAAGAGAAGCATACTGAGATACATCATAATCAAACTATCTAAAACCAAAGATGGAGAGACTCTTGAAAGCAGCAAGAAACAAGCAACTCCTCATGTACAAAGAATCCTCAATAAAATTAACAACTGTTTTCTCACCAGAAACCATAGAGACCAGAAGGCAGTAAGATGACACATTCAAAGTAATAAAAGGAACGGAAGGAAGAGCAGACCTAGAATTCTATATTCAGCAAAACTGTCCTTGAAAATGAAAGAGAAATTAAGACTACCTCAGACAAACAGAAACTGAGTGAATTCATTACTAGCAGATCCACCCACTAAGAAGCACTAAAGGAGTCCTTTAGGCTGAAATAAAATGTCATTAGAGAGTAACTCAAATTCATACAAAGAAAAACAACTAAGGCAAATTTAAAGTCAGTGTGTAATGCCTTTCTTCTCACTGATTTAAAAGACAACTGCATAAAAAGTAAGCATAAGTCTGTGTTGATGGGCTCATAATGTAAAAAGATAGAATTTGTATGACAATAATAGCACAAAGAAGTGGGGGAGTAAAGAGAGCTTAACTGGAGCACAGTTTGTGTATGTCATTGAAATTAAGTTCTAAAAACTCAATTGTTTTAAATTGAGAAGCTAACTGTAACCTCCAGAACAAATACTAAGAAAATGACTTTATGTATACATATTTAAATAAAACCAGGAAATTAAAATAGCATACTAGAAAATGCCTATTTACCACAAAAGAAGACAGTAATGAGTAATAGAGGAACACACAGGATATAAGATATATAGAAAATACACAGCAAATGACAGACATCAGTACTACTTTATCTCAAGTTATATTAAATGTAAATGTGGCTGAGTGTGTGGTTCATGCCTGCAATCCCAGCACTTTGGGAGGCTGAGGTGGGAGAACTGTTTGAGGTCATGCATTCAAGTCCAGCCTAAGCAACATAGTGAGACCCCATTTCTAGAAAAATTTTTTAAAATATTAGCCAGGCACGGTGGCTCACACTTGTAGTTTCAACTATTTAGGAGGCTGAGATGGGAGGATCACTTGAGCCCAGGAATTTTAGGCTACAGTGAACTATCATTGCACCACAGTACTCCAGCCTGAGTGACAGAGCAAGACTCTGTCTCAATCAATCAATGGATCAGTAAAAATGTATTAAATACTCCAATCAAAAAGCAGAGATTGTCTGAATGGACTTTTAAAAAATATGATCCAACTGCACATTGTGTACAGAGATGAATGTAAATTTTAAGGTATAAATAGGTTTAAGGTAAAATGATGAACAAAGGTATACCACAGAAACAATAACCAACAGAATACTGAAGAAGTTATACTAATATAATACAAAACAAACTTAAAACAAAACAAAAATACTACTGACAAACAGAGACATTTTATAATTGTAACAAGTTTAAACTATGAGGAAGAGATAGTAATTATAGACATATATACATCCACAATAGAACCCGAGAATACATGTAGCAAAAACAGAATTGAAGTGAGAAGTGAACATTGTAATAGTAGTAATTGATTATTGCAGTACTCCACTTTAAGTAATGGATAAAATAATGAAGTAAATCTAAAAGGATATATAAAACATTAACAATACCATAAGCCAACTAGATTTAACAAAGTTGTAGAATATTCCACCCAACAATAACAGAACATACCTCATGTTCAACTGTACATGAAATATCCTCTAGGATAGATTATATGGTAGGACTTTTAAAAGCCTAAATAAATAAAAAAGAATTGAAGTCATACAAATTATGTTCTCTGAGCACAATGGAATTAAAACAGAAATCAACAACAGAAGGAAATTTGGGAAATTTACAAGTAAATGGAAATTAAACAACACAGTTCTCGGTAACCAAAGGGTCAAAGAAGAACTCAGAAGGGAAATTAGAAAATATTTTGAGAAAAATTAATGTGAAAACTCAACATACTGTTGCAGAGCATTGCTCCTTAGTTCCCCTAAACTCTGGTTCTTGTCACAAGACCAGGAAAATTTAGGCACACAGACGACACACTGAAGGGTGAGTAGAGCAGGATATTATTGGGCAAAAAAGGAAAAAAAAAAAAAACTCAGCAAAGCAAGACGCAGTCCTGCTAACAGGACTCACAGATTGAATCCCAGGCCACTACACAGGAAAGGAGAGGCCAGGCTCCTCCCCACTGCAAACGGCACAAACTTTCCCTGGCTCCACCCTGTTCTCCCAGTGTGCAGGCCCATGGGAGGTTCTCTGGGGACCTTCCCCCTTATCTGCCTCCTGCATCTATCATTTCCCCCTCTAAAGAAGTACATCTAACTGCTGTTAGAATAAGAATAAGGATCAGGACAAAGGCCGATCTTAACTGCTTCATGCTGACAGGAGGCACTGTTTGAGGAAAACGGCAGTCAGAGCTCCCTCAGAGGCCTATCTAAGGGTCCCTGGCAGAAGGGGCTGTGGTCCAAGGCTCCAGTTGCATGACCGTTTGGAGTTTCACGGCCTGAAGGCAAGAAAAGACAAACTGGGTTATTAGAAAACATATATCAGCCAGGTGCGGTGGCTCATGCCTGTAATCTCAGCACTTTGGGAGGCCAAAGTGGGCGGATCACTTGAGGCCAGGAGTTCAAGACCAGCCTGGCCAACATGGTGAAACCCTGTCTCTACTAAAAATACAAAAATTAGCCAGGTATGGTGGTGGGTGCTTATAATCCCAGCTACTCAGGAGGCTGAGGCAGGAGAATCTCTTGAACCCAGGAGGCAGAGGTTGCAGTGAGCCGAGATCACACCGCTGCACTCCAGCCTGGGCAACAGAACAAGCTTCTGTCTCAGAAAAAAAATTAAAAAGAAGAAGAAAAGAAAGAAAATGTGTATCAAAATGAAATAAGGGTGGGTATTGGGGGAATCTGCCTCCGATAATTCAACGAGGGTCCTTTTCTATTTTCCATAAGTGTCGGCCGGTCTGAGAAATAAAGGGAAAGAGTACAAAAGAGAGAAATTTTAAAGCTGGGTGTCCGGGGGAGACATCACATGTTGGCAGGTTCCGTGATGCCCCCTGAGCCGTAAAACCAGCAAGTTTTTATTAGCAATTTTCAAAAGGGAGGGTGTGTACGAATAGGGTGTGGGTCACAGAGATCACATGCTTCAAGGGTGACAAAAGATCACAAGGCAGAAGGTCAGGGTGAAACTAGAATCACTAATGAACTTCCATGTCCCACTGTGCATGCATTTTCAGGGTTCAAGAGCAGAAAACCGGTCTGACTGGAATTTGCCAGGCTGGAATTTCCTAATCCTAGCAAGCCTGGGCATGCTGCAGGAGACTAGGGTGTGTTTCATCCCTATCTGCATCTGCATAAGGCAGACACTCCTAGGGCAGCCATTGTAGAGGCCCCGCCCTGGGAATGCATTCTTTTCCCAGGGCTGTTAATTATTAATATTCCTTACTGGGGAAAGAATTCAGCGATATTTCTCTTACCCATTTTCAGTAATAAGAGAAATATGGCTCTGTCCTGCCCAGCCCACAGGCAGCCAGACTTTAAGATTATCTCCCTTGTTCCCTGAACATCACTGTTATCCTGTTCTTTTTTCAAGGTGCCCAGATTTCATATTTTTTAAACACACATGCTCTACAAATAATTTGTGCAGTTAACGCAATCATCACAGGGTCTTGAGGCGACATTCATCATCAGCTTATGAAGATGACGGGATTCAGAGATTAAAGTAAAGACAGGCATAGGAAATCACAAGAGTATTGATTGGGAAAGTGATAAATGTCCATGAAATCTTCACAATTTATGTTCTTCTGCCATGGCTTCAGCCGGTCCCTCCATTCGGGGTCCTTGACTTCCTGCAACAGCGGGGGTAAGGGCAGCTCAAAAATCCTGAGGCCTTTTACCAGTTTGCGCAGGGAGGAGACACCAAAAGTCTGACTGCTAAAAAAACTTATACTCTTTTGCCCCATATTAGACTTCTGGGTTCCCTTCCCCTGAGCCCAATCCTAAGCCAACCAGTCTAAGGTTTGGGAAATTAACTCTTCCCAGTTTGGAGGATGCATCTGAAGGGAGCGTCCCATAGTACAGAGATACAATTAACTATCAGTGAACAGGACAAAGGAGGAAAAAGGAGGCATTTTTTCAGAGAAGTCTCAGGGGTTCAGGAAGCACTGCAGAGGAATGGCTACTCATCCAGAAAGAGGGTAGCAGGTGACCCTGGTTCCTTTCTCTTCCTAGCAAATCCCTTGTGTATGTGAGGGAGGAAAAGTTAGGTGTTCCTTTTTCTTTCCTCCATCCTTGTATCCCTGAGTCCCAGCAACTGCCACAGAGTGCCATGCATGGGTGTCAAAATGGCTTTCATCCATGTTAGTGGGAGTTGGGGGTTGGGGGTGGGAATATCCCTATCTCCCCTGCTGTCAGTAGCCCTTGAATTCCCTAGACTTCATTTATGCCATGGATTCTAGCATGACCTTTATCCATGAAACAAGAAGCTTGGCTTAATGGGCAGGAATTAGTCATGCTCACCTGCACTGTGCCTTTTAACTTCCATTATGAACTGCCTCTGGAATCCTGGGATCCTGTTTTCTTTCCTACGGCTTTGACCCGAAGCTTGGAAGTGAGTTTGGGACAAAAATGTGTCTTGGGGCGATTGTATGGACTCCTTATCATAAGCTCAATGCTAAGGTTAAGCTGTGGAATTGAGTCCTCCTCCAACAAGGGAAAGAAAAGGATGTCTTGTGACACACCCAGATAACTGGTGGCTATAGTTATGCTTGCTAAGATTTGAGTGCATGGGACTTGGCTTTGGTTAGCTCCCTTGGTCTTACTTTCCCAAAAAGGAAACCTCCAGGTGATGGGCATCCTATTTATTGCCATCACCTGGCAGGATTTGCAGGATAATTGCTCAGAACTAGAATATTGATCCAGATTTTTATATAACATCCCTATTGTTCTTTCTGAGCTGCAGCCAGAGATTGCTGGTTGGTTCACAGGAACAAGCAGGGTTAGTCTAAAATGTAGACAAAAACTTAAAACCAACTAACAAGTCTAGAATCTAATGATGATAAGTTTTGAAATAAATTATAATTTCTCTCTCCCTAGTCATCATTTCTATTAAAAACAAATCATGATAAGACTGTGTTGTTTGCACAATAGAATTTAGTCTTATACTTTGCCTGATTATTTGCATAAAGTGCAACAAAAATGATTATTTATACATAGGCCTTTTAGATTGGCTTTGATGGAACTCTGTTCCACAAGAAATCTCAGATAAGACCTTTTAAAGCTGAGCCCAGCCATGGGTTTGTATCCTCAAATACTTGTGAGTTGGGTAAACTCCTCTTCTCTTGAGGTCCCAAGAGCATGTGGTTCCTGAGCCTGTTGGAGAGTGACATTTTTTACTCATCACAGGTTAGGAACCCTCTAGGGGGACTGTGTAGACAAAAGTACGAGGCCAGTTTTCCCAAGGGGCTTTTATTGGCTCTGCAAGTCAAGCTTGACTTCTGATATGATTTGGCTCTGTGTCCCCCAATTCTCATCTTGAATTGTACTCCCATAATTCCCATGTGTTGTGGGAGGGACTTGCTGGGAGATCACTGAATCATGGGGGTGGTTCCCCCATACTATTCTGTGGTAATGAATGAGTCTCACGAGATTTGATGGTTTTATCAGGGGTTTCCACTTTTACATCTTCCTCATTCTCTCTTTGACTGCTGCCATCCATGTAAGAAAGGACTTGCTCCTCCTTGCCTTCCACTGTGATTTTGAGGCTTCCCCAGCCATATGGAACTGTTAAGTCCAATTAAATCTCTTTCTTTTGTAAATTGCCTAGTCTCAGGTATGTCCTTATCAGCAGCATTAAAACAGACTAATACAACTCCTTAAAGGGAAGCATACCTTTCTAGTCTAAGCCTTGGTAAAACAACCAGTTTCTTCAATTGCAACCTGTTGCAAAAGAAAATGGATTCTTACTGCACTCATGCAAACAACTATATTGCCATAAGCCAAGAATACTCACAGATAGTTTCCAAATTCTAGAGGAACCAGGCAGAGAGAAACAAACATGCTCCAAATTTTGTTCACAGGAGTATAGCTTTCTCAATTATTAAAGACCATAAATAGCTCAAAATAAGCTTCCTTGGCTCTGAAAAACAAAATAAGGATTAGCATGTTCCAAGCACAGTCAAAAAGATTTCTTCAATTTTCTATTAGTTCAGTCCATCCAGTAGCTCTTGCTTTGCTTGATATTGGTGAACATTTCAGCTCTAAATGAATCCTATATGTTTTTCCTTTATTCCAATGTCACAGTCTCCAAGGTTATGAGAAACCTGTATTTGAAAGCACCTGTCAGAGTCCTATAGCTTAATATAGTCCATACTTTGAAAAGGATCAAAACAAGACAACAATTGTGAATAACAAAATGTCCAGGGTAGTTACAGTCAGAAACACAATTGGCAAAAATGTTTGGTAATGTCTGTGGTTTAAAATAACATAACCACCTTAATTATGATTTAGCATATACTTTAGATATTAGAATTTTAGAAATCCCATACAACTTTGGAATATATATTAGTATTATTCACCAAAATATAACCTAAAGAAGATTGAACACCATTTTGGCAATCCCATGTAACTAAATATGTCAAATAATCCTGTTTACCTCTCTTTTGGATACTCCAGGGGCCCTCTGTAGCATCCAAATGTCAGGCATCAGGAAAGACAATTTTGAAACTGAAGTTTGATTTTAGGAAGTCTGTTAAAATATGTTAGAAGTTTAAAACACTTGATGTTATGAAATAGAATTCCAGATTACCATGTTACTTATTTTGCCAAAATGATGACTCAGAAGTTTAAAAAACAAAAACCTTTTATAACCCTAACAAATTTTGCTAAAGAGAATATTAGTGCCTTAAGAGTACCTTGCTGTGCTTTTATTTCAATGCTCAATTTACAGAAAAATCATATAATACCCTTTTGAATTTAGTCAATATATTCACACATGGAATTTTTGCAAGATTAATTTTTACAATCCTTCCATTATTTGTTTAAACCTTCAGCTTTATCTTATCTAATTCAAAAATCATCCTTTAACCCTAGGCAAGGATTTACATTTCCATGCTTTTGTACAATCTTTTACTAAAAACACATCTTACTGTTCTTATGCACCTCACATGTAAATCTATTTCCAGTACTTTCAATTTCATGTTATAATGGTCATTCTTAGCGATTTTTAACTTTAATGCAAAACCTAGTAATTTAATTATGTGCTGGGTGCAGCCAAGGTTTGACTGCTTCCAGCATAATTAAGGGCATGGTTAATTCCATATGTTCCCAGGCCTTACCAATTGTGAAGCAGGCAAGTCAAACAGTTCTCAAAAACCAAAAAGGCAGTTTATAACCTTAAAACATTTAGCAAACTTAGTATCTGACCTGCATAATTTAGTTCACCTATTTACATTTTGAGGACATCTGCATTTCACCAATAATTTTTAAGGCTGTTTTTATTTCTCAAAGATTAAAGTCATGTGAACTAAAAGGTACCACAGCTTTTATTTTCCCTTTAAAAAATATTTGATCCAAGCACTGTTGGGAACAAGCCCCCCAAAATCTGGCCATAAACTGGCCCCAAAACTGTCCATAAACAAAATCTCTGCAGCACTGTGACATGTTCATGATGGCCATAAAGCCCATGCTGGAAGATCGTGAGTTTATGGGAATGAGTGCAAGGAACACCTGGCCCGCCCAGGGTGGAAAACAGCTTAAAGGCATTCTTAAGTGACAAACAATAGCACGAGTGATCTGTGCCTTAAGGACATGCTCCTGCTGCAGTTAGCTAGCCCAACCTATTCCTTTAATTTGGCCCATCCCTTCGTTTCCCATAAGGGATACTTTTAGTTAATTTAATATCTATAGAAACAATGCTAATGACTGGTTTGCTGTTAATAAATATGTGGGTAAATCTTTGTTCGGGGCTCTCAGCTCTGAAGGCTGTGAGACCCCTGATTTCCCACTTCACACCTCTATATTTCTTTGTGTGTGTCTTTAATTCTTCTAGCGCTGCTGGGTTAGGGTCTCCCCGACCGAGCTGGTCTCGGCAAAGCACTGATCTTCCTTTAGGCCAATTAATTAGAGGTCTTTTTATAGACATTACACACACGATGCATATATAATGAGAGTAGCAAGAGAAAATGGAGAAAAAGAATTTAGTCAACTGAGAAAAAACCCGTTTCCAGCAAAACAAGATCCAAGAAAAGAAAAACATAAAGGCCTTTTAAATATACCTATAACTAGGATATCCACTTTTAATTAAGCTGAGCACTCTTTAAGAAAATCCCTTTAACTCCCTTATTACCTGACTTTAGCCCTGCCAAGTGGCCAATATTTCTGGCTTTCAAATCTTACTGAAAGTAACCTTGCAGGTGAAACCAACAAGCCTCAATTAAGACTATGATTTAACCGTGAGTATATGAGGTATTTTCAAACGGGGTAAGCAGTTCTCACAAAATTTAGAACCTTTAAAGATGACCCAGAGAAAGGAAGATTTAAGAAAAAGCCTAGACGTTGTTCATGGAGAAGAAGAGAGTCAGCAAATGGCAAAAGTCACACAGGTATCAACCTTAAAGTACTGAGTCTCTAAGCCAGGATTGAACCCCGGCTACACTGTAAAATGGCAGAGGCTAAACAAAGCATTGCCACGTGGTTACAGGCCAGCTTCCAAGGGCATAAAGCAAGATGGAAGCCTTCAGCAAAGTTTGCTACAGACAATTCACATAGGCGTGCAAAGCACACCAGATTGGCTACACCTTAAGACCAACCTCACAAATCCTTTTTCATAATCAAAACTTTGCAGAGACTATAAACAGTGATCCTTCTCATTCCTGGCCTAGTAAAACATCTTCGAAAAGGAAGAAAAAAACAAAAAAAAAACCCCTCTCACTTAAAAGTGTACTGCTGACAGTGTAGAGAAAAGGAAAAAAAAAGTTTAAAGTGCAGAGTTGGAAAGATGCCTGGGGGAAGAACCTCTTATTCTTATACAAACGGGTTCCTAGCCCTGGCCGGGAGCAAGGCAGGGGAGTCCCCGTTTGCCCATTCATCCCTCGAGCCTGCAGCCATTGGGGTGGGCTCCTGCACAGCTTCCTCTACCTCAGAAGAAGTCTGAGGACAAAAAGGCTTAGAAGTGAAAGGGAAAAAGAATTTTTGGTTCACATCTTACCCCTCCTCAAGCCCCACGTCTGGGCGCCAAAATGTTGCAGAACTTTGCTCCTTAGTTCAACTAAAACTGGATTCTTGTCACACGACCAGAAAAATTTAGGCACGCGGACACATGGAAGGGTGAGTAGAGCAGGATTTTATTGGGCAAAAAGGGGAAAAAAAGAAAAAAAAAAAAAACTCAGCAAAGTGAGATGGAGTCCTGCTAACAGGCCCACCACCTCACAGATTGAATCCCAGGCCACCACACAGAAACTGAAGAGTCCAGGCTTCTCCTGGCTGCAAACGGCCCAAAATTCCCCCGGCTCCACCCGGTTCTCCCAGTGCACAGGCCAGCGGGAAGTTCTCTGGGGACCCTCCCTCTTATCCTCCCCCTGCATCTATCAATAGCAAAACCTCTGGAAGCAGATAAAGCAGTGTTTAGAGAACAATTTATAGTTGGGAAAAACTGTATTATAATAAAAAAGGAAAAGCCGGATGTGGTGCCTCCTGCCTGTAATACCAGATACTCCACAGGCTGAGGCGGAAGTATGGCTTGAGCCTAGGAGTTTCAGGCTGCAGTAAGCTATGATGGTGCCACTGCACTCCAGCCCGGGTGACAAAGCAAGACCCTACCTTTAAAAATAAATAAATAAACAAAGATCTAAAATCAATAACCTAACTGTACCCCCTAAGAAATAGGAAAATAGGCCAAACATGGTATAATCCCAGCACTTTGGGAGGCAGAGGTGGTTGGATCGCTGAAGCCCAGGAGTTCCAGACCAGCTTGGGCAGCATGGTGAAACCCCTTCTCCACAGAACAATACAGAAAAGTTAGCTGGGTGTAGTAGTGCAACCCTGTAGTCCCAGCTTCTAGTTAGGCTGAGGTGGGAGAATTGCTTGAGCCTGGGAGGTCGAGGCTGCAGTGAGCTGTGATTGCACCACTGCACTCAGGCCTGGGCAACAGAGCAAGACTCTGACAAAAAAAAAAAAAAGAAAGAAAGAAAGAGAGAGGGAAGGAGGGAGGGAGGAAGGAAAGAAGGAAGGAAGGGAAAAAAGGAAGGAAGGAAGGAAGACAAAACAAAACAAATTAAATCCAAAGCAAATATAAGAATGATATAATAAACATTTGAATGGAAATGAATGAAATACAGAATAGAAAAATAGAGAAAATCAACAAAAGCAGTTGTTGATTCTTTGAAAATATCAACAATTTTGATGAATCTTTAGCTAGTCTGACCAACAAAAAAGGAGAGAGAAGATTCAAATTACTAAAATTAGGACTGAGAGAGGAGACTTCACTACTGACCTTACATAGAATAACAACGGTTATAAAGAAAACTCTAAATAACTGTATGCCAACAAACTACATAACTTGGAGGAAATGGAGAAATTCCTGGAAACAAAAATAAATTAACAAAACCAGCTCATGAAGAAACAGAAAATATGAGTAGACTTATAACAAGACAAAAATAATTGAATTAGTAGCTTCAGAACGTCCCATAAACAAAAACTCAGCTACAGACATCTTCACTAGTGAATTTTAACAAATATATAAGAATCCTTACAAACTCTTACAGAAATTAAAAGAGGAGAGAACATTTCCAAACTTACTTATGAGGCCTGTATAAGCCCGATACCAAAACGATAGATATCACAATAAAAAGAAAACCACAGAGTAACATTTCTTATTAATGTAGACCTGAAAATCCTCCAAAACTACTAGCAAATTGAATCTAGTAACACATGAAAATGATTATACACCATGACCAAGTGGAACTATCCCTGGAATACAGGTTAGTTTAACATTGGAAAATTAATCAATTAATGACAATCAATTAATGTAATATGCCTTATTAATAAAATAAAAGATAAAAACAATTATATCACTAGATGCCGAAAAATCATTTGACAAAATTCAACATCCAATATTCAAGAAACCAAGAACAGACTAAGAAACTAACAAAGAATATTTTACAAAAAAACACTGACAAATCCTACAGCTAATATTATACTTAACTGAAGAAAGTCTGATTGTTTTACCACTAAGACCAGTAACAACATAAGGATACCTACTTTTGCCACTCCATGCAGCATTGTGCTGGCAGTTCTAGCTAGGGCAAGTAGGCAAAGAAAATAAAATACAGGCATCTAAACTTAAAAGGAAGATATTAAAATATATTTATTAATAGATGACACAATCTTGTGTATAGATTCATGTATACAAGCTACTTGTACACAGGTGCATTTCTATATCCATAATCTTGTATATAGAAAATCTTAAGGAATTCACCAAAAAGAAAACACTGGAACTAACAAACCAGTTCAGTAAGGATGCAGGATTCAAGATCGTCATTTCTAGTTTATAGAAATATTTCTATAAATTAGCAGGCAACAATCTGAACATGAAATTAAGAAAACTCCGTTTAGAATAGCATCAAAAACAATAAAATACTTAGGAATATATTAAGAAAAGAAATAAATCCAAAATTTGTACACTGAAAATCCAAAAACTTGTACACTGTTGAAAGAAATTAAAGAAAACCCAAGTGAATAGAAACACATTTGTGTCAAAGAATCGGAAGACTATATATTTTATTTTATTTTATTTTGTTTATTTATTTGAGATGGTCTCTTGCTCTGTCGCCCAGGCTGGAATGCAGCAGCATGATCCTGGCTCACTGCAACCTCCACTTTCCAGGTTCAAGCAATTCTCCTGCTTCAGCCTCCCGAGTAGCTGGAACTACAGGCATGCACCACCACACTTAATTTTTGTATTTTTGGTACAGACAGGGTTTCACCATGTTGGCCAGGCTGACCTCAAACTCCTGACCTCAAGTGATCTGCCCACCTCAACCTCCCAAAGTGCTCGATTACAGGTGTGAGCCACTGTGCCCAGCCAGAAGACTATATATTTTAAGATGGCAATATTTCCCCCAACTTGATCTAAAATTCAAAGCAATCCGTATTAAAATCCCAGCTGGTTTCTTTGTAGAAATTGGCAAGCTGATCTAAAATTTATATGGAAATGCAAGAGACCCAGAATAACCAAAACAATCTTGAAAAAGAATAAAGTTAGAGGACTTACGCTTCCCAGTTTCAAATCTACAGTAGTCAAGACAGTATGTCACTGATGTAAGAATAGAAATGACGATCAGTGGAATAGAATTGAGGGTCCGGAAATAAGCCCTCACTTTTATAGTCAGTTGATTTTTGATGGGGATGCCAAGACAATTCAACGCAGAAAATAATAATTGAGCATCTTATATGAATTTGGGGTATTTGTATATCTCTTTTTTTGAGAAATAGCTATTCAGATTTTTTGCCTGTTTTTAAATTGTATTATTTGTATTATTGAGTTATGTGTTCTTTAGATATTCTGGATACAAATCCCTTCTCAGATATATGATTTACAAATTTTTCTCCCATTCTCTGGGGTGCTTTGTAATTTTTTGATGCATCTTTTGAAAAACAAAAGTTTTTAATTTAATAGTGTCTAAATTGTCTATTTTTTATTTTGTTGGTTGTGCTTTTTGTGTCATATCTAAAAAGCCACTGCCTATTCGAAGGTCAAAAAGATATATGCCAATGTTTTCTTCTAAGAATTTTATAGTTACATGAGATATATGATCTATTTTGAGCTAATTTTTGAATATGGTGTGAGGTAAGAGTACAACTTCATACTTGTCTTCTAGATAGCCAGCTGTTCCAGCATTGTTTGTTTAACAGACTATTCTTTCTTCCATTGAATTCCAGTGACACTCTTGCCAAAAATCAACTGACTGTAAATATGAGGACTTATTTCTAAATTCCCAATTGTATTCCAATGATCTGTACATTTTTTCTTATTCTAGTATCACACTATCTTGATTACTAGCTTTGTAGTAAAATTTGAAATCAGGAAGTGTGAATCCTCTCACTTTGTTATTTTTCAAGATTGCTTTGGTTCTTCTGGGTCCCTAGAATTTCCAAATGAAATTTAGCATCAGCTTAATAATTTCTGCAAAGAAGCCAGGTAGAATTTTGTTAGGAAATGTGTTGAGTCTAAATAAGTCCAGGGAATATTGTCATCTTAAAAATACTAGGTCTTCTAATCCATAAACATAGATGTCTTTCCATTTACTTATGTCTTTTAAAATTTCTTTCAACAATGTTTTATAATTTTCAGAGTATAGCTTTTGCATTTTTTTGTTAACTTTATTCCCATTGTATCATTATTATTATTTTTTGAAACGGAGTCTCCCTCTGTTGCTCAGGCTGGGGTGCAGTGGTGTGATCTCTGTTCACTGCAACCTCTGCCTCCCGGGTTCAAGCAATTCTCCTGCATCAGCCTCCTGAGTAGCTGGGATTGCAGGCACCCACCACCACACCCGGCTAATTTTTGTTTTGTTTTTGTTTTTGTTTTTTTCAGTAGAGATGAGGTTTCACGATGTTGGCCAGGCTGGTCTTGAACTCATGACCTCTAGTGATCTGCCAGCCTTGGCCTCCCAAAGTGTTGGGGTTATAGGCATGAGCCACTGCGTCCTGCCCCATTTTACTCATTTTGAGGCATTGCAAATGAAATTGTTTTCTTTGTTTTTTGTTTTTGTATTTGTTTTTGTTTTTGTTTTTTTCTGAGACAGAGTCTCACTCCATCACCCAGGCTAGAGTGCAGTGGCACATCTCCGCTCATTGCAACCTCTGCCTCCCAAGTTCAAGCAATTCTCCTGCCTAAGCCTCCCAAGTAGCTGTGATTACAGGTGTGCACCGCCATGCCTAGCTAATTTTTGTATTTTTAGTAGAGATGGGGTTTCATCATGTTGGCCAGGCTAATCTCAAACTCCTGACCTCAGGTGATCCACTTGCCTCAGCCTCCTAAAGTGCTGGGATTACAGGTACAAGCCACTGCACTGGGCCAAAACTGTTTTCTTAATTTTCTTTTTTGTTTGTTCATTCCTACTGTATGAACACACAGTAGATTTTTGTATATTGGTCTTGTATCCTACAACATTGCTAAACCCATTTGGTAGTTCTCAAAGCTTTTTACTGGATATTTAGAGTTGTCTGTATATGAGATCATGGCATCTGCAGCTAGAGACTTCTTTCTTTCTTTGAAATCTAGATACCTTTTATTTATTTAGTTTTTCCTAATTGTGCTTGCTAGAACCTCCAATACAATGTTGAATAAAGTGGTGGGAGTGGTCATCCTTTTCTTATGTCCAATCTTAGCACAAAAGCCTTCAACTTTTCACCATTAAGTGTAATGTTAGCTGTAGGTTTTTCATAGATGCCTTTTATGAGGTTAAGGAAGTTCCCTTCTATTCCTAGTTTTTGAGTGTTTTTATCATCAAGAGTTTAATTTTGTAAAATTATTTTGAGATAATAATGCGGTTTATTTCCTTAATTCTATTGATAAGATGTATCATATTAATTTATTTTCTGATATAAAATCAACATTATGTTCTTAGGATAAATCCCACTTGGTTATGGTTATAATCCTTTCTATATATTACTGGATGTGGGCTGGGCATAGTGACTAATGCCTGCAATCCCAGCACTTTAGGAGGCTGTGGTAGGAGGATCACTTAAGGCCAGGAGTGTGAGATCAGCCTGGGCAACAAAGCAAGACCTCCGTCTCTACACAAATTTTTACAAAAAAAATTAGCTGAGTGTGGTGGCACACACCTGTAGCCCCAGCTACTCAGGAGGCTGAGATGGAAGCATCAATTGGACCCAAGAGTTTGAAGCTACAGTGAGCTATGATTGTGCCACTGCACCCCAGCCTGCACAACAGAGTGAGACCATGTCTGAAAAAACAAACCCCAAAATTCCAGAAAACCCAAAACATATATATTGCTAGATTTAATTTGCTAGTATTATGTTGAAGAATTTTACATTTATATGCACAAGAGATATTAGTATGCAGATTTATTTTCTTGTACGTACTTGTTCAGTTTCAGTATTAGGATAACACAAGCCTCATAGAATGTATTGAGATGTGTTCCCTCCTCTTCCATTTTTGGAAGAATTTGTTGGGAAATGGTATTAATTCATCTTTAAATGTTGGTATAATTCACCAGTAAAGTCATCTATGCCTGGGTTTTTCTTTGTAGATAGTGTTTAAATTACTGTTTCAATGTTTTTACTTATTATAGATGTATTCAGGTTTTCTGCTTATTCTTGAGTCAGTTTTGGTAGCCGGTATCATTCTAGAAACATGTCCATTTCATTTAGGTCATCTAATTTGTTGGTATACATCTATTCATAGTATTTCCTTATATTCCTTTTTATTTCTCTAAGGTGGGTAGTAATATACCCTATTTTATTCCTGATTTTAGTAATATGAGTCTTAGTCCTCTTTTCTTAATCAGTCTAGCCAAACATTTGTCAATTTTATTGATCATTTCAAAGAAGCAACTTTTTGTTTCATTGATAATTGTTATTATCTTTCTATTATGTATTTCATTAATTTCTGCTATAGTCCTTATTTCCTTCCTTCTGCTTGTTTTGGGTTTTTGCTCTTTTTTTTCACTGTCTTAAGGTGGAGTGTTAGGTTGTTGATTTGAAATATTTATTTTCTTCTCTTAAAGTAGGCATATATAAGTTTCTCTCTAACTGCTGCATTAACTGAGTCTCATGTTTTTCTATGGTGTGTATTCATTTTTATTCATGTGTAATATTTTCTATTAATAATTTCCTTTGTGGTTTTTTTCAGTGACATATTGGTTTTTTCAGAGCATGTTTTTAAATTTTTATGTATTGGTGAATTTTCCAATTTATTTCTATTATTAAATGCTGTCTGGTGTTTTTATGCTTCTAGCATGAAAAAACTGCTTTAGTATTTCTTGTAGGAAAAAGTTCTGCCAGCAATGAATTATCTGACTTTTTATTTATCTGGGAATGTTTTTATTTCACCTTTGTTTTTAATTTTTAATTTTTTTTTTTGAGATGGAGTCTCACTCTGTCACCCAGGCTGGAATGCAGTGGTGCAATCTTGGCTCACTGCAATCTCTGTCTCCTGGGCCCAAGCGATTCTCCTGCCTCAGCTTCCTGAGTAGCTGAGATTATAGACATGCACCACCATGTCCGGCTAATTTTTTGTATTTTTTGTAGAGATGGGGTTTCACTGTGTTGGCCAGGCTGGTCTAGAACTCCTGACCTCAGATGATCCACCTACCTCAGCCTCCCAAAGTGCTGGGATTACAGATGTGAGCCACTGCATCTGGCTATTTCACCTTTATTTTTGAAAGATAGTTTTTCTGGATATGAGTCTTGGCTGTTTGGTGGGGGGGCACTTTGAATATGCTATCCCATAGCCTCCTGTCCTCCATAATTTATTATAAGAAATCAGATGTCATTCTTATTAGGGTTTCTTTGTATGTGACAAGTCATTTTCTCTTGCCACTTTCAAAATTTTCCTTTTGTCTTTCATTTTCAGCATTTTTACTGTGATGCATTTGTACATGGGGATCTCTTTGCATTTATTCTACTTAGAGTTGGTTGATCTTGGATGGGTAGAATTTTTCTGCTCCTTTCTCTCCTCTCCTTCTGTTACTCCAATTAAGTGTATGTTGATATGTTTAATGGTGTTCCACATTTCTTAAAGATTGTGTTTCTTTTTCTTCATTCTTTATTCTCTGTTTTGGATTTCATACTCTCTATTGACCTATCTTCAATTATGCTGTTCTTTTCTTCTGCCAATTCACATCTATAGTTGAGCCCTTTTAGTGATTTTTTTCATGTCAATTACTGTACTTTTTAATGCCAGAATTTTAATTTTTTTAAAATAAAGTCTCTTTATTGATATTGTCCGCTTGATGAAACATTGTCATAATCCTTTTTTTACTTCTTTAAGCCTGGTTTGCTTTAGTTCTTTGAACACATTTGTAATGATAGACTTAAAGTCTTTGTCTGTTCAATTCAATCTGGGCCCTCTCCTAGGCAGTTTCCATTGCCTGTTTTTTTCCCCATGTGTGTGTCACACTTTGTTTCTGTGGGTATAGGTTTCATGCGCGTCCGTGTGAAGAGACCACCATACAGGCTTTGTGTGAGCAACATGGCTGTTTATTTCACCTGGGTGCAGGCGGGCTGAGTCCCAAAAGAGAGACAGCGAAGGGAGATAGGGGTGGGGCCGTTTTATAGGATTTGGGTAGGTAAAGGAAAATTACAGTCAAAGGGGGGTTGTTCTCTGGCAGGCAGAGTGGGGGTCACAAGGTACTCAGTGGGGGAGCTTTTGAGCCAGGATGAGCCAGGAGAAGGAATTTCACAAGACAATGTCATCAGGTAAGGCAGGAACAGGCCATTTTCACTTCTTTTGTGGTGGAATGTCATCAGTTAAGGCAGGAACCGGAGATCTGGATGTGTACGTGCAGGTCACAGGGGATATAATGGCTTAGCTTGGGCTCAGAGGCCTGACAATAGGAACTGAAAGAAACAATTGTTTATGATACAGAACATTCTACAGAGCCCTGTTATTTATATCAAAACCTGATGCTTGGAAACTTTTGGTTTTATTTTAAGTCATCCTTCATCAGGATTATGTGAAGAAAATGGATTTTAATCACATTTCTCTCCTTCGATAGTGGCTGTCTTCTTTGATTGCTTTTCTTTTTGCTAGTACTATTGGTTGAGTCTGGAACTGCCTCATCTTGGAACTCCTCACTTTGGGCGGTTGACGCTCACTCTGCTCAAGGAGAAGCTTCCTAGATGTGAGTTTCCTCTAATCCCTCTTTCTTTGCCTGTTCTTATAGTATTGCTTCTGAAATGTGTTTACTCCGTGGCACACAGATCATATATATTTGTCTAGCATCCTAGGGTAAATGAAAAAATCCACTTGTAGCTTGAGGTGCCCTGCTTGGGGATTCTGACCCAAGTGTCTCCAGTACACCAGATGATAAGTTCTACTCTGGGCCAAGATAAAGTTTTAGGTGTAGGGGAGAGGGACAAGGAAATTACTCAGTCCACTTTTGGTGTAAGCCTTCAGCCAGATATCTAGAATACATGAGTTAAGCTTACAAACACCCAGATTCACTCCCTACCCTTCAGAGGCCAACTCCTGAAAACTATATCACCTAGGCTTCTTTGTCAACTGTCTTCTGGCTGGATTTAGCCAATGGGATGCATTAATGGGAGACTGTGGAGCAGAAGGAAGGGAAAGGCAGCTGTCTCCCTCTGGCCTCCCCCTTGGGTGTCATTCTCGTGTTATTGGAAATGGCTCCATCTCCTTGGTCAGTCCAGCTCCCTCTCTGCAGTCTCTGTTGTGATTCCAGCTCCTGTCAGACATCTCTGACCCCTGGGTTTTATTAATCCCATCACCTCCTTGCATCCCTTGAGCTTTTGGGCATGCTGCATTTGCTAATATCTGTGTTGCTTTATGATTCTTTGTTTGGATTTTCAGCAACTCTATCAAATAATTAGTTCCCCATTAATTTCACTGTATCGAATATCTGATGTGGGCTGTTTTCCTGACTGCACTCTGACTCAGACAGCACACTAACAGCGTGTACATGGCCTTACAAATATCCCCAGCTGGTAAAAAAGGATATTCATTGGATTGACCTTATTCCCTGTGGACAGATCTTTGTCATAAACCTGTGGCAGCAGGAGGCAGCTAGTACAGAATTTGGGAGCCTGAGTCCTGGTCAAGCATTATTTACCTGGCCAATAATGGGGAAGAACAGAGATTTGGAAGAACAGAACATATCTGCCTGGCAACCCCCAGCCATCCTTTAAAATCCAAATGTCTTCACTCTTGGTCACTGGCCTTTTTTCCTCCCACTTCCTTCAGGCTGAATCAGTTCCTTCCTCATCTGTATTCCCAAAACAGTTTTCATAAGTATACTGTAGCGCTTTTTTGCTTTGGAGTCACGTGTGGACCTATTTCCCCTATTAGTTTGCTGAGGGCAGAAACCTGGTCTCAGTCAGCTCTGTACTTTCAGTGCCTTGCTCAGAGTTCGATGCCTGACACATAGAAGGCAACGACACAGTTTCACTGAATTCAGTGTTTCCCTAACCTGGCTGCATATTGGGATCACTTAGAAATATTTTTAACATGTTGGTTGTCCAGTCTTCACCCCAGGCTAATTAAATCAGCATCTCTGAAGACGGGGTCCTAAGCACTGGAATTTTTAAATGACTCCCTGGGTGAATTTTTGTGATTCTGGGATTATGAGCTGGTGGTTTAGCTGATTGCTTTACCTTAGCACACTTCTTCTTGCTGATGAGTCCTGGCATAAAGCCCAAATTCCTCTACAATTTAATTCAATTAAGTAAATATGTTTGAGTGCCCACTCTGTGCCAGCCCCTGTGCAAACAGACGCTTGCTACTTAAAGTGTGCTCTGTGAACCAGCAGCATCAGCATCACCAGGGAACCTAGAAATATGGAATGTCAGGCCCAGGCCTACTGAGTCAGAATCTGCATTTAACATGATCCCCAAATGATCTGCATGCACATTAAGGTCTAAGAAACAGTGCTGTAGATATCATGCAAATGTCCAGTTCCTTGCACACTGTGAATTTTCTTTTCTTTCTCAATCACTCTGCTTTACTTACTACCCTTAAAAAGGCGTCATATTATATTCTCTTCTCCAGCTAAAATGGACTGTCCCGTGTGAAGCAGGCTGAGATTAGGGAGGGATGAAATGAGATAGTGGATACAGGATTCCTTGGGTGTGGAGGGAAGAGGGAAGGTGTGGTTGGCCGTTGGAAAGATGGAAGCATTTCTTGGTACATTGAGGATCAGGATATGGGAGGTCTTTGGGATGGGATGTTTGGTAAGGATGACTCCTGTTTCTAATATTGCCAATTCCTTAGGAAAGATTCAGGTATACTAGAGGAATCCTCAGGCCTGTGTGTTGGAGGGCTGGAGCAGATCTGGTTGCCAGAGCAGGCTGGCATTAATGCCTTCCAAGATAGAGTAAATAAAGCAGCCTCTTTCACCTCATGCTCTTAGGACAAAGGAACAGAGGGAAATTTTTAAGGGCTGGCTCATTGGACATCACAAGTTACCCACAAAGGTAACATTTTAAAAATTCTCTTAACTTCACAAATATTTAAAGCCTAATTCTCCTCACAGTGATTTCAGACTCTGTTGACTGCTATCTGTCGCCAGAGATGTGGTGCACACCTCAATCAAACACGTGTGTATGTGAATAACAAACAACTTTCAGGGGCAATACTTTAAAGAATGGTGCCAATGCGATCTGTTGTTTTCTATTGTATTCTCCTAAAACTTATCATTGGATTGATTTAATCACTCAGTAATGAATTGCAGCCCATAATTTGAAAAAACAATGTTTTCTACAGAATCACAGTAAATTTGCAAGGAAAGCAGTTGGACACATTCAGCTTGAACTTGTCAAGCTGACCCTACTCCTTTTAGCATAATTTAGCATGGAATCCTTACCTGGCTTCAAAGCTGTATGCTCTGGACACATACATGACTTCGTCTTGCTAAGCCTCAATTCCCCATCTGAATGTGGGTATAATTTTATCCCCCCCCATTCATCCTCCCCACATCTCTCCCCTACCCGAGGACATCCCTGGCCATCCCACAGGTAGTAATAACTGCTAGGTCTCTGGACCCAAGGTGTTATGTGTGGTGATGGGCAGAGTACACCATCAGAGCCTGAGGATGAGGACAGCACCCTCAGGAGCATTGCAGCTCAGGAGGCAGATTTGGAAATGACAATATATAAAAATATAACCCCTACTCACTGGCACAGGAAGGAAAATGTTTCCTTCCATATTCAGATCTTTTTTACAACTTTATTAAGGTGAAATTGATATATAAAAAACTGCAAATATTTAATGTGCACAATTTGATGAATTTGGACATATGCATGCACCTGTGATACCATCACCACAATCAAGGTAATAAACATATTCATCACCTCCAAAAGCTTTCTAGTGCTCCTTGGCTTAGAAAAAAAGTTTTAGGATATCTGCAGAGAGAAAAAAGCAAGGACAGTAAAATGGTTTGGCTGTGTCCCCACCCAAATGTCATCTTGAATTGTAACTCCCATAATTCCCACACGTTGTGGGAGGAACCCAGTGGGAGGTGATTGAATTATGAGGGCAGTTCTTTCCTGCGCTGTTCTCATGATAGTGAATGAGCCTCACGAGATCTGATGGTTTTAAAAATGGGAGTTTTCCAGCACAAGCTCTCTTCTTTTGTCTGCTGCCATATGAGACGTGCCTTTCACCTGCCACTGTGATTGTGAGGCCTCCCCAGCCATGTGGAACTGTAAGTCCAATAAACCTCTTTCTTTTGTAAATTGTGCAGTCTCGGGTATATCTTTATCAGCAGTGTGAAAACAGACTAACACAGGCAAATATTATAAAAAGTTACCAGCAAATATCAAATGTCATTGGCTTTACACAGTGAAGGTTTATTTCTTAATTATATCACAGTCTCGTGGGTGGCAGTAATGGCTCAGAGATCCAGGCTCTTGTTTTTTGTTTTTGTACAAATTTATGGGGCACATGTGCAGTTTTGTTACATGCATAGATTGCATGGTGGTCAGGTCAGGGCTTTTAGGTTATCTATCACCTGAATAATGTGCATAGTACCCATTAACTAATTTCTCATCATGCACCCCTCTCCTTCTGATCCAGGTTCTTTAATTCAAGGCTTGCACAGCCACTGCAAATGAGGAGAAAATCATGGGACAGTCACACTCAGACACCGACACCACTTCTGCTCACCTCATCAGCCTAACTTCAACGGTGGCTGGTAGGTAAGGAGGCCATGGTGTGGTGAGAGGAGGGTGAGTCCCTCACTGCCTCACCTAGAGGTGAGGAAGAAGAGAAGGTGATGTAACCATTACCCTATCACCAAAAGCCAGCCCACTCACCAAGAAGGAAAAACACACCGAAGTTCCTTTATTATTAGCCATTGGATCTTAAATCCTACAAATGATGTCAGTGGCATTCTTGCTTTGGCATTTTGACTTATTACTGAAAATAATGTGCTAAAAAGACCAAACCATGCCTCACTGACAGCCCCCTGAAAGCTGAGGTTTGCATGGAGAAGAGCTGTTGCATCCCACTCTAACTAGTTATATCTGTCTTTGACTCATGTTCCCCTACCCAGGGGGAGATAATGGGTGGGAAGATGTGCACAGCTCAGCCCAACCCTTCCCTTATGCTGGAAAACCACTCCAGGCACTGGCAAAAATGTTCTTGGAATTCTCTTCCCTGATTATTAGCCTGTCTTTGTATACAACAGTCACACGCACAAGATTTCTCTCCTCTGATTCAGTTAGGAAAGATATGGACTGTGCTTAAATCCAACATTGGCAAATCAAATGTATGAATAAAAATTTGCATAACCACCCAAAATGGATGGAAAAATTAAATCATTCTGTCAAAGCAAACTTTGTTGTCTGGGTCTAAGATTTACAACTGCTGCCATCAACCATGAAGAGCTGGTCCACATGGCTCAGTGGCTATACCAGAACCCATGGCAAAATACCATCCAAATGACTTGTAATGTGTCATTCATAACTGTCTAGTCTTAGGCAATTTTACTGGGAGTATAAGATTTCTGTTAACATATGAATTAAAATTTCATTTTAACACTTGAAAGTATATCTGAAGTTAAAAAAATTTCCAACATTTAAGAAAATCTTGAAATTCTCATCTTACAGTCATTGCCTTGGTGAAACAGAACTAGGATTATTTCAAAGGAACTGTCAAAAGAGCTTTGAATTTTTTTTTTTTTTTTGAGACAGGGTTTCACTTTTATCCCCCAGGCTAGAGTAAAATGGGTGATCTGGGCTCACTGCAACCTCTACCTCCTGGGCTCAAGCGATTCTCTTGCCCCAGCCTCCTGAATAGCTGGGACAACAGGCACATGCTACTGTACCCGGCTTATTATTACTATTATTATTTTTTGAAGACAGGGTCTCATTCTCTTAACCAGGCTGGAGTGCAGTGGTGCGATATCCACCCACTGCAACCTCCGCCTCCCCAGTTCAAGCAATTCTCGTACCTCAGCTTCCTGAGTAGCTGGGGTTACAGGTGTGTGACACTACACCCAGCTAATTTTTGTACTTTTAGTAGCGATGGGGTTTCACCATGTTGGCCAGGCTGGTTTTGAACTCCTGACCTCAAGTGATCTGCCTGCCTCAGCCTCCCAAAGTGCTGGGGTTACAGGTGTGAGTCACCATGTCCGGCCTGAAATACATGCTATTTTTTTTTTTTTATTTTGAGATGGAGTCTCACTTTCGTTGCCCAGGCTGGAGTGCAGTGGCACAATCTTGGCTCACCACAACTTCTGCCTCCTGAGTTCAAGCGACTCTCCTGCCTCAGCCTCCCAAGTAGCTGGGATTACAGGCACACACCACCATGCCTGGCTAATTTTTGTATTTTTAGTAGAGACGGGGTTTCACCATGTTGGCCAGGCTGGTTTCGAACTCCTGACCTCGGGTGATCCCCCACCTTGGCCTCCCAAAGTTCTGGGATTACAGGCATAAGCCACCATGTTCAGCCCATGCTTCCTTTTTAAAAAGAGCTCATCCTCAGAATCTAAAGCCATCATTGTCTGGGAGCCAGTGAGCTTCAGGGTTGCCACACATTTAAGGATGCTGTCATCAGATTCTTGTCAACTACAGCTGCCACTGTGTAGCAGTTACTAGACACAAAGCCTGGTTTCTGGTGTAACTGCCTTGTCTTAGGGACAGGCAACTTTTAAAGACCCATGCCATGGGCATGGATTTTTTCTTAAAAGTCTTGCTTTGTTGTAGTCTTGTGAAATCCATTCATCATGAAATGCCTGTGTCAATGAACTGAACATGGATGTTCCCCCCAAATTTGTATGTTGAAATCCTAACCCCTAAGGTGATGATACTAGGAAGCGGGTCCTTTGGAAGGTGATTAAGTCAGAAGGGTAAAGTCCCCATGAATGGGATTCATATTCTTGTAGAAGAAGGCCTAGAGAGTTCATTCACTGCTTCTACCATGTGAGGACACAAAGAGAAGATGCCATCTCTGAACCAGGAAGAGGCCCTCACCAGACACCGAATCTGCTGGCACCTTGATCTTGGACCTCCCAGCCTCCAGAGCTGTGAGCAACAAATTTCTCCAGGCACAGGGAGATGCAATAGCCCTGAAGGCAGCCTGTTGGCAGCAACGTTAACCCCCCTCTAGAGCCTTGAACGCAGTGCCTTTGGCTGACAAAACGTCTGGAAACATGGTACCATATCAGGGGAACCAGCCCCCGATATTTCAATGTAGGTTCTTTTCTATTTTCCCTGTCAGTCAGTCTGAGAAATAAAGGGAAAGAGTACAAAAGAGACAAATGTTAAACTGGGTGTCCGGGGGAGACGTCACATGTTAGCAGGTCCCATGATGCCCCCTGAGCCGTAAAACCAGCAAGTTTTTATTAGCAATTTTCAAAGGGGAGGGAGTGTACAAATAGAGTGTGGGTCACAGAGATCATATGCTTCAAGGGCAACAAAAGATCACAAGGCAGAAGGTCAGGGTGAGATCACAAGGTCACGGTGAAACTAGAATTACTAATGAAGTTCCATGTCCTGCTGTGCACGCATTGTCGTTGATAAACATCTTAACAGGTTCAAGAGCAGAGAACCGGTCTGACTGGAATTCGCCAGGCTGGAATTTCCTAATCCTAGCAAGCCTGGGGGTGCTGCAGGAGGCCAGGGTGTGTTTCATCCCTTATCTGCAACTGCATAAGGCAGACACCCTCCAGAGCGGCCATTTTAGAGGCCCCCCCCGGGAATGCATTCTTTTCCCAGGGCTGTTAATTATTAATATTCCTTACTGGGGAAAGAATTCAACGATATTTCTCTTACCCGTTTGCAGTAATAAGAGAAATATGGCTCTGTCCTACCTGGCTCCCAGGCAGTCAGACCTAATGTTTATCGCCCTTGTTCCCTGAACATTGCTGTTATCCTGTTCTTTTTTCAAGGTGCCCAGATTTCATATTGTTCAAACACACATGCTTTACAAACAATTTGTGCAGTTAATGCAATCATCACAGGGTCCTGAGGTGACATACATCCTCAGCTTATGAAGACAACGGGATTAAGAGATTAAAGTAAAGACAGGCATAGGAAATTATAAAAGTATTAATTTGGAGAACTAACAAATGTCCATGAAATCTTCACAATTTATATTCTTCTGTCACGGCTTCAGCAGGTCCCTCCGTTCAGGGTCCCTGACTTCCCGCAACAGTACCACTTGCTTGTTTAAATCCTCCAAATCCAACTCTCTGAGTCTGGGACTGCATGGGAGGGGAGAAATAATCTGAACAGTTGTGAAGATTCTGCCTGGTGTTCTGCTGCTGAAATGAGCGGGGATCCTGAGAGCATCTCAGATAGTGAGCAGCTCACCACACTGACAGCCACCACCCCAGGACCCAGGCACACAGTATTATTTAAGTTGATATAGTATTAATTTTTCAATATGAACAGTGATAACAAACATAAAGCCATTGTTTAAAATTATGTAAAACATCCAACATAAAATAGAAGTTTCAAGTTCTTGGTAACAGTGACTCAAAATCACTAAGATTTATTAATCTGTCATGAAATAGATGCACATTTTGCTTTTGTGGAAATGAAATTCTTCAACAGTTTTAATGCATATGTGTTCCGTGATCTCTCTCTCTTTTTTTTTAATAGAAATGATCATTGCACTTGCCAGTTTTTCCTGCAACATTGTAAATCTTAAGAAGTTTTAAAGTAACTTTAATTTTGAGAAGCTATGTTCTCCACTGGCAACTGTTACTGGCTAAGTTAAATATATGCTAAAGAACTCAGAAATGAATTCAATAAATATTGCTGCCAGTATGCTGCAAGTCTGGTGGGAGTCAAAACATTAGTTCTGATTAAGAACCCATGTCTCTGTTGTTATGGGAAAAGGATTAATGCAAAGCAGCCCTGTCTAGATAAGAATTTGACCTTCTGCCCTCAAGAATTGTCATAGTATACGGCGCATTAGCATAGACCCTCTACTGCCATCTGCTGGAAATCTGCCATAGTAAATATCAAAAAAATCCATGATGGCGAGACTGCGGGACACCTCTTAAGAAGGTCCCTTTTGGGCAGTGCACAACTAGAGCAACCATATGTGGCATTCCTGAATATGGTCATTAAAAACAAGCTGACTCCTTCCTCTGGGTCCCAGCCAAAGAGTGATCAATCTGCTCCACTGAAGGGAATACTGGTTATGGAGGACCTAACCAGACTGTATGCAGAGGGCAATTCAAGAGATTTCCTATGGTAATTTGACTCCTTTTTTTTTTTTTTTTTTTGAGACAGAGTCTCACTCTGTCGCCCTGGCTGGAGTGCAGTGGTGTGATTTCAGCAACATCTACCCCTCTGGTTCCAGCAATTCTCCTGCCTCAGCCTTCTGAGTAACTGGGATTACAGGCACCGGCCAACACACTCGGCTAATTTTGTGTTTTTAGTAGAGATGGGGTTTCACCATGTTGTCCAGGCTGGTCTTGAACTCCTGACCTCAGGTGATCCACCCGCCTCAGCCTCCCAAAGTGCTGGGATTATAGGTGTGAACCACTGTGCCTGGCCCAGTTTTGACAACTTTTGATCACCTCCTTACCCAGCACTTATATAAGGGGTGACTCAGTTTTCCTGGCATATTTAGCTGGCAGAAAATATGACTGACTCTATTATGTGTATATGAAATAGCATCAAATTTGAGAGCAAATATGAACACATGAAAGGAAGCTGTGGAATTATGTGAATTCTGAGGGTTTTCTTAGCTGATTTTAGTTTGCATGGACAACTAGATATCTATGTTGTGACTGTTCCCTTTCCAGAGAGCAGAGTTGTCACTGGGAAGTGGCCACCTAGTCAAGGATCACAATTTCCCCTCCCTCTTCTCCACTCACCCCCACTTGCTTCTAGATGTGACAAGCTTTCACCAATAGAAGTGACACGTGTCTCTTCTACAAGGTGAATATGAAGCAGATGTACCTTTTCCGTCTCCCCTGCCCTGCCTGCAGGCTGCCTGCAGAGCTCTGCACTCTGAGGGAAGGGCAAAGCTGAAAAATAGTGCCTGGAGCCCTGCCATCTGGGAGCACTCATACTGCACTGTTGCTGAGTGAGAACCTTGCATTGCATCAAGCCACCAAATGCTGGGAGGTTATTCATCACAGTGGCTAGCATTATCTTAATTAATATGATTTGCTATTAATGCATTTAACGCATTTTGTTGGCCAGTAAATGACTAGTAATACCATGGAGCAAAAGTTACAGAAACTTTTATGGAAGAAAAATGAAAAAAATTGAAGCCATTACTTTTTTCTGAAAATTGGCAAAAGACTGCTCTTCCTAAATTCCAAAGCAAAGTACTTGTGTGACTCACACACGTATTCCATGGAACATGGCTTTGAGAACCCCTGAACAGGCTTTTTGGAAGGCTCCTTTCTGCTCACTCTTTCAGAAGAACAGCATCTAAGGTGGTGGGTACAGGTTGTGGCAAACTCCACCTTTGCCAGGCCTCTCTCTGAATACCCTTATTATTGCAGGTGTTCACCCTCACATGATCCAAGGATAGAATGTGAGGGCCTGGGACCTCTCCAAAGTCTTCTTTCCTTTTTTTTTTTTTTTTTTTTTTTTTTGAGACAGAGTTTTGCTCTTGTTGCCCAGGCTGGAGTGCAATGGCACTATCTCGGCTCACTGCAACATCCGCCTCCCAGGTTCAAGCGATTCTCCTGCCTCAGCTTCCCGAGTAGCTGGGATTACAGGTGTGCGCCACCACACCCTGCTAATTTTGTATTTTTAGTAGAGACGGGTTTTCTCCATGTTGGTCAGGCTGGTCTCAAAGTCCCAACCTCTGGTGATCTTGGCCTCGCGAAGTGCTGGGATTACAGGTATGAGCCACTGTGCCAGCCCAAAGCCTACTTTTCTATAAAGATGAACATATTTGGCTGGGAGCAGTGGTTCACGCCTGTAATCCCAGCATTTTGAGAGGCTGCAGCAGGCAGATCGCTTGAGCCCAGGAGTTCGAGACTAGCCTGGGCAACATGGTGAAACCCCGTCTCTACAAAAAATAAAAAAAAAAATAGTGGGGCATGGTGGCATGTGCCTGTGGTCCTAGCTATTTGGGAGACTGAGGTGGGGGTGAGAGGATCCTTTGAGTCCAGGAGGTCGAGGCCGCAGTGAGCCATGATCATGCCACTGCTCTCCACTCTCCAGCCTGGGTGACAGAGCGAGACCTTGTCTCAGAAAACAAACAAACAAACAAACAAAAAAAAAAACCATATTTCAGGAGATGAGGTTATGAGAAAGAAGTGCCACAGTATGCTGGAATCTAAATAGAAATTTAAAAAAAAATCCTAGATCAGAATAACCTCATTAATAAGCCCAAGTATTTACATCCCACCCAGATATTTGGCTTCTCTGGAGCTCAGGACCAATCTTGTAAGGTTCTCCTTGTCTATCGCTGATTAAGGAAATTCTCCAGCTTCTTTGTTCTGATTTAGCATTATTGTTAGTGAACCAGGGCAGGGTTTTACTGTTTATTAATTGATTCAGTCTCTCGCCACTAAATTCAAGATTAATAGACTCATTGAATAGTAACATTAATATAGCCTTTGACTCTACAGCACTAGCATTTGAAACCACCACATCAAAGTGGCGATCTTAATATAGATGCCTACCTATCACTTAGTTTTAATTTCTAGACATGTAGCTTAAGTATTTAAATGCACCAACGAAAGCTCATCTTCTAATTTTATTACAACAAACTCACTGCTAGAAACCATGAAAGAACACACTACTGATTATAGCAGGACCCAGAATTTGGGGAGCATAAATTTTACACACTAGGGGAAGAGTATTTCAAAAAAGAATACTGAATTACAAATTCAAAACCATAAACAAAAGCATTTATTTAGACCAAGAAAAATCACACTGTATTATAAATTTAAAATGCCACTAACATCCCAAAATCCAGAACAATACTTTATTAGTATTTTATTACTATTTTATTAGTCAAGTGGTTAATACAATGTTTGCTACATTTTTTGGCTGTCAACTCTGATCGCTTCTTCATATAGCAACAATCCATATAATTTTTGATAAAGAGAATATAGAAGAAATTGTGTCTTTCCTGTAGAATTGTTCATCCGAAATTGTGTTGTTTTAATTACTGCTGCTTCAGAAAGGTTTATTTTGGCTCCACAACTCATCATTGGTAAATGTATGTATTAAATACATTTTCAGAATTGCTGTTAAATTTGGAGACCCGTCTATCAATTTTTTTCCCTCTATGAACTAGCCTAGCTGTAGTCACTATTTGTAGCCCCACCGCACATTTGTGAACTTCAAAACACTGGAATTCTGACTAATTTCATGTGATTCTCATCAAAAAAGGAAAATATTATGATGTACTTAAAACTGTACTTGTTGCATTATCAAGCATATTTCTGATTTCTGACATGCATTCCATCTGACTAGGTGTTGATGATAACTGCTTACAATTTTACATGTCTAATGGCTGGAAAAATTTTTTACAGAGTAACTTCTGACTGTGTGTTGCAGATAAGAAGTTGTGCTCAGGCTGGGCGCAGTGGCTCACGACTAATCCCAGCACTTTGGGAGGCCGAGGTGGGTGGATCACCTGAGGTTGGGAGTTCGAGACCAGCCTGACCAACATGGAAAAACCCAATCTCTATTAAAAATACAAAATTAGCTGGGTGTGGTGGCGCATGTCTGTAATCCCAGCTACTCAGGAGGCTGAGGCAGGAGAGTCGCTTGAACCTGGGAGACGGAGGTTGCCGTGAGCCGAGATCGCGCTATTGCACTCCAGCCTGGGCAACAAGAGCGAAACTCCGTCTAAAAAAAAGAAGTTATACTTAAAGCTACAGAGTAAGGTAATGTTAGTGCAATCATCCTCCACGTACCCACACACACACAGGCATGTTAGGTCAAGTTCATGTCATGGTACAAGCACTGAGCCTCCACGTTTGAGCCACAGTGTTGGGTGAGCCAGCACAATAACTGCTAGGAACATCCTCAGATGCCATCTCTACACTGTGGTGGCTCACAATAACATTGCTATCCTGTTGTATTTTAACTATTCAAATATATATATGTATTTGATATATATAAATATACATATTTAATTCAGCAAGCAATTGAGTTAGGTGTAAGTTGGAAAGATTCAGATAACATACTTGCAGATAGTTTCAAGTACTTCATACCAGTGCTTCTCAAATGCTAATGGACAACACGAATCCCCTGGGGTCTTGTCAAAATGCACATTCTGACTCAGTAAGTCTAGGGTGGGCCCAAGATTCTGCATTTTTCTAACAAGATCCCAGGTGAACTTGATGCTGCTAGTAAAGCGACCTCACTCTGAGTAGTGACCTTGTTGGTTTTGGGGATTTTCTTAAAATTACTTTAGAAACTCTATGGATCAAAATGCTTCTTCACAATACGTAAGCTTGAAGTTTATTTTTTATAAAATTCAGCCAGCTGACTAATGCTGTCTGTTTTTCACAAGACTGGCTTTAGTCATTTAAGGTGAAGAGTTACACTATCGCAGAGAAAAGTTCAGCTTTCGGATAAAGAACAAGAATAAATAGCAAGTGGCATCCTCCCGCCCCTCAACATAAGCAGCCGTGACTGCCAAGGTGGGAGAGAAAACAGTATCTGAAAACACCCTGATCCCCTCCCACCTTCACTCTGCAGTTGACACCCTGTGGCCATTATCAGGATAAGCTACAAGAGGGAACTTACTTCTCTGGAGTCATCCATTTGTTCCAGATTCAAACCAACTTTAGCTTTGATCTGCTTTTCTCCTTAAAACAATCCAACAAACAATCGTGGCTGTTCCTGTGACTTGAGTTAAACAGTGTGGGTTTCTGTTATGTTTGTTTGTTTTTACTCAAGTCTTAATTTGTAACCATTTCTCCTTTTTTTTTTTTTTTGAGAGGGAATGTTGCTCTGTCAGCCAGGCTGGAGTGCAGTGGTGCAATCTTGGCTCACTGCAACCTCCACCTCCCAGGTTCGAGTGATTCTCCTGCCTCAGCCTCCCGAGTAGCTGGGACTACAGGCACCCGCCACCACACCTGGCTAATTTTTGAATTTTTAGTAGAGACAGGGTTTCACCATGTTGGGCAGGCTGGTCTCGAACTTCTGACCTTAGGTGATCTGCCCACCTCGGCCTCCCAATGTGCTGGGATTACAGGCGTGAGCCACAGCACCTGACTCACTCTATGTCTTTTTATTGGAGAGTTTAGTTCATTCACATTCAATGTTATTATTGATAAGTAAGACTTACTCTTGCCATTTTGTTACTTGTTTTACTGGTTGTTTTTGTGGTCTTCTCTTCATTTCTCCCTTCCTGTTTTCCTTTTAGTGAAGGTAATTTTCTCTGATGGCATGTTTTAATTTCTTGCCTTTAATTTTGTGTGCATTTGTTGTATGTTTTTTGACTTGAGGTTACCATGAGGCTTGCATTATATATATAATCCATTATTTGAAACTGGTGACAACTTAACACCGATCGCATAAACAAACAAATGAGCAAAGGGAAAACGAATGAAAAGTCTGCACTTTAACTTCATCCTCTCGCTTTTAAACTCTTTGTTGTTTTTATTTACATCTTTTTATGCTATGTCTTGAAAAGTTGTTGTAGTTATTATTTTTGATAGGTTCATCTTTTAATCTTTCTATTCAAGATATGGGTAGTTTACACATTAAAATTACAGTGTTACAATATTCTGTGTTTTTCTGTATACTTACTGTTACCAGTGAGTTTTGGACCTTCACGGTCCTTCTTCTTGCTCATTAATGTCCTTTTCTTTCAGATTGAAGAACTCCCCACCAACCCTTTTTTTTTTTTTTTTTTAAGGCAGGGTCTCGCTCTGTCACCCAGGCTGGAGAGTGGTGGCACGATCTTGGCTCACTGCAACCTCTGCCTCCTGGGTTCAAGGTATTCTCCTGCCTCAGCCTCCTGAGTAGCTGGTATTAAAGGTGTGCACCACCACACCCAACTTATTTTTTGTATCTTTAGTAGAGATGGGGTTTCACTATGTTGGCCAGGCTGGTCTCAAACTCCTGACCTCAGGTGATCCACCCACCTCGGCCTCGCAAAGTGCAGGGATTACAGGCATGTGTCACCATGCCCGGCTAATTTTTTGTATTTTTAGTAGAGATAGGGCTTCACCATGTTGGCTAGGCTGGTCTTGAACTCCTGACCTTAGGTGATCCATCCACCTTGGCCTCCCAAAGTGCTGCGATTACAGGTGTGAGCCACCGTGGCTGGCTGAAGAACTCCCTTTAGCCTTTCTTGTAGAACAGATATGGGGTTGATGAAATCCCTCCACTTTTGTTTGTCTGGGAAAGTCTTTATTTCTCCTTCATGTTTGAAGGATATTTTTGCTGGATATACTATCCTAGAATAAAAGTTGTTTTTTTTCTTCCTTTAGCACTTCAAATATGTCAGGCCATTTTCTCCTGGCCTATAATGTTTCTGCTGAGAAGTCTGCTGCCAGATGTATTAGAGCTCCACTGTATGCTATTTGTTTCTTTTCTCTTGCTGATTTTAGGATCCTTACTTTATTCTTGACCTTTGGGAGTTTGATATTAAATGTCTTGAAATGTTATTTGGGTTAAATCTGCTTCATGTTCTATAACCTTCTTGTACTTGAATATTGTCTCTTTCTTTAAGTTTTGTAAGTTCTCTGTTATTATCCCTTTGAATAAACTTTCTACCCTGATCTCTCTACCTCTTCCTTAAAACCAGTAACTCTTAGATTTGCCCTTTTGAAGCTACTTTCTAGATCTTGTTGGTATCCTCCATTGTTTTTTATTCTTTTTTCTTTTGTCTCTTCTGTGTATTTTCAAGTAGCCTATCTTCAAGCTCACTAATTCTTTTTTCTGCTAAGAGACTCTGAAGCATTCTTCAGTATGCCATTTGCATTTTTCATCTCCAGTATTTCTGCTTGATTCTTTTAAATTATTTCATTCTCTGCTAAATGTATCTGATAGGATTTGGAATTCCTTCTCTGTGTTGCCTTTAATTTTGTTGAGCTGCCTCAAAACAGCCATTTTGAATCCTCTGTCTGAAAGTTCACATATTTCTGTGTCTCTGGAGTTGGTCACTCGTGCCTTATGTAGTTTGTTTGGTGAGGTCATGTTTTCCTGGATGGGCTGGATGCTTGTGGATGTTCGCTGATGTCTGGGTATTGAAAAGTTAGGTATTTATTGTAGTCTTCATAGTCTGGGCTTGTTTGTAACTGTCCTTCCTGGGAAAGCTTTGCAGGTATTTGAAGGAACGTGGGTGTTGTGATCTAAGTGTTTTTCTGGTCACTGCAGCCATATCTGCTTTAGGGGGCACCCCAATCCCGGGAATGCTGTGGTTCTTGCAGACTCTTAGATGTATCACCTTGGTGGTCTCAGGTAAGATCTGGGAGAATTCCCTGGATTCCCAGGCAGAGACTTGTTCTCTTTGCTTACTTTCCTTTAAACAAACAGAGTCTCTCTCTTTCTCTTTTTGTCTCTGTGCTGAGCTGCCTGGGGCTGGGGAAAAGGTGACACAAGCACCCCTGTGGCCACCATCACTGAGACTGTGCTGGGTTAGACCTGAAGCCAGCACAGTACTTGGTCATGCCCAAGGCCTCCAGTGACCACTGCCCGGCTACCACCTATATTCACTCAAGGCCCAAGGGCTATACAATCAGCAGATGACAAATACAGGCAGGTTTGTGTCTTTCCCTTCAAGGCTATGAGTTCTTCCTAGCCCCAGGTGGGTCCGAGATGCCATCTGATAGCCAGGGCCTGGAGTCAGAAACCTTAGGAGTCTACCTGATGCTTTATTCTACTGTGGCTGAACTGGCACTCAAGCCACAAGATAAAGTCCTTCCCCTTCTTCCCTCCCTCTCTTCCCTCCCATTTCCTCAAGTAGAGGAGTCTGTCCTCATGGCCACCACTGCCTTAGGCCCATGGCAATTACTGCCTGCCTACTGCCTATGATGTTCACTCAAGGCCCAAGGGCTCTTCAGTCAGCCTGTGGGGAATGCTGTCTGTCCTGAGTCTCTCCCTTCAGGGCAGTAGGCTTCCCTCTGGCCCAGGGGAGGTCCAGAAATACTGTCCAGGAGCCAAGGGCTACGACTGGGTACTCAGGAGCTCACTTGGTGCTCCACCCACCTGTGGCCGAGCTAGTGCCCAAGGGGCAAGACAAAGTCCCCTTTACTCTTCCCTCTCCTTTCCTCAAACAGAAGGAGTCTCTCTCCATAGCCATCATAGCTGGGAATGTGCTGGGTCACACTTGAAGCCAGCACAGCTCTGAGTCTTGCCCAAGGCCCTTGGTGAGCACTGCCAGGCTACCACTACTTATTATTCAGGGCCCAGGGGCTCTTAGTCAGCAGGTGATTAATTCTGCCAGGACTGAATCTTTCTCTTCAAGACAGCAGGTTCCCTTTTGGCCCAGGGGTTATTTAGAATGTCATCTGGGAACTAGGGCTTGGAATGGGGGCCTCATGACTCTGCCTAGTGCCCTATTCTACTATGGCTGAGCTGGTATTCACATTGCAAGACAAAATCCTCTTTACTCTCATGTCTCCTCTCCTCAAGAAGAGAGAGAGGGTCTCTCCTGGAGCTGCAAGCTGCACTGCATGGGGTTACAGGAGGAATGATGTGAGCACTCTCTTGGCTGCCTCCGCTGATACCTTACTAGGTTGCATGCACTCCAAGTCCACTGGCTCCGAGTCCAGCACAGCACCAGGACTTGCCCAGGAATTGCAGTCCATGCAGCCTAGACTGCCTTCCAAGTTTACTTAGCACCCCAGAGCACTTTAGCCCACAGTGGCAGGGCTTGCTGGAACTCAAGTTCTGACTGCTGGGATGGACAATTTGCCTGGCTGGGGCTGGTCTAAACCCCTTCATGGGTGTCAGCTGGGTTCTGCCCTGAGTTGCTTTCTGCTATGACAGGGCAGCACTGAGCTCCAATGCAAAGTCCCACAATCACTGCACTCTCCCCACCACAAGCACACAGATTCTCTCTTCTTGCCATGCAGCTGCTGCTGAGGGATAGGGGAGGAGTGGTGTGGGCAACTCAAGACTGTCTTTCCTACCCTCTTCAGTGTCTCTTTCCTTAATATGATGTTAAAACCAGTACTGTGATTGCTTACTTGATTTTTGGTTCTTATGAAGGTGATTTTGTGTGTGGGTAGTTGTTCAATTTTGCATTCTTGTGTGTGTGTGTGGTGGGGCAACAATCACTGGAGGCTTCTATTTGGCTATCTAGCTCTGCCCCCTCCTCATCAACTTTGCAACTAGTTGTTTTGACATCCATTTTATATGATTGCCTAGATCCAATATTCTATGAGATATTTTTTAGTTGGAATTATTCTATAAAGACAGAAGTTTCCAGCTGGGAATGGTGCCTCATGCCTATAATCTCAGCACTTTGGGAGGCAGAGGTGGGAGTATTGCTTGATCCCAGAAGTTCAAGACCAGCCTGGGCAACATAGTGAGATCCTGACTCCACAGAAGGAAAGAAAAATAACTTTCCTTCCTCAATTGTTTAGGTTACTCTGAAATCTAGTTTTTGTATATGAAAGTCAGCATAACTGCTTGATTCTTTCCCTTTGACAATTTTTGGAATAAGCTGTAATGATGAACATTAAAAATATATTTGACTTAGTACATGCAATTGCAGTTATTTTTCTTTGTGGTGCTCAAATTCTCCCATCTTTGGCCAGTGGAAGTGCATTCAAATTGGATTCTATTTTCTACTGACATAATCTCAGTGTCTTTGATAATTCCCTTGCTTTCTGGCAAAACAAAATGTTTTGGGTTCATCTTGGTTCCTTTAAATGTAAAATTGTATTTAGAGACTACAACCTGGGTGCTATGGGCACTCATTGCTGCTGAGTTATTGTTCTGAGCTTTTTCAGTGAGCAGAGTACTTGGCCTTATGTCAATATTTTCCCGGTCTTTCTGGTCTTCTGAGGTTCTCCTCTTGTAGATTGCTCAGGAAGGGCTCATGAAAACAATACTCCTGAGTTTTTGCATGTTTATAACTGTTTATCTGCAGCCTTTCTACCTCAAGGCCAGTTTGGTTGGACATAAAATCTGTGGCTCATATTTTTTGTCTTTGAATATCATGCATGTGTTATTTCATTGTCTTCTAGCATGAAGTGCTATTTTATAAAAGTCTGAAGGCAATCTGATATTACCCCCTTGTAAGTGACTTTGTCTTTTTGCTTGAATGTCAAAAACGTTTTTTCTTTTCTTTTGCAGTCTATAAGTTTTACTGTTATATGTCTCAGTGCCAGTTTTCTGGCTCAATTTTCCCAGAATGCAGAATGTGTCTTCAATATCTAGTTCAAGCTAATTTTTATTTCAGGAACTTTTCTTAAATGATAAGTTTTAGTGTTGTGCTCTATTCCTGTGCTTTGGTACTTGTTTGGGATTCTTATTAACATGCTAGATCTTTGTTGTTTATTCTCCATCACTTTTCTCACAAATTCTTTTTATCTTTTTCATTTCTTTTTGATTAAAAAAAAGCATTTTGGGAGCAGTTTTAGGTTCACAGCAAAATTCCCATATACCTGCAACATACTTCATATTTTTGAAAGTGGTATCAAAGGTGCATTTGCTGTGACAGATGAACCTACACTGACAATTTTTCTCTTGAAGTCCATAGTTTACATTGGTGTCCACTCTTGGTGTTGAACATTCTGTGGGTTTTCACAAAGGTATAACAACATGTATTTACCACTACAGTATCATACAGAGTATTTTCAGTGCCCTGAAACTCTCTGCACTCCACCTGTTTATGCTTCTACTCCCCCAACCCCTGGCAAACACTAATTTTTTTTTTTTACTTTTGCCACAATTTTGTCCTTTCCCAAATGTCATATTCGGAATATCTTTTTTGATTTTTAAGACATTTTTCCTTTCCATCTTTGATTTCTCTTAAAACATTGCTTACTATGTTTATTTGCTCTTGTGTTCCTTTTAATTCAGTTTTTAAAATTTTTTTTGTTCTTTTATTTCTAGTACTTTTCTGAGTTCTGTTACAGCTCTTGTCAAATCTTCCTTTTCCTCAATCACCTCATCCTTGATTCTGGTTTATGCTGTTTTTTTTTTAATAGCATCTATCATTCTCTTAATTTCTCTTGGCTGGTTTTGAAATGATGAGTCAGTTTACATCCGTTCTGTGGGCATGTCTTTCTGGTGGGTTTCATTATCTGCAGAGATGTTATACTCCATCTGATTCTTCCTCGCTGTCTTTTTAATAAAGACTTTGCATGAAATTTGAGGGTGCATCTTTTCTGTTGTTCGTCTTCTAAGTGAGTTGAATGTGCTTATACTTTAGAGAGAAGAGATGGAGCATGATTTACTTTTTTCTAACTTCATAGTTCTCTAATTCTCTCTTCGGCTGTTTTCTCAAAGTGATAAAAATATATATGAAGTAGTGCTACCTCCTCTGCTTCTCTACCCTCTTTTATCTAAACTTTTTCTTTCCTTTGTCACTACTGTTTCTGTCCTGTGATCAATTTGGATTTTACTCCAAATTGTCTCTCAGTGAGGGGTTTTGTCTTAGAAGGAAGCTTCTTTCATACTAGAAGAAAACATAGGGTAAATCCTCCATGACATTGATCTGGGAAATTATTTTTAAAGATGTGAACCCAAAAACACAGACCACAAAAGCAAAAATAGACAAATAGGATTACATTAAACTAAAAAGCTTCTGCACAGCCAAGGAAACAAACAAGAGTGAAGAGACAACCTACAGAATGAGAGAAAATATTTGCAAACCATACATTGATGAGGGTTAATATCTAAAATATATAAGGAACTCAAACAACTCAATAGCAAGCAAACAAATAACCCAATGTAAAAATGGGCAAAGGATCTGAATAGATGTTTCTCAAATAAAGAAAGAAGCTTTATTCTGTGAACATCCAGAGTGTGCAGCACCGAGAGTGTCCCTGCACATCAATCTTGCAGCATCATTGTCAATTTGCTGTCACCCACAAATTGATCCCTGCAGAATCTCCCTTAATTCCAGCTGTTCTCAGACAGGCTCTCCATGCTTTTTAGTGAGCACCTGTTGGTGATTTGGGTGTTTTCATATCCTCAGGGATGTCAGATGTTGTCTGTGGATCTTTAGATTTGTTATCTTATTTGCTGTGTTTTATGTGAGGACTTAGAGAGCCCAACAAACTACACTGCCACCACCACCATTTTTCCAGAATCTCAAAAATCTTAATGAAGTTTCTACCATAATAATAATACATATTCTTTAATTGTTACATTGCCTTCCTCTCTCTGATCTTCCTGCCTCCCACTTATCAGAATCCTTGTGATTATATCAGGTCCCCTTGGAAAATCCAGGATAACTTTCCCACCTCAACCTCCTTACTGTAATCCCATTCACATGACCAGTTGATATTGACATTATGTTCCCCCATGGCAGTGTAGAGGCTGCTGGATCCTTGGCTCCAGTTCTGAGTGCAAGATCCATCAATAAGGCTTTACATCCTGGGGTGGAAAGTATCAAATAATCTACATATATGATCTGGAATCCTTCTGTAAAAAATATGTGTCCTTTCTCCCTCATTAATTTATTTATTCAATCATTCATTTATGGCATAGACTCATGGACTTTTATACTTTGGGATATAGTCTAATACTAAATTTAAAAATTTTGTTTTTCAAATGGCTTCAGTTTTGGCCATTGGGAGCTCTTTCAGGTTGGTTGCTATGTCCCTCTAATTTACTTCCATCATTGTGTGTGTGTGTGTGTGTGTGTGTGTGTGTGTGTGTGTGTGTATGTAGAAAGCCCTATCGCCACTTGCCCCCCAACATTGTGCTTTTTGAGTACTTTCCGGCACTACAAGACACTCCATGCTCATGGTATATTTTCCCCGTCTCAGCCCTAGAATCAGCCCTGGTTCCTTTTATTGGAGAAAGATATTTGGAAACCAAGATCTGGGTGCTTGGTGTGCTCTTTGTAATAGGTATCACTGCCAAGCCTTCTTGGTACACAGAGTTAGAAATATATCTATGTATACCAACATATATATACATACACACACACACACACACACACACACACACCTACAATCATTTCTGCATCTGTCTACCTGGATATATAAATAAACGTGAGTTCATTCTAATGTCTGATTTCAATCCAGTACCACAGGGTTCATTCTGATCTTGTGTGGTCTTATTTGTAACTTCTTTTTCTGACTATGATAAATCTGGCTTCCATTTTTTAAAACATTTATTTATTTATTCCCTCATTCATGCATTCATCCATAGTATAATGTAATTCTGAATTAGTAACGCATATCCCCGTGTGAAACAAATTTACAACTAGAGTACAGTATTCATGTCACATCTTTTCATCTTTAGCCTTAGTTTCTACTCAAAGCACCATTTTTAACATTACTTAGGTCATTGTTTTACCCTATGTCCTTCAGTAAAGTTATGTCATATATTTCTAATATAGCTAGATTCATTTGTCACAATCTGCTTTCCATCCTTATATTGCCCACATTCGGGTTGATATTTTAAAATTTCATACATTACAGTTTATTCTTTGTGGTATACAGTTCTGTGAGAGTGAACAATGCACAGTCATATACCCACCACCCCAACACCATGCAAAACAGTTCCATCACACTAAAAATTCCCCCGTGATCTCCTTTGCAATCAGCCTCTACACCTCCTGACAACCCCTGGCAACCGCTGAGCTGTTTTCCACCATTATTGTTTGCCTTTTCCAGAATGTCATACAAATGGAATCTTTTTCCCTTGATCAATTGCTCATTCATTTTCATTCCTGAGTAGTATTTGATTATAGGTGATTGTATAAATATACCACTGTTTTACTTTTTTCTTTATTTCTTTCGTTTTTTTTTTTTTTTTTAGAGACAGGGTCTTGCTATGTTGCCTAGGCTGTCCTCAAACTGTTGGACTCAAATGATTTTCCCTTCTCAGCCTCCTTAGTAGCTGGGATTATAGGCACACGCCACCTCGCCTGACTGTTTATCTATCCATTCACTTATTGAATGATATTATTACTGCTTCCAGATTTTTGTTAATAATGAATAAAGCTGCTACCAACATTTATATACATGTTTTTATGTGCATATAAGTTTCAAATTCTTTTAGGTAAATACCTAGGGTGTGATTGCTGGGTCATATGCTAAAGCATATGCCTAACTTTATAAAAACTACCAAATTGTCTTCCATATTGCATATTGCAATATTGCATGCCCACCAGCAATGAATGAGAGTTCTTGTTGGTTTGTGCCCTTAACAGCACTTGGCTTTGTCACTTTCTTGGAATGTGTG